>NC_000023.11:17592033-17895063 GCF_000001405.40 Homo sapiens | reverse complement strand
GAGAGCTTCTGCGTGCTTTACTTATTACTATTATGAGGAAAATGACTTTATATATAGTGTCTATGTGGATTCCGTTTTGACGTTGGACACATTGGGTTCTTACGTTTCCCCTACCCCACACTTAGGGAAAGACTGCTTCTTTTCTCTTTCAGAACCCTTTGCTGACACATCAGCCTATTGCTTCCTGGAAGAATAATTTGCACTTCAAGACTAATTCTGAAACAATACAATTGCAAGGAGGAAACACATTTGGAGTAGAGAAATTATATATGTATATAAAACTTATTATCTAACCAGGACATATTTGAGGTGAGTAAAAGGGGTACTACTAAAAAGTAGGATAACAGGTGTAAAACTTGGGATGTCTGCCTTGACAAACCGAGACATCTGCTAACCCTGACACATAGAATGCTCCCACAATGGCAATCTTCTACAAAGCTCACAGAGAGGCTTGTAGGGATTGTCAACAAGGTAAATGTTGCTTATTACATGCATATGAGAGAATGCAGTGATTTGGGGGATTAAGATAAACAATTTTGGCATCCCAGAAGAACAGACTGCCTGTGACAGACACACAAGGATAATACAGTCCTATCTAGTAAGATTCTGTCCCATATCTGGAAAACCAACATCTGGTTCTGGTTCTAAACGACTGAGTTCTGGTATGTACTTGGACTTTGCCAGCCACGAGAGTTGGAGGGTGATTGGATACCACTTTGTTTATGCCTGAAATGCCATACTCTGCCATTGCATTGTGCATTGTATAACTCCAAGATTGATGAGGTGTACCTGGACCAATGGTTTGAGTCTTCCCTGCCTAGGTGCCAGACTATGTGAGTGAGTGTGCTTTCACATGACTTCAATCCCAGCCGTCTGCATCCATCTGAGAGATCCTGAGCCAAAACCTGCCCAACCAAGTCACTCCTGAGTCCCTGACCCACAAAAACTGTGAGAGATAATAAATGATTGTTATAGTTTGAAGCCATTAAGTTTATGGGTGATTTGCTATGCATTAATGAATAACTAGAACAGGTACCTATGTTCTCTCAACAGAGTGTCCAATGGTCAATGGATTTTATAAGTTAGAACTTTAAGGGAGAGGTCAATGCTGAAGACAATAATTTAGGGAGAATCTGCATATACGTGGTGGTTAGAAGGGCTGAAGATGAAACCAGATGCCCATTTATTCATTCATTCATTCATTTAAAAGGTCAAGAAGGATGGTCAGAGAGTTAGGTCTTGATTTCCAAAGCCCTCCTTTCTCATTGCTTTCCTCTGTATCATTGGTCATTGCTTCTTAGTGTCTTTGCTGTTTTCTCTTAATTCCCAGTCCTCTAAACTTTGGAGTCCCTAAGCTCAGACATAAGCTACTTCTCTCCTATACTTATTACCTAGGCAATCTTGCCTAAACTCATAACCAATTACTATCCATATGCTGATGACTCCTCACTTTGATTCTCCAGATGTAACCTTTCCTCTTCACTCCAGACTCATGTTTTCCACTGCCTATTGTACATCTCCACTTGGAGGTCTAGGAATCTCAAACTCAGGATGTCCAAAGCCACACTCCCAACATTTCCCCAAAACATGCTTCTCCTGCAGTCTTCCCCATTTCAGGAAGGAAATCCATTATCCAGATGGCTCAGGAAAAACTTTGGAGCCATTTTTGGATCCCTCCATTTATTTCACATTTGATTCATCAGCAACCCCTTTTGGTTTGACCTTTAAAATACACCCAGAAACCACCCACTTCTCACAATTTCCATCACTTCCTCCCTAGTCCAAGTCATCATCGACTTCCATCTGGTGGATGACAGTGATAAAAAGAGATAGTGAGTGGTGCAGCTAGAAGATAATGATTCTCAAAGCAGGAGATTTAAAAAGATTTGTATTAAATCAAACTTTTTATTCAAGATAATTGTAGATTCACATGCAGCTAATAAATATTACAAAGAATAATAGTTTCCCCCCAATGGTAATTAATGTCTTGCAAAACTGTAGTGCAATATTACAACAAAGATATTGACATTGATATAGTCAAGATACAGAACATTTCCATCACCGCAAGGATCTCTCATATTGCCCTCTTAAACCACATCCACCTCTCTTCCACCTCTCCACCTCATCCCTAACCACTGGCAACAACTACTCTGTTCTAAGTTCTAAAATTTTGTCATTTCAGAAATGTTATATAAATGGTATCATACAGCTTTTAATCTTTTGGGATTGGTGCTTTTTTTTTTCACTTAGCATAATTCCCTGGAAAGTCATCCAAGTTTTTTCGTGTCTCAATAGTTCATTCCTTTTTATTGCTGAGTAGCACCATAGCCTGCTTAACCATTCCCCTGTGGTAGGACATCTGGGTTGTTTTCAGTGTGGGGCTATTAAGAATAAAGAGACTATGGACATTCATGAACAGGTTTTTGCATGAACATAAGTTTTCATTTTTCTGGGATGGGTGCCCAGGAGTACAATTGCTGAATCATATGATAGTGGCATGCCTCATTTTTAAAAATAATTACTCAACAATTTTCCAGACTAGCTATGCCATTTTTCATCCCCACCAGTAGTATATGAACCATCCAGTTTCTCTACATCCTTGTCAGCATTTGCCAGTGTTTGGTGATGTCACTGTTTTTTATTACCATTCTGATAGGTGTAGGCATATCTCTTTGTGGGTTTAATTTGCATTTCCCAAATGGTTCATGATGGTGAACATCTTTTCTTGTGAGTATTTGCCATCTGTATATCCTCTTTGTTGAAATGTCTGTTCGTGTCTTTTGTCTATTTTATAATTGGGTTGTTTGAGGTTTTTAATGTTAACTTTTGAGTTCTTTCTATATTCTAGGTACTAGTTCTTTGTTGGATATGTGGTTTGCAAATATTTTATCTCAGTCTATAGCTTGTCTTTACCTTCTTCTATAGGGTTTACACAGAACAAAACCTTTTATGCAGATTAAGTCCAATTTATCCATTTTTCCTTTTATGGATCATATCACACTTTTGGTATCAAGTCTAAGACTTCTTGTCTAGCTCTAGAGCTCAGACATTCTGCTATTTTTAAAACAAATGTATTGTAGTTTGACATTTTGTATATAAGTTTATGATCCATTTTGAGTTTTTTGTATAATGTGGTAATGTGCGAGGTTTAGGTCGAGATCCTTTTTGTTTGTTTTGTTTGTTTGCTTATGGATGGTCCAGTTGCTACAGCACCATTTGTTGAAAAGGTTATCCTTCTTCTTTTGAGTTGTTTTTGCACCTTTATCAGAAATCAGTTTGGCATATTTATATGGGTATATTTCTAGGATCTCTATTCTGTTTCATTGATCTATGTATCTCCAACAAACCACACTGTTCTGATTACGGTAACATTAATATTAGGTAAAGTTATCCTCCCACTTTATTCTCCTTGCCCCAAACTGCTTTAGCTACTGTAGTTCCTTTGCCTTTCCATATAAACTGTGAGATAATCTTGCCTATAACTAAAAAATAAATCTTGCTGGGATTTTGATAGAAATTGTGTTAAGCAAGTATATAAATTTGGTGAGAATTGCAATCTTTTCTATGTTGAATCTTTCAACCCATGGACATGATATGTCTCTCCATTTATGTACATCTTGTTTTATTTCTTTCATTTGTGTTTTATAGTTTGAGGCATACATGTTTCATACTTTTTTTTTTCAAGACGAAGTCTTCTCTGTCACCCAGGCTGGAGTGCAATGGCACAATCTCAGCTCACTGCAACCTCTGCCTCCCGGGTTCAAGAGAGTCTCCTGCCTCAGCCTGCCAAGTAGCTGGGACTACAGGCGTGTGCCACCACACCCAGCTAATTTTCGTATTTTTAGTAGAGACGGGGTTTTACCATGTTGCCCAGGCTGGTCTCGAATTCCTAGCCTCAAGTGATCTGCTTGCCTCAGCCTCCCAAAATGCTGGGATTACAGGTGTGAGCCACGGTGCCCAGCCCTCATACATGTTTTGTTAGATTTACACATAGTATTTAACTTTTATAGCAATTGTAAATGGTATTATATTTTAAATTTTGGTTTTCATATGTCCATTGCTAGTATATAGAAATGTGATTGACTTTTATATGTTTTGTCTTGTATTCTGCCACCTTGCTAAACTCATTTATTCTAGGAATATTTTGTAGATTTCTTAGGATTTTTCACATAGACAATCATATGATCTGCAAATAGGGACACTTTCACTTCTTTTTTCCCAATGTCTGTGCCTTATATTTCTTTTTTGTTTCTTACTACCCTGGCTAGAACTTTTGGCACTTTGTTGAATAAGAATGGTGAGAGCAAACTTTTTTCTGATCTTAGAGGGAAATCAGTCCTTCACCATTAAATATAGTGGTAGTTGTAGTTTTTTGGTAGATGTTCTTTATCAAGTTGAAGAAATTCTCCCTCTATTGCTAGTTCAGAGATTTTTCTTTTTATCAGGAATGGGTGTTGAATTTTCTAATGCTTTTCCTACATCAATTGATATGATCCTGTGAGTTTTCTTCTTTAGCCTGTTATTATGGTGGATTACATTGATTGATTTTGAATTTGAGCCAGACTTGCATCCTTGGAATAAGTCCCACTTTGTCATGGTGTATAATTCTTTTTTTAATATGGTGGTGAATTTATTTGCTGAAATATTTTTGAAGGATTTTTATATCTATATTTGCAAGAGATAGTATTACTTTTTTGGTACTGTCTTTGGTTTGGTATCAGGGTAATACTAGTTTAATAAAAACAATTGAAAAAAAGCTCTCTCCTTCTATTTTCTGTAAGAGATTGTTAGAATTAGTGTTAATTCTTTTTTGTTTTTTTGTGGTTTTTTTTTTGAGACGGAGTCTCATTCTGTCGCCCAGGCTGGAGTGCAGTGGTGCGATCTCAGCTCACTGCAACCTCCGCCTCCTGGGTTCAAGTGATTTTCCTGCCTCAGCCTTCCGAGTAGCTGGGACTGCAGGCGCACGCTGCCACGCTGGGCTAATTTGTTGTATTTTAGTAGAGACGGGGTTTCACCATGTTGCTCAGGCTGGTCTTGAACTCCTGAGCTCAGGCAATCCGCCCGACTCGGCCACACCTGGGATCACAGGCATGAGCCACTGTGCCCAGCCTAATATTGGTAATTTTATTTGTCACTCTTTTTTATTTTTCAGTCTTGCCAGAAATTTGTCAATTTTACTGATTTTCTGTAAAACAAAAACAGCTTTTTTGTTTCATTGATTTTCTCTATTGTTTTTTGTTGTTGTCAATTTCATTGATTTTTTTTTTTTTTTTTGCTCTGATTATTTCCTTCTTTCTGCTTGCTTTAGGCTTATTTTCCTCTCCTTTTCCTAGGCTCTTGATCTGCTTATATTATTGATATGGAACTTTTTCTCTTCTAATGTAAACAATTAATGTCATAAATTTCCCTCTCTGCTTTAGCTGAGTCTCATATGTTTTGATTTGTACATTTTCAATCTTGATCAATTTGATTTTTAAAATTTTTCTTGAGATTTTCTCTTTGACACATGAATGATTTAGAAGTGTGTTACTTTCAATTGCAATTGTTTGGATACTTGCCTGTTTTTTTTCAGTTATTGATTTCTAGTTTGAGGCCTTTGGGCTTAGAGAACATACAGTGTATTATTTCAATTCTTTAAAATGAGTTAAGTTTTGTTTTATGGTCAGGGCATCGTCTGTCTTGGTATATGATCCCTGGACACTTGAAAATAATATGTATTTGTCTGTTGTTGGGTGACGTATTCTATAAAAGTCTATTAAACCCTATTGATTGTTGGTTGTGTTGGGTTCTTGTATATCTTTGCTCAATTTCCTGTCTATACATTATATCAACTATTGAGAGAGGGGTACCATAGTTTCTAGATATGATTATGGATTTGTCTATTTCTCCTTTTAGTTATATTGGATTTTTTTTTGGTGTTGTTGTTTTGCTTCACATAGTTTGCAGCTTTGTCATTTGATGTACAGACATTTAAGATTGCTATGGAGGGTTGACCTTTTTATCATTACGTAATGTCCCCCTCTGTCTTTGGCAATTTTCTTTGCACTGAAATCTACTTTATCTAGTATTAATATAGCCACTCCTGCTTTTTTTTTGACTAATGTTCACATGATACATCTTTTTCCATCCTTTTACTTTCAACCTACCTATATCATTATATTTGAAGTTAGTTTTTTGTAGACACCATATAGTTGTGTTGAGTTTTTAATGCACTAAGCCAATTTCTTTGTGTTAATTCATACATTTAGACCAGTTACATTTAATGTAGTTATTGATGTGTTAAAGCTATGTCTTCCATTTATAATTTTGTTTTACACTGTTCCTGTTTATCATTTCTCTGTTCTCATTTTTCCTGTCTTCCTGTAGATGAACATTCTTTTACTTGAACATTTTAAAAAATTCAATTTTGATTTACCTATAGTATTTTTGAAGGTATCTCCTTGCATAGCTTTTTTAGTGGTTGCTCTAGGTATTGCAGTACATACACATAATTTATCACAGTTTACTATACATTTTACCAGTTTGGGTTAGAAGTATAGAAACCTTACCTCTCTTTATGTGTCTTCGCCCTTTGTTGTTTTGTAATATAATTATCTTAAATATTTTTTTCTGCATACATTTAGAAACACATCAGACAGTGTTACAACTTTTGCTTCAAACATCAAACATACTTTAGAAGACTGAAGAGAAGGAAAATGTATTTACCCATATTTTTATTCATCCTGTTGTTCTTTCTTCCTAGTGTTCTAAGATTCCTTCTTTTATCGTTTCCTTTCTGTTTAGAGAGCTTCCTTTACCCATTCTTTTAGGGTAGGGCCTGCTGGCAATAGATTCTCTTACTTTTCTTCACCTGAGATTGTCTTGATTTCTTCTTCATTCGTCATGGATATGTTCACTGGATGTAGAATTCTAAACTGACAGTTCTTTTCTTTGAGCACCTGAAAAATGTTGTGCCATTTTCTTCTGGCCTCAGTGGTTTCTGATGAGAAATCTGCTGTCATGTGAATTGTTTTTCCTTAATAGGTAATGTGTTGTTTCTCTTTTACTGCAAGATTCATCTTTGGCTTTAATTTTCAGAAGTGTGACTATTATGTGACTTGGTGTGGATTTCTTTGGGTTTATCTTGTTTGGGGGTTTGCTTACTTTCTGGAAACTGTATATTAACTTATTTTACCAAATTTGGGAAGTTTTCAACCATTATTTCTTTGAGCACTTTTTTAGTGCCATCCTCTTTCTCCTCTCCTTCCAGGACTTCCGTGCCCAGATGTTAGATCTTTCATTACAACTCTGTTTATTTTTTTCAGTCTCTTTTTCTCTTTTGTTCAGATTAGGTAATTTTTATAGTTCTTTCTTCAAATTCACTGATTCTGTTCACTAGCCTCTCCATTCTGCTATTGAGCCCATCCATTGAGTTTATTATTTTGATTCTTGTATTTTCAGCTCTATAATTTCCCTTTGGTTCTTCTTTATTTCTTCTCTTTCTTTGCTGAGATTTTCAACTTTTTTATTGGTTTCAATCATGCTTGCAATTGCTCATTAAAGGATCTTTATTATGACTGCTTTTAAATGTGTATAATAGAATCCTAACATCTCTGCCATCTCAGTGTTGGCATCCATTGATTGTCTTTTTCATTCAAATTGAGAATTTTCTGGTTCTTTGCATGACACATGATTGTTTTATTGAAACCTGGACACTTATATTATGATACTCTGGATCTTATTTAAACCTTTTGCTTTAGCTGGTTTCTGCTGACGCTGCTCTGGCAAGGGAAGTAGAAGTGCCACCTTGTCCCTGCCAAGTGAGCACAGAAGTTCAAGTCCCTCAGGCAAGCTCTGTTGTCATCTGAGATGTCATTAAACTCCCTATGTAGCCTCCATTGACGCTCTGGACAATGACAGCTCTGGGGTGGTTGCCTCATTATTGCTGACTGGTGGCAAAAGTCCTGACTCTCCACTGAGCCTCCCCTGACATCATCCCAGTAGGGAAGGGTGCCTTGTTACTGCCAGATAAAGATAGGAGAACGGGCTTCCCACAAGGGGAGTGTGTTTGTTATCATCCAGTAGGGATGAAAGCCATGACTCCATACTCAGCTTCTTCTGACATCACTCTGATGAGAGGAGGGCCTCATTACAGCCATGCAATGGTGGAAGTCAAGAATATTCACTCAGGGTTTGCTGATGTCCCTTGGGGTGAGGCCACGGTTCTTTCTGTGGTGCTTGGTTGGAGTGGAGTGGTATATATTTTCTAAATGTTCTGTCTTAGGCACTTTCCTGGTACTTTGGCTAGAGAGAACAGGCTTTTGTTGGGGCTTCTTTCTGTCTGCTCCTCTTGCTGTTCCCAGATTGCCAGTCCAAGTCCGGGATGTATGAGGCAAAAAGAAAACCCAGGGAATTCATTGCCTTGTTGTTCATCAGGACCTGAGGTCCCCAGCTGGCTTGCTTTCTTCTTTCTACCTTTCAGAATCTTCTCATGTTTGTTTCATATATAATCTCTATAGTTTTTATTTGTACTTAGCAGGAGGAATGGGTAAAAGTACAGCTACATCATTTTCCTGAAAGTAGAAGTTCTCCAAGAGGTCTTCATGTAAATGTGGAGGAAAAAAAGTTTAGGTAGAGAACAGGTAGATGATGATGACCATCACCACAAAACTCAGTAGAATAAACACCATCTGCCTAAGAGAGCTTCAGGAAGTAGAGCTTCATGGGAGATCCAGATTTGAACTAACACTAGATGGTGGAAGAGTGGGAGTGGACAGGGTTGCTTGCTATGGAAAGGGGAATGGAAATTCCAGGGAACACTGTAAAAAGGATTAGGAATGACAGGAAGAACAAGAGAGGTGGAAAGCAGAACAAAAAAATTATTGGCTAAGAGTATGCAAGAGGAGAGATGACATGTGAGGCTTATATTTGAGAAATGACACAGGTGTGACAGGCAGGATTGACTGCCTTAGAAGTCACAGATAAATTTAGTGTCACATCAGGGCCTGATGACAGTATACTCTTGGCTTCCTAGTAACAGGGAAATAACTTCTGCTATAATGGGGTTCAGGTAGGTAGGAGCAGGAATGGCACCTGCAACTTTTGTATTTCATTTGCCCACAGGCACAGCCAGCCCTGACACAAATAACCTGAAATGAAGGGTTTAATTTCCAAAATGTCCTGGAAGAGTGGTGGACCACTCATTTACTCAATTCCCCACCCCTTAATTTGTCATTCCAAAAAAGTTTTCAGGAAAACCGGTATGATTTTTTCTTTTTCTTTTCTTTTTTTCTTTCTTTCTTTCTTTTTTTTTTTTTTTGAGACAGAGTTTTGCTCTGTCACCCAGGCTGGAGTGCAGTGGCATGATCTCAGCTCACTGCAACCTCTGCCTCCCAAGTTGAAGCGATTCTCCCGCCTCAGCCTCCCTGGTAGCTGGTACTACAGTTGTGCACCACCACGTCTGGCTAATTTTTGTATTTTTAGTAGAGATGGGGTTTCGTCATGTTGGCCAGACTGGTCTCAAACTCCTGACCTCAAGTAATCTGCCTGCCTCGGCCTCCCAAAGTGCTGGGATTACAGGCATCAACCACCATGCTAGGCTTGATTCCTTTTCATCTAGGCATTGTAGGGTATACATTTTTGGAATATTTGAATATTGAAGTTTTCAATTTAAAACAAATTGTTGTTGTTGTAATAACAATAATTAATTTATTGACCACTTATTAGATGCCACATACTACTCTAAGTGCTCAACATGTTTTAGATCATTTAATCCTTACAATGACCCTATAGTAGATATTAACTATTGTATTAGCTGCATATTATGCATGAGAAAACTTGGGATGTACTAAAGAAACTAGAAATATGTCCAAAATCTCCATCAAATTAAAAACTGGCATAGCCATCTTCTCTGTTACCACATTCATTACATGAGAATCACAAAGAATGATGTTTTTCCATTCTTCCTCAAATAATTACTACAATCAAGCTCTTGTGTTTATTTCATCTGCTGGGATAAAAAGTAACAGGCACTAATCTCATTTGTTTCTTCTCTGGCAAATCACTTGATCCATCATCCCTATTTTTCCTGCTTTTAAATTTGGGACAGTCATACCAGGCCTCTAGCCCACTAGCCACTGGGAACAGAGGCAATAAGATTTTATTGCAAAACATTTTGAAAATATTGAACTTGTGCTAAATTATTATTCAACCCATAGGGAGCTGGGTGGTAGCTAATGAAGGAGAAAAGTGGGAAATGGAAGAAAAACCACACAGAAGAAGGGTTGCCTAGTGAGCTGGAGCTGAAGACAACAAAGACCCAAAGGACACCGGGAGATGCCAAAGGTTTGTTCTCAACTGTATCCACCCCATGTCATCTCTAGGCTCCTTTGCACAGGGCTACAGGCTTACCTTGGTGCCTCACTGATGGCTACATCAATTTCAAATAATGATTTGAATCATTGAAAGAGCTTCTTTGGACTGTTTCCCAAGTCTTCACCTTTGCCTTTCATCTCCTCTTTCATCTACCTCTCCAAAGGTTCCCATAGATGGTCTTCAGTTTCACCCACATTGATTTTGCTTCATGCAGAAATATGCCCAGGAAACTCTCTCAGAGCAGAGCTGAGCTGGCCGGTGCTCAATGGTGTGTGTGTGTGTGTGTGCACGCGTGTGTGTGTGTGTATGTGTGTGTGTGCCCTCACCACATAATTCTCTTGCCTGATGTAGAATCAGTGACACACTAATTGCATTTATATTCAGAGAAAGAAAAAAAGAAGAAAATTCAATGTGATCCTATTATAAACCATTTTTAAACATTGAAATTTCCCCCTTAGTGATGCACTTCCAGGGCGGGTTAATTTGGAGCCTTTTTGAGTCAAATCTGTAAGCAGAAAATTTCTCACTCCTGGGTTGAAGGCCATCACGGACCAACTTGCTGCCTGAAAATCTGCAGATTCTCCCATCAAATTGGCACAGGCTCTGAGCAGACTTGAGGGTTTCCATGCTATCACTTTTTAGGAAAACTTGAATAATGGAAGACCAAAGCTCAGATTCCATTTGTTTGCCTCTGTCTTCTTTTCCAAGAGGAATGCTGGCCCATGCTCCTCACCAAAATTTAATCCCCCAAGAAGCACTTCTTTCATTACTTCTGTTTGGAAAGAGCAGCATATAAATAGACTTTAAACCACTTAAATACATTCATGAGCTCTTACATGTGCTTTCCGCATCCATCTCTCCCCCTGCCTCGCACCACACCATAGAGTATACTGATGACAGATTAAGCAGTTCCAAATTAAAGTTTCCATCATGCCATGTCACAACTCAGACACATTTGATGACTCCCATTTGCCTATAGGATAGATTCCCAAGTCCTTTCCATTCTTTTCTCTCGCTCTTCTGTTATACAATCCCTTCATTTCAGAATCCTCCTAAACAGGTCTTCCTCTTTTCGCCACCTTATTCCTCTTAACGTCTTCCTCATCTTAACCCTTCACGTAGGTCTCCCTTCTACATATCTAAAATCCTTCAGAGAAGTGGTTGGTTCTCAAAGTGTGGTCTCCAGATCACCAGCATGAGCATCACCTGGGAACTTGTTAGAAATGCAAATGCTCAGGCCCCACTCCAGACCCGCTGGCTCAGAAACTCTGGTGATGAGAACCCGCAATCCAATTTAACAGTCCCTGCAGGTTTGATGATCCATTTTAGCTCAGATCTCACCTCTTTCTGGATGCTTCCCTGATCCCCACAGCTTTTGTCCAGGCTCTTAAGATGCTTCCATGTTTGCTTATCTTATTTGGCAATCACCACGTGCAGCTTTGCTTACAGTTAGCTACCTTGTAAGAAAGCCAAGGATGATTTCCACCCCTTCTCTCTTCCTTCATTCTCTCTTTCCCTTACTCCCTTCTTCTACCCTTCCTCTTCCCTCTCCCTTCTCTCCCCTCTCCTTTCCTCCTTCCCTCACCCTTCCTTCTCCCTTCTCTCTGTCTCCCTCCCTCCCTTCTCCTTTCCTCTCTTCCTCCTTCCCACTCTCCCTCCCTCTTTCCCTACTCTTTTCCTCTCTCTCCCTCCCTCCATCCTTCTCTCCCTTCTCTTTTCCTTTCTCCCTCCCTCCCCTCTCTTTTCTTCTCTGCTTCCCTCCCTTCCATCTTGCCCAATCCACCAAAGCCCTAGCACAGCTACTCAGCAATTGTTGATTGGCTGTGGTTAGGTGACTAAACATAACTCATATGTGTTGGTAGTACCTTTCCAGCCTTGAAGTCTGCAAGAAGGATACGTCGTTCCAAAATTTGTCCTCTAGCTCTCATGTCTCAAACAGAATACCAGCATTGATGGCTCATGATCCTATCTCTAGCACTTCTTGAGTTTTAATATTCTGGAGACACTATAAATGATTGATACAGGCTACTGATGTGCTAATTATTAATGACTAAAGCAGGTCCCAGAAAAATCATGATTTAGCAAACTTTGTTGGCTCAGTCAGGCTACTTAAGACAAAGGGCACTAAATGGCAAGCCAAAAAAATCAATGTGACCAAATAGTAATTCCTTATGGCTGCCCACCTACCCCCACCCCACTCCCTGGGAAAACAACCCTTTTCAACATGGAGAACATCACAGCCAAAAATCATGAGATATACCTCATCCTCTCTCAGAGTCCACCAGTGAAATAAAGGCTGCACACTGGATCATCAGAGCCTCTTCCTTTCAATACCATCTATTTGTATTATTTCCTCTCCTCTTTACCCATCATGAACCCCACATTTTGACATTTTCATCTATAAGGCAATTTGCTCTTCAATGCCATGATGTCCAAAGAGAAGTTAAAGAAGCAACCAGGGGCCAGGTGCAGTGGCTCATACCTGTAATCTCAATGCTTTAGGAAGCTGGCCCGGGAGGGTTGCTTAAGGCCCGACGTTCAAGACCAGCCTGGGCAACAGAGTGAGATCCCTTCTCTACAAAAAAATTGACAATTAGCCAAGTGTAGTGGCATGTGCCATACTCCCAGCTACTCAGGAAGCTGAGACTGGAGAATTGCTTGAGCCCAGGAGTTGGAGGCTGCAGTGAGCTGTGATCACGCCACTGCATTCCAGCGTGGGTGACAGAGCAAGATCCCATCTCAAAAAAAAAAAAAAAAGCAACCAGGTTGCTAGATATCTTGTGAGAGCAGAGGGAGAGAATCCATTGTAAGACTCCTCTGGGGAAAAAGGGGTTTATGGTTTCTATTCCATGGTTCTCTGGCCTACAATGTTTCAACAGGATTTGGAGTTAGTGCTCACAAACCATTTTGAGATTCCAGCCCCCTTTAGAGGAGTGAACTCCAAAATGTTTTTGATCCAGGCACCTATATCAATAAAAAAATACTTTGAGCATGTACCACCAACACAGATATATTTGTTTCTTAATTGTATTTGTGCACTACTATTCTGATGTATTATATGCATAATGAAACACATACACTAAAATACATTTTGAAAGGATGGGGGAAATATAAAATGAACATTTTTAAAGTACTTTCCAATCGTGATGTCTTCCTGTTATCATTTGCTAATAGCTCAACAAAAAATATGCGTCACAGAGAACTTCATTGCACTGGCAGACACTGTCAGGAGTCAACCTGTATTGTCTTGGTCCACCCTAGCAGGCATCTGTAGGGTTCCTGTACAAGCAACAGCTCACGTGTTTCTCTGCATGAAAGCATTCTCTAACTATTAAAGTGTGACTAGTGCGGACCTCTTTTTTTGGCTTTGGAGCCCCCCTCCCTCTGTCTCTGTATGGGGGAGCTTCTTCCTTCTGTCTTCTCCCTTCTTTCTTGCCTATTAAACTCTCTGCTCCTTAAAACAAACAAACAAAAAAAGTGTGACTAGTATGAACGAGTCCTGCATACTAGTGTGACTAGCATGTACGAGGCCTGCAGTACTAGGGCCCCAACACCCCAGGAATGACTCTCAACCAATGAGGGATGGGAGTCAGTAGATAAATGCCCCAACTTCCTTGCACCTCAGAGGGTGATATGGTTTGGCAGTGTCCCCACACAAATTGCATCTTGAATTGTAATAATCCCCATGTGTCAAGGGAAGGGCCAGGTGGAGATAATTGAATCATGAGGGTGGTTTCCCCATACTGTTCTCATAGTAGTGAATAAGTCTCAAGAGGTCTGATGGTTTTATAAATGGGAGTTCCCCTGCAAAAGCTCTCTTGCCTGCCACCATGTAAGACGTGACTTTGTTCCTCCTTCACCTTCCACCATGATTGTGAGGACTCCCCAGCCATGTGGAACTGTGAGTCCATTAAATCTCTTTTTCTTTATAAATTACCCAGTCTTGGATATGTCTGTATTAGCAGCATGAGAACAGACTAATACAGAGGGATAATTCAGTCCCAAACAGTCTCTCAGAGGGTCCTCAGCAGGATAGAGTCCCTGGTGCCCCATGTAGTAACCCAATCATCAACATATCCTTTATTGGCTTTCTTGCCTTTGTATGTCACTTTCCTACTCCCTTACTGTGCTTCCTGGAATCACCTCCCAAATAGGATACTTCTATCTAAATCTTTGTCTTGGGGTCTGTTTTGTTGGAGTGGGGCAAACTAAGATAATAGTTAATAACATTTTAAATGGTCTCCTTGATGCTCTCTATTTTTAAGTAATCTGATTATAATGTCATTATTTTATGTAATGTGGTTGGTGCTGAGCTACAACTAGGGTAAGAGAATTGGCAGTGCTGCCATTTTCTTCTGATTTTGTAAGCTTGAATGAATAGTAGTATGTTGATCTATGGTTTCTTTGCAAGAATTTTTTTTTTTTTTTTTTTTTGAGACGGAGTCTCGCTCAGTCGCCCAGGCTGGAGTGCAGTGGCACGATCTCGGCTCACTGCAAGCTCCGCCTCCCGGGTTCACGCCATTCTCCTGCCTCAGCCTCCCAAGTAGGTGGGACTACAGGCGCCCGCCACTACGCCCGGCTAATTTTTTTTGTATTTTTAGTAGAGACGGGGTTTCACCGTGTTAACCAGGATGGTCTTGACCTCCTGACCTCGTGATCCGCCTGTCTCGGCCTCCCAAAGACGTAGCCACCGCGCCCGGCCAAGGACTTTTTAAAGTTACATACCTATTGTGAGAGGGTTTTTAGTTACAACTGGCTAATATACTTTGTAATGCTACCTCACCAGGAACATGTAAACTGCAATACTTTGCAATACACTGAAAGAAGTGATCACATGAGGGCTCCGCTGTCAACCCTTCTCAGTGTGGAACATTCCATCCTTCCCCAGAATACCTCTAAAAGCACATGGGACATATGACCTGCTCATATAGACAGAGGAAGCTCACTGGTAGCAATCTATATATTAAATGGTAGTCAAACTGAATCTATCTATCTATCTATCTAATCATTCTAACATTTGCTCTGTGTACCCCAGTATATTATCTCATTCACCCTTGGTGTATGATCACTCCACTTTGGAGGCCACTGCTCTAGAGAATCTAAGGCCATATCTAAGCAACCAAAGCCAAGTGGACGACTGAGGCCAATAAAGAGCTCACAGAGAATCACTTACAACTGGAGGTTGAGGGTTTGTGGTAGGATGGGCAGTATTTCCGTGAATTGATGTCCTTGAGTCCTTGAGGTCTTTGGTGTCTGAAGGAAGAAAGAGGAATTAGATGCATTAAGTGTGGAGGTAGAGAAGGCTGGAGAAATTAGAAGTGAGGACAAGAAAGGAGAAGGCAAGATTTTTGTTCTTGCCTGGTTTCATGGCATGGTTTTGATCCCCAGTGGAAAAAGATATTGAGCTCTAACATGGAAGGAGACATTCTATGAGATACTCTGGTGAGACTGAATACAAGTATTTTTGTCTTGGGGGCTGGGATGACAAAGAATATCACACAGTAGAGAATAGAGACAATCTCTGAACTGTTGTCCAAAACAGAATGCTGTCTGCTACTGCATCATGGACTATTTAGAGAGCATGGCAAGAGAATGTACTTGGTGGGGAAGCTGGAATTCTCACCATCAGCAGCAGCACTGGGAAGAGGCTTTCACTGTACTTCTGAGCAGATAACACTGACGAGGGGAAGCCTATTCAGGAAGAGAAGGAAATTTTGATAATGGATGTGTGGGACCTGTAGCTGCCATACTGATTCATGAGCTCCCTGTGAATTCCTGCTGGGGATATCCAGGAATACTCAATTGGGAAAGGGGGGACTTTTCCAGAAAACTGGTGACCCTGAATAAGTAAATAGAGTTAAAAGCCAGGAAGTTTGGATTAATTTGATTTCACTCATATCCCCAAGAAAACATTTGGGTTACAAATAATAATTTGGGTTCTTCTACTATCAAATAAGTAAATGATTATTTAATATCAAGTAATCATTCCTCCACTTTGGCACTAAAGAGCTGGCCACATTGCAGATAAAAAATTACAATGACACTTTAACCTGTTCACTTCTTATAGGGCCGTATTTGGTACAAGGAAGTACTCTAAAGCACCAGTTGATGATATGATATACAGGAACAAATAAGGAGGTGAACTAATAATGATAGTGCTTCTTCTAAGCAGGTTTGCAAGGGCAGACTTGCTTCTTGCTCTCCTGAGTTGCAGAATTATAGATGTTAGAGCCTTCCCTGTACGTGCATCACTCCCTTTGGTGAATCATTTGTACATCACATGAATGATATTTTGTGGACATGACCCTTAGATTCTTGCACATTGAGTAATAATTTATACTAACAATTTATTGCTCCCATAATTTAGAAACCTGATCATTCCCACCCAAATCCTTGGCATCTCACCTCCTCAAACAGTCATGATTTAATAGCTCAGCTGTGAGGTGAGATCTCAAATTACCAAAGCATCATAACTTTTACTATGAATATCATGAGACATGCAAAAGGAAGCTAAGACCACTGAAACCAGTTACACCTCAGGCAGAAGCATAAGCTAACTGCAAGACAGACACCTGTGGAAGCTTGATTCACATTTTCAGGATGCTGGGAAACCATTTAATGTGTTGGACAAATTTGGGGCATGGGGGAGATGGCAACCCAATGTCTTGAAAATGTTAACAGACTTTCCAAAGATATCGTAATCTATTCCCAGAGAGTAGTTTCCCATGTCTCAACATAACAAATAACCACAGTCCAATCAACAAAACGCATAGACCTTTTGGACTGGGTAGCAAAGCAGATATTTTCATCCAGGACGCTATCTGCAGTTTGGCCTCACTTGGGACAGTTTTCCTGAAGGGTTGTTTTCCTGGGTGGGAAGAGGTATCTTGTTTTGAGTTTTTTAAAAAAGATGTTTCCTTAAAAATTTTAAATCCATTTCATATATTTTTTTCAGGGTCAAATTTTAAAAATCAAATGAAAGACTCAAACACATTTAATCAGAAAGTGGTCAGCTTTTATCTGAAATCCTGTATATACTATTGAGAGCAAATGTTTAACTTAGGTGGAAGTGAAACATGGGCAAATGAAACTTAGAGAAATGCGACTTATTCGAAATTGTTGTAGATAAATTCTAGAAGTCAGAAGCTTAAAAAAAGACATAAATAATGGTTTCACAAACTTATCCAAATGCCAATAATAATTTAATATTCTTCTTCTAAGAGCAAGCACTCCACTTGCTAATTATTATCTCAAAATGAATTCATGAACATTAATTAAGTCCCATCCAGGCAGCATGATTAAGACATAATTAATAACAGACATTTAATACTAGTCGAATTTAGTAAACATTTGCTTCTATTGAAACTTTTTGTTCATTTGCCAGATAAGCAAAAGGTTAACTTCACTGTTGCAGTATATCTTCTAGCAAATGTTGTGTTTGGAGTTTGAAAGCAGTGCTCTGGGAAACAGTGTGCTGTTACCATGGTCTTGGAATGTCATAATCCTGAATTCTGCAACCATCCTGCACTCAAATGCCCTAGCAATTTTGGGCAAGCAACCTAATGCTCCAGATACTCTGGTTTCTAATCCCATCATAAAACAAATATAATAAACCTTCTCAACTTCTTAACACTCTTTCCACCCTTGGCTTCAAGGCCATTCTTCACAGTCTTTCTAATCTCTCCTTTTACTTTGCCCACTCTTGGTGGCATAGCTAATATATTTGACACCTGCAGCAGATCATTTCCAAAAATGTGCTTGCTTTCTATGCCAAACGTATTTTTAGTATTGATCATATAATAATCATAATAATCATTTTCTTGAATTTTTCTCTAGTTGTAAAACAAGAAATTAACAATTAAAATGAAGTTTTGGTCTGGACAAGATGGCTTAGACCTGTTTCTCTCTGCTCCTACCTGCTAAGTACAACTATAAACCTTAGAAAAAACTCAAAAGGCAAACAAAAGAACACTATGAAAGGTGATAAGAGGAAGGTGAGCTGGTTTGGGATTCCAGTACTGAAGGAACAACACAGCAGCAGAGTGTCTTATATCCCCCTACCCAGCAGAAGAAGGCAACCCTGGCCTGGCATTTCCAAGCCCTCAACCTGGCAACACGAGGTAGTGCAGGTAGGCTGATTTCTCCACCAGAATGAATGGCAGTCCTACTGATAATGCCCAGTGAGCCTACAGTGCTGGTAAGAAGGATAGATCAGGAGCCCTGCTAAAAGTAAGCAGCTAAGGCAAATTCTATCTTCCCCTGCAAGACCTGAGACACACCCACTTCTACTGAGAGACACTGGGTGGCAGGCTGGCATTGGCAAGATGGTTCTGCCACACACAATAGGCTGCTTATTCCTAGGAAGCATTCTTTATCCTTATGGGCTAGAGATTCCTTTCTTCCATCTTGAGACACCAGGTGGCCCTGCACTGGGAAACCCTTTTGATCCTTTCAGGCAGCACCACCAGGAACCAGTGGAAGTCCCAGCAGCACCAGCTAAATCAAGCATACCAAGAAGCACTGAAAAGGCTCTGAAAATTAAACTGTCATTGAAACCACAGTCCAAAAAAGTAGATCAGGATCTGTATGCTAAACCTAAACTGGTTTCTTTAAATAGGACCTAGAATCTCCTAAGATAAAAGCAAAAAATGTCCAGGATACAATAAAAAGTCACTCACCATATCAAGAGCCAGGGAAATCACAACTTGAATGAAAAAAGACAATCCAGGCATGGCAACAAAAAGATAAATAGGATGCTAGAATTATCTGACAAGGAATTTAAGGCAAGCATAATAAATAACTTCAAATGAATAACAATGAATTCTTTTTAAATAAGTGAAAAAGTAGAAAAAACCTCAGAAAAGAAATACAAGTTATAAAAAATAATGAAATGAAAATCTTATAAATGAAAAGTATAATACTCCATATTTATTAACTTGCTGGATGGAGTTGATAGTAGAGCAAATATGTCAGCAGATAGAATCAGTGAACTTCAGGATGAATTAAGAAGATTCACACGATCTGAAAAACAGAGAGATAGCCTGGAAAAAAATGAACAGGCTCCCAAAGACCTGTGGAACAATAACAAAAGATCAAACATATATATAATTGGAGTTCCAGAAAAAGAGGAAAAAGAGTGGGGTTGAAAGAATATTAGACATAATGACTGAAAGCGTCTCAAATGTGGCAAAAGAAACACATAGATGCAAGAAGCTGAGCAAACCTCAAACAAGATAACCTCCCCCCAATCCATATCATGACATATCATAGTTAAACTTCTGAAAACTAAAGCAAAGATAAGATCTTGAAGGCAGCCAGAGAGAAATGATGCATTACCTATCAGGGAACACCAATTTGGATGACAATGGGGTTTTCATCTGAAACCGTGGAGGCCAGAAGGAAGTAATACAATGTTCTTAAAGTTCTGAAAGCAAAGAACTGCCGATCTAGAACATCCTTTGGGAATGAAAGGGAAATCAAAGTAGTTGCAGAAGAAGGAAAACCAAGAGAATTTGTCACCATCAGACTTACCCTTAAATATTGTCTACAGGAAATTCTTCAAACAGAAAGGAAATTATAAAAGAAAAAATCTTGGAGCATCAAGAAGTGGGAAAGAACAACAGAAAGAGCAGAAATCTGGGTGAATAAAATAGACTATCTTTCCTACAAGCTTTATAAATTATATTTAATGATTAAAACATTAGTTATAATAACACTTGATACTCAACACAATTATATTTGAAAGCAATCAGATTAAAGGGATCTAAATGAAATTAAAGTTTCCACAGTTGACTTGAAGTGGCAAAATGCTGCTACCAGTAGAATGTGATAGATCACATATCTATATTGTAATACCCAGAGCAACAATTAAGCAAGCTATATAAAGAGATGCACTCAGAAACACTATAAATAATTCAAGATAGATTTATTAAAATGTTCAAGTAACCCACAGGAAGGCAAGAAGACAGAAACAGAAGAATGATAAACAGAGGAAACTGTCATAAAACAAACAATAAAATGGTAGGCTAAGGTTCTAACATACCAATAGTTATCTTAAATGTAAAAGGTCTGAATATACCAATAAAAAGACAGATACTGACAGAATGGATTTACAAAACAACTCAACTATATGTGGTTTACAAAAAAACCCTCAAATTCAAGGGCATAGGTAGGTTAAAAGTAAGAGGATAGAGACAGATATACTATGCAAACATTAATTAAAACAATTAGGGCCAGGCGCAGTGGCTCACGTCTGCAATCCCAGCACTTTGGGAGGCCGAGGCAGGCGGATCACCTGAGGTCTAGAGTTTGAGGCTAGCCTGGCCAACATGGTAAAACTTTGCCTGTACTAAAAATACAAAAAAAAAAAAAAAGGGCATGGTGGCAGGTGCCTGTAATCCCAGCTATTTGGGAGGTTGAGGCAGGAGAATCAATTGAACCTGGGAAGTGGAGGTTGCAGTGAGCTGAGATCACACCACTGCACTCCAGCCTGCACGACAGAGCGAGCCTCTGTCTCAAAAAAACAAACAAACAAACAACAACAAAAACAAAAAACAATTAGGAGAACCTATATTAATGTAAGATAAAGTTTAGAGCAAAGAAAATTGCTACAGATAGAAAGAGACATTATGTAAATATACCAAGAAGCTATAGCAATTATAAATATACGTGCATCCAAGAACAGAGCCTTAAAATGAATGAAAGCATAAGCTAATACAGCTGAAAGGAGAAATAGACAAATTCACAATTACAGTTAGTGACTTCAATGCTTCTATCTCAGCAACCGATAAAATTACTAGAAAGAAAATCAGAGAGGATATAGGTGATCTGAACAACACAATCAACCATCAGGATCCTATTGACATATATAAAACATCCCACTCGGTAACAGAAGAATACACATCTTTTTCAATAATCCATATAACGGTCTCTGAAATAGACAATATCTTGAGCCATAAAACAAATCTCAATACACTTGAAAGAGTTAAAAGTATATATGGCATGTTCTCTGACCTTAATGGAATCAAAGTAGAAATCAATAACAGAAAGAATGAAGAAGAAAAATCTCTAAACACCTGGAAATTAAGCAACACACTGCTAAATAATCCATGTGTCAAAGAGGTTGTCTCCAAGAAAATAAAAAAATGGAAATTAATTAAAAGGAAAATACAACATAACTAAATATCTGGGATGCAGCTAAAGCAGCACTGAGAGGGAAATTTATGGCATCAAAAACTTACTTTAGAAAAGATGCAAGGTCTTGAATCAGTAATCTAAGTTGCTACCTCAATAAACTAGGAAAAGAAGAGTAAAATAAGCCCAAAGCAAGCAGAATGAAGGAAATCATAAAAGCAGAAATCAATAAAATGAAAAACAGAAAAGTGAGTAAAAATGAAATAAAATTACATGCTGGTTCATCAAAAAATGAAATGAAATTGATAACATTTTAGTACAGTAAATAAAAATAAAAATAAAGAAAACAAGTCACCAATATTAGGAATGAAGCAGAGACTATCACTACAGATCTCATAGCCATTAGAAGAAAAATAAGGGGATATTACAAATAATTTATACTAATAAATTTAACAACTTGGAATAAATTGACCAATCCCTCCAAAACCACAAACTACCAAATGTCAGCCAAGATTAAATAAATAGTCCTATAACCATTAAAGAAATTGAATTTGTAATTTAAAAACTCCTTCAAAAAGAAACATCCAAGCCCAGACAGTTTCATTGGAAATCTCTATCAAACATTTAAAGAAGAAATAACACCAATTATACATAATCTTTTCCAGGAAATAGAATAAGAGAAAAAAATTCCAGCTTATATTGTGAGACAAATATCCTGATATCAAAACTACACAAATGGTACAAAAAAAGTACAAGTAGATATCAATATTGTTTATAAACTCGGACACCAAAATCCTTAACAAAATAGCAAATCAAATCCAACAATGTATTAAAAGAATACACATGGGGCAAGTGAAATTTATTCCAGATATAAAAGAATGATACAGCATTCAAAAATAAATCAATGTAAACTATCATATCAACAGGCTAAACAAAAAATCAGATAATCAATATTAATTGATGCAAAAAACACATTTGTCAAAATTAACACTCATTCATCATAAAAGTTCTCAGCAAGTTAGGAAGAGAGAAGAATTATCTCCACTTGACAAAGAGTATCTACAGCAAACCTATAGAAAACATTATACTTAATGGTGAAAGACTGAATATTTTCTCCCTAAGATCAGAAACAAGGTAAAGATGTCTATTCTTGCCACTCATACTCAACATAATACTGGAAGTTCTGGCCACTGCAGTAAAGCAAGAAAAAGAAATAAAGGCATACAGATTGGAAAGAAAGAAACAAAACTGTTCCTATTTGCAGATGACATGATTGCTTATGTAGAAAATTCCGAGGAATTTCTAAAATATAAAAAGATATTCTAGAATTAATAATTGCAATAATTGAGTTTAGGAAGGTCACAGAATATAAGATGAGCACAAAAAATCCGTCTTATTTCTATATACTAACAAAGAGCATATGGAAGCAGAAATTTAAAACACAATACCACTTACAATCACTGCAAAGAAAGTGAACACTTAGGTCTGAATTTAACTGAAAAATGACAATGTGCTGATGACGTTAAAGAAGACCTTAATAAATGGTGATACATTCTAAGTTAATGAATTAGAAGACTCAACATACTAAAGGTGTCATTTCTTTTCAATTTGATCTATAGATTGAAAGTTATTCCTATCAAAATCCCAGCAAAAATTTTTATAGACATATACAAGCTTTTTCTAAAATTTATATCGAAAGGCCAAATAACTAAAATAGTTCAAACTATCTTGAAAAAGAAGAATAAACTAGAAGCAATCACTGTACCTGATATTAATGATGACAATATAGCTACAGTAATCAAGATAGTATGTGTGGGTGGAGGGGCAGACACATGGATACATAGATAAGTAGAATGGAGTAAAGAATCCAGAAATACTCACACAAATATGGCCAACTGATTTTTGACAAAGGTGCAAAAACAACCCAAAAGAGGAAAAATGGGCTTTTCAAAAAGTAGTGCTAGAGCAATTGGACATCCATAGGCAATAAATAAATAAATAGTAAAATCTTTTGCTCTGTAAAAGACCATATTAAAAGGATAAAAAGACAAGATACAGACTGAGAGAAAATATGCACAAACCGCACATGTGACAAAGAATTAATATCTAGAATATATAAAGAATTCTCAAAATTCAACAGTATAAATACCCAAACAATCCAATCATAAAATGGGCAAAAAGTATGAACAGACCTTTCACCAAAGAGGACATACAGGTGGTAGACAAGCACAAGAAAAGATGTTCAACATCATTAGCTACTAGAGAAATACAAATTAAAACCACAATGAGCTATCACTACACACCTATTAGAATGGCTAAAATAAAAATGGTTCTAATGCCAAAAACTGGTGAGTATGTGGAGAAACTTGTTCACCCATACATTTCTGGTGGGAATGTAAAATGTTAGAACAGCTCTATAAAGCAGTTTGGCAGTTTCTTAAAAAACCAAGCATGCAATTACCATACAATCCAGCAAGCGAACTTTTGGGCATTATCCTAGAGAAATGAAAACTTATGTTCACATAAAAACCCATGCAGGAATGTGCATAGTAGCTTTATCCATAGTAGCCCAAAGCTGACAGCAGACCAAAACTGAAAACAGCCCAGATGTGCTCCAACAGGTTAATGGTTAAATAAACCATGGTATGGTATGTATGTCCCAATGGAATACTATTCTGCAATTACAAGGAATGAACTGTTGATACACACAGCAATGTGGATGAATCGCCAGTGAATTATGCTGAGTGAAAAAAACCAATCCCAAAAGGTTATATACTGTATACTTTCATTTATGTGACATTTTTAAATGAAAAAAAAAATTAGTAATGGAGAACAGAGTGGTGGTTGCCAGTGGTAGGGATGGGATGGAGGGGAGGAAGAGAGGTGGATGTGGCTATAAAAGGGCAATAAGAGAGATCCTTGTTGTGATGGAAATGTTCTATATATTAACTATAGTGTGGATACACAAACCTACTCATATAATAAAATTGCATACAACCAAATACACACACACACACATACACCTGAGTGCAAATAAAACTGGAGAAATCTTAATAAGATTGTGAATTGTATCGATGTCAATATGCTGGCTGTGACATCGCACTACAGTTTTGCAAGACATTACCAATAGGGAAATTGGGTAAACGACACAGGGGATCTCTTTGTATTATTTCTTACAGCTGCATGTGAATCTATAATTATCTCAAAATAAAAAGTTTTATCTTAAAAAAAGAGAGACAGAGCAACAAAACAGAACTGACAGCCCTGAATTAGAATCTTTTAAATATTAGCTTATTATTTGCTAAAATAGAAAGCACAAATTAATGGAGAAGGTATTTCATATTAAATAGCGTTGAGACAATTGGCCAACTACTTGGGGAAAAAATGATACAATTAGAATCCACCTTACAATAAATACCAAACAAATCTAAATGAATAAAAATTGAATTAATTAGGATTTATTAGTTTTTACTCAAACAATAGAAGGCTTCACAACACAAAAGATGGATAGATTTAACTTTACAAAAATAAAAATCTTATCTATATAAAATAGTAGCCACACTCACGGAATGAAAAGAAAATGGAGTATATATTTGTTGCGATTATGACAAACATTTATTTTGCATTAAGTAAATGACACATACACACCAATAAGATGAGAACACTGTGATTTAATGAAAAAGTGAATAAAGACAATTCCCTTGGATATCGAAGTAGCAAGTACACAAATAAAAATGACTCAACTTGCTAGTAATCAGAGAAATACATTTTAAAACAAAATGAGTCAAATTTTTTGGCCCAGACTGGTGAGTACTCACAAGGCAGGTGGTCTCAGACCTCATATATCCTTTTCAAAATCAGTTTGGCAACATGTTCATGTCTCTGTGTCTGCCCCAGAAATATTACAGCTGTGTATTTATGCTGAGAAATAATTATTAATGGAAAACATTGATATACACAAAGATATTAATTGCAGTGTTCTTTTTAACAGCAGATTTTGGAAGTGGCTTATACTTCTAATGGGGGAAAACTAAGTATATGGTAATAAATCCACCTAATAAAATTGTATACCACCATTAAAGATATTTATGGTGATTGTGTAGTGTGATTAGAATGCTATGATAAAATGCTTATTCTTTGAAGATGTTAAGGGATAAAAACAGGACTAAAACCACATGTAATATTATTTCAGTTGAGTAAATAGTATAGAGAAAAACTTGAAATATAAAGATCACTGAAAGTGGTTATAATTGAATGTTTACACTGAAGATACAATACACTTTTACACTTATATTTAATCTTTAATGACTATTACAATGAACCATTTGTTTAAAAAATAATAAATTATATGTATTCTACAGTATTTCTATATTAATTGTGAATATTTTCTGAAGCAATAATGTTGTAGCTTTCAAAATGTCACCTCTATTTCCTCTAAAATGATTCTTCTTCAAAAAACAAGGACTCATCTAATAGATGGAGTGAAACAGAAATCCAAGATGGTAGTGGCCCACTATTTATGAAACGTGCCTGTTAAGTTTGAGAACAATTCCTTTAAGGCAGGATGTCAGTGAATGAGAAACCAACTCTCTCCCATGTGCACAGAAATGTGGACATCAGAGATTGATGGAGACACTTTAGTGAATTGGGCTGGGTTGTGGAGCCACATTTCTAATGGAAGCTTAGAGAGCTACGAAGACAATCAGACCCAGAAGGCTAGTTCTATAAATGGGGCCAATGTGGGAAGAGGTCATGGATGATGACTGTTGAATGCTAAGGCTCCATGGCTGAGCGATGCCTAGTGTACTCCCCTCAAGAACACGAGGAGCTTAGAAGAGAGAAGCAGGCCTCATCTGGGGCCCAACACACTGGTGGTCTGGCTCAGAAATTGGGCAAGGATAATCCTAGGGGTGAAGAGCATCAGAGAATTCACCTGAAAGAGGCCAAGGTGAGCAGGGGCTGCTGGTAAGTGATCTTATGACAGCACTTAGGTGTTGACTTGGCACTAAGAGGCCACAAATGCAAAGACGGCAATTAAAAATGCTAACCAGCCTAGACATGAGAGATTTTACACTTGCTCTCTTTTCCTTCTTCTATAACATTGTTCCATTCATAAAATTTTATAATTTGAGAAATTCTCCCAGGTGAAGAAAAATGAAACTATTAAAGTCTCTTTTGTACTACACATTGATGTCCTGTTCAAAAATGAATGACCTGGCAACTCCTCTTATTCCTTGAGTTTATAGTAACAGAACCCTTGCCAGTTACACTGGGGAGACTTGCAGTGCGTGAATCAGAGCAGACCTAACAGGCCATGGACACGCTGAGGGTGGTAGGAGCATGCGATGCAGGTTGTGGCACAGATCATTTGTGAAACTGACTGCCACACTCTCATTTGTTCATGAAATGCATGTGAGCCAGGTCAAACAGATTGTGTCTCTGGGGGAACTAATCCCTACCAAAAGCCAATGGGTTTGATGGCTGAGAAAGCCCTCACTAGCTCTTCTCCCAAGCGACCACTGCAGAGCTAAATCTCGGCCTCACCACAGAGACGGGCACCAGGGGCCTGTGTATTTGGGCAATCGAGGATATTTATGGGCCACTCCATTGTCCTCTTTAACAATAACACTCCCGCCTTGGAGTGTCTGCGCAGTTACTTTTTAGGATCTGTTTTAGGCAATGTTCTAATTGTTAATCCCCATTAGTCCAGCGCAATTTTGCCCATTTTTCCTTTCTTATTCAGGGATGAATCTGGCTCATTTGTGAATGAACTTCTAAGAGAGGAAAAGGTGAGTCTCACACCTGGAAAGGGAACAGGACTTGGCATGTGAGAATGGGTGTGTGTGTGTGTGTGCATGTGTGCGTTTACGTGCATGTGCGGGCCTGTGTGCATGTGAGTGCGTGTACACGTGCATGTGTACATGCGTGCATGTGCTTGTGTGCGTGTGTTTGCGTGTGTGTATCCAGTTCTTCTATGCAAACATCTCTGAGCCTCATGTTCTGCATGCGAAGGCTGGGTTGTGCGGGGTCATCTCTGAACTCTCCTACCCCTGGTCTGTGATGTGCCAGTATTTCACCCACACTCATGCCACAGTTGGCACAGGTGTCCCATCCAACAAGATAATTCACTGCCCAAAACAAATCTGGGTGTATTTTTCACTTCACTGACATCCCTTGCCTTATAATTTCATGCCCCTGACTTCAACTCTCTACTGGGGCTATAATCATGTTCTGGTCCTTCCTTGGTGACCTTCGTGGACCCTACTCTGTCTCATGCAGCCTGGCTTCTCACGTGGCTTGTACAGGGCTCTCCATGGATTTGGGCAAACCCTCGTGGCCTCAAGTGACAGTCACATGACTCCAACCCCAACCCCACTCTGCCCACATCCCCCCTCCACACCGAAAAGGAAGGTGTGTTTGACGGTCATGATACTTGTAGGAGAAGTGGCTGTTCCAGCTCTTTCGGAGTAAGAGACCAAGCCCAAATGGGAAGGGAGATAGCAGTGAGTTCAACAACTACTTACTGCAGGCTGCCCACACCGGGAGAACTAAAGTGGCGTCTGCAGGAGGTGCAAGCCATGAGGCCTCCCTCAACGTGCACCATCAACTCAGAGAGATGAGAGGCAAGGGCAAGGACGGCTACCACTGGTGTGAGGCATCTACGTCCCAGAGGGAGAGGAGAGCTTACTCGAAGCCACTTTGACAGAGCAGGGGACAGACGTTCCCCATCCTGACCCCTTGCACAGGAGTCTTGCCCTCCTCCATCAGAGGCAGCAGTGTGCCTTGAAGGCATGGCTAAAACAGAAACCGCCCCATGCACAGTGGGCCTTCACCCGCGTTTTAGTTTAGATTATCGCCTTCGTTTGACTTTAAAGTCAGTTTACCATGATGATCCATAACCTACTTCTTCCCTACACTTGTTTTTGTCAGATTGCTTGACTCAAGAATGGCCTTTATCCCCAGAATTGGAGGTAAAACAAAACAAAGACAACCCAGTTACTGCATGTATGTCTTAGGATGCTTTCAATGAAATTACGAGTGATAGAGACCTGACTCAAAGAAGCTTAACCTATAAAGCAGTGTAATAATTTACATAACCAGAAGTGCATGGTTGGCTGGCTCTAGAGCTGCTTATTCTAGTAGTTCCACAACCTAGCCATGGTCCTAAGTTCTTTCTCTACTTTTGCTGTGATGCCTTGAGCATCAACTCCTTTCTAGGCCTGGTTCCTAGCGTAATAGTGACCATCCATCCTGGTTTACTGGAAAGACCCAGTTTATCCCTTTTCCCCTGACATAGTTGTTAATAGCAACCCCTTTCACCCTCAGTAGCATCCTGCTTTAGGTGATCAACTATGTGGTCACCTGCATAATGTTTTTGCTGCCAGTTGCAAATGGAGTTACATTAGCCTCACATCCATCAGGAGAGGGAGGGATGCTCTCCTAGAGAGTAAGAACTTAGCTGGGAATCCCCAGCAAACCTCTCCTCTCATTTATTTGGCCCTAATTATAGCAAGAGGGATGCAATTTTTCTTAGCTCAAATAGACCTACCCTAAATATAGGATGAAATTCTAAGGTACATAGGTTTCACAGGAGAGGGATGGAAGTCTGAATATTAGTGTTCTGTTAGGAAAGAAAAATGGAGAATACAGAATACAGCAGCCACAAGCAAAGCCCTTTATAATGAGCTTGCTTCTTACTTGTGATAATTTCTCAAAAATCTCTATGAAATGCAATGCTCTACTGCTTGTGAGACTAGACAGAGCTACAACTGGACAATGAGAGGCTTCAATGCAGTGCAGGGATGGTACTTTATTATTCTTTGCTTTCTAGCAGGTAGCTTAGTACTTTAAAGTAATAGCTGTTCAGTATATACTTACTGATTGCCAAACTAAAGGACCAACTCACATATCCTTTGATCCAGTCTTTGCTAATTTTATCCAAAGTGCATAAAACAGTTCATAGGAAGTCCTCAGATGAAGAATACTGAAACTCCCCACCCCCATGCAGAGCGCAGTAGATGTCTCTGTCCCATCCAAAGAGTCAAAACCTTTCCCTCACCTCATGAGCTCTGAACATTCCTCAGGTAAAAATGTCATTCTCGTTGGACTGTTTCTCTGAATGCTTTCCATCCTCTTTCCCTAAACCTGGGTTTGATTTCGGTCCTCTGTGCTTCAGTTATCCCTTGCATTTTCTTCAGCATTTCTCCTTCTGCCTTGTGATTATGTTTTCAAATGCCTGCCTCATTCACTCAATCACCCAGTAAATATTATTAACCACGAAAACATTTGTAAAACAAAGTTTCCATTTTAAATACATTATTCCACTTCAGTAAAATATAGACCCCTTAAGAAGTTAAGAATCTCTTGAAAGCAATAGACAATTTCCCCAGATGCATTCACACCGGTGAGCATTAAACTGACATCTACAATTTCAGGGCTTTCAGGAACCCCTTGAGAAACCCACATGTTCATAAAGATGAGGTCAGATTGTGTTGGTGTACCCCAGGGTGAAGGGCTCAGCCACCAGCCCAATTCACACATGTCTTCTACAGAGTTCACCAAGTAATACTGGTTCAACCAACACCCGGGGCCTAACAACTCCAAAATCCTGGTCTGCAACTTAAATTTTGAACTCCAGATCTACTCTTCCAAATGCCTACTGGACAGCTCTACGCGGCTAATCAACAGGCACCTCCAATTCGAGATGTCTTAACCAGAACTCCCTGGAGCAGATACTGATGATGCACCACCCACATCCCTTGGGTGCTACCACTTTAATGTGCTCCACAGACATCCAGCTGCCAGGATCTTCTCTCTGTATTTGGGAAGGATCTTCTGCCTATGCTGGGTGGTAGGTTGGAATTGCCAGAAAATCAGCACCCCCTGGACTGCTCTTAACTAGCTTCTTCATCTCTGGAGTGGGTGCTTGGTATCCTGTCCAAGAGTTTGCCTGTGGGATTAAGCTCCAGTTGCTCACAGTGGTAACTGGCCTTGTGAACATGCCTCCCATTGATGGCTGTCCCTCTGGCTTCCTTCCCTCCTCCCCTACAGTGTTTCCTTCAGTTCCCAAATCAACTTTCTGCACTGGAATCCTTGTCTCAGGATATGCTTCTGGGGGAACCTACGACACTTGTCATTGCCAGCCCCAAATCTGCTTCTCTTCCTAGGGACCTCTATCTCAGTGACCACGCCCCCACCCACCCTGTCACCCAAGTCAGAAAACCAGGTGTCAGTCACCCTTACTCCTGTTTCCTCCATCATCAAGCCTTGTTGATTCTGCATCCCAAGTACCACCTGACTCAAGTTCCTACTCTTCATCTCTGCTGGCAGGACCAATCATTGCAACAGCCTCTCTTACCTGGTCTCCCTGCTGCCAATCTCACCTCCCTCTGATCAGCCCACCACACCAACCAACAGAGTGATCATTCCTCAATCCAAATCTTTCCTTGTCATTCCCTTGCTTAAAGCCTTTCAATGGTTCTCACTGACTGCAAGGAAAAGCTCCTTGACAGGACAGACCAGGGACTTCAAGTGACCTGTAGCTTCCCTTTCCCCCTCCTCTACTATTCCTCACAGCCTCTACTCTGGACTTACAAAAAATCTGCAGCCTCTAGATAGTGTTCTGCATCCCAGCTTCAGTTCCCTTCACTTATAATGCCTTTTGTTTACTTTGGAAACTTCTATTTGTCTCTCAGCACTCAGCAACTGTCACCATCTCTGGCAACCTTTTCTGACTTCCCTGCCCCATGCCATTCCCTATTCCTTCCCAGTGCAGGAATAGGCCCACTCCTTGGGTGTTCACCCAGCCTATTTTATAACTCACCATGTACCACACAATGTCAAATTGTATTATTAACAGTTCTTAATAATCTGTGAGCATACTGGGGTCAGAAACCATGTATTCACCATATCTCTAACCCACATCCTTAGCTCAGTGACTGTGCAGCTAGTAGGTGCTTAATAGATGTTTATTGGATAAACAAACTAATCGCTCATCTGGCAAGTATGTGGAAACTCGATTATAAGGAGATGCTGTATGAGAGAAGGAGGATATGGGTAAAAAGAATAAGATCTGGGATGGGAAATTTCTTGGGTACTTATTTAAAATCACCAAATATTACAATTACAGATCTCAAAAATCACCCTGACCCATCCTGGAAGATTTTGAGGTTGTTCTTTCCTGCTGTTTCGGCATGTTCCTTCTTCCCTCCATTTTCTTAGGCACCCCTTTAACTGTATGAACAAAATTATTCCACATTAATGTCCTATTTCTGTCCCAAAGCACCACCCCACACGCACACACAAATCCAGACCCACCCTTTATGAACCTTTTTTCCTTCCCTTTGCAAGGGCAGCCAGGATGAAAAGGCAGAAGGGTGCCACTGTATGTTTATTTGGGAATGGGGGCCATGAAGCCTATTTCTTCTGCATTAATCTGAATCAATATAATCTTTCCTGAAAACATAAGCACCTCAAAGGGCAGCAAATATGAATCACAACTGCCAGTGAGGATCAAACATTAACCCAGGGTTGTGATGAGGCCAACAAAAGAAATAGGCTAGTAATTGCCTTCCAGGATATCAATCCCTACCTTATACACACATACCCCCTCAACACACACAAAACCTTTATGGATCTTTCATCCATGAACTTGCCCAATTATAATTGCCCAGCTGTGTCTTTAGTTGGATTCAGGCTAGGTCTTGGCAACCGAGACCTCACATACCTTATCCAAGAACTTAGAACAGTTATGAGATCTATAGAGGAAGTCTTTGGTTGCTGAAATGATTGAAGACACATTCATAAATATTTCCACAGGTATCATTAATTAGTTGGGGCTGATTTTAAACCCCCCAAAACCTGATTGAAACAAGTAGAAACTGACACTTTCTGTTGATATTCATTATTATCAATTCTTAAACTTGCACTGTGTGTCTTTCCACCCCTGTGTGGTCTGGGTACTTCTTAATTTAACTCTTCTTTTTCAAAAGAGGAAATTCAGTATCAAGGAATGGTACTACCAGGGCTGACTTCTCCCTTAGGCATAGTAGACACAGTGCCTGGGGCTCATGTTTAGGGACCCACATAAATCTTTTAATTTCTTTTAAAATCAGAAGAAAAAATGAATTTTTAGGTTGAAGAAACTGTTTTAATATATAATGCTATTATATTCATCTTTACACAAATGCAATTGTAAAATGTAATTTGTAATATCTTTCTACGGAGGAAGGAGTCCACAAAGGCAAAAGTGCTCAAGACAGACATCATTCAGCCTCAGTTACTACCACCTTATGCTTGCAACACAACATAGTTAGAATACAGCCTTTCAAACACAAGTTCAGGCTCCCATACTAATTATAAACTGTGTTATAAAACTCAGATTTGATAAGAGGAAAGTCATGTTTAATACACACAGTATTGGAACTTCAGGGGGCTCGAGACTACCAAGAACAACTAGATTCATTTTATTCTCTGCTCTGATTAAATAATTTCTGCTCTGCTATTCTCTCTCAAATATCTTCATCCTGTTTTGATTAATAGAAAAAAATCTTTACATCTTTGGAGAATCATTAAACCAATTTGGTTGCTTCCTTGGCTGTCTCAAGAATTCTAAGGGTTTATTGTTTTCAGTTTTAAAATGATCAATAGTACAACTGACACCTACTACTTATTTACTGGTCAGCAATCATACAGTCACCGTCCCTGTAACTCCAGTTCTTTGCCCAGTATCTGGCAAACACTAGGCGCTTAATAAAGGTTAGATTGATACATGAATCACCTCTTGGATGGAAATTACATTACGTAGGTGGACTAATTTGATCTTTCCTAATCTCCCACCTTGTGAGAAGCATCCTCCACCGGTATCACAATTGGCATTTTCGGGTGATCGCTGAGCCCTTCCCACCTCCCCCGCTTCCATCAGCCAGCCACTTCCTCCCTTCTGGGCTCTGTTCCTCGCTCTTCTCCATCCTGGGGTCTGGAATGGTCCCCAGCCCGCCGGGAGGCAGTAGGGTCCCAGCTCCTCCGGCCCTCCCCCGGCGCTCCCCCCAAGGTCCTCCTCCCCGCCCCGACACCCCTTCTTCCTGGCACCCCGCGCCGCCCACGGCCACGCCCTCCCCGTGGGCGAGATCACCTGTCCCTCCTCCGCCGCCGCCTCCTCGGGTACCCTTTCGCCCCCCTCCTGCTCCCCCTCCTCCGCCGCCTCCCCCAAGCCCTCCCCTTCCCCGCCTCCTCCCACCCCTTGGTGTATATAGTAAAGGCCGGGCGCCGCACGCAGACACACACTCGCCAGGACACAGGCGCACACACGCTCACGCACAACCAGCAGCGGCGGCGGCGACAGCGACTCGGTGACAGCGGCGACGGCGGCTCCCACCGCGGCGCACCCCCTTCAGGCGGCCGGCGGCGAGGCCAGACCGGAGAGTTCCAGCACACTCGACCACCCCGCGGCTTCCTGGAGGCGGCGGCCGCGATTGCGAGGTAGTGGCCGCGGCGCCCCCGTGCGGGCCGGGGTCACCCCCGCCCTCCCCGCGCGGAGCTGCCACCGGGACGCAGGGGGCGCGCCGGGCTGGGCGCGCCTGGCGGGGCCCGGCGCCCGGGGAGGGGCCTGCTCCCGGGGGCAGGACGGCGCCCGGAGGCCGGGGCCGGCTGGGAGGGCCGGGCGGGGGCGGGGACGCGGGCCGAGGCCGCCGCCCGTGTGGCGCGCCGGGGCCCCGCTCCCGTTCCCGGCGCCGCGCACTGGCCGGCGGGGCCGGGGACTGCCGGGGAGGCGGCGCCGGCCGGCGGGGCGGGGGCCCCGAAGTGGGTTTCGGGCCGCCGCCCGCACTGGCATCGGGCGCAGAGGGCGGTGCACGGCGGACTCCGCGCCCAGGCACCGCACCGGGCAGTCTCCGGATCTGCCGTTCTGCCCCGGCCCGGAAAACCCGGCGCCTTCCAGGCCCTTCGAAAGATGGATTCTGTTGACGTATCTGGCGGCCCTGGCGAGCCTGGTGGAAAGTTGGGTTTTGCCAGATTGCGCCGGGCTCCTCTTTGTGACGCGCGGCCAGCCCCGCATCCCCCCCGGAGCCGGGTGAGTGTGCGTCGGCGCCCCGGGAGCCCCGGTGCCCCCCAATGCCCAGCCCCGGGGTGGCCGCACCAGCTCGGGCTTTCTGCCATGTTAGGCACCGAGCAACGTTCTCGCTGCATTTTTGCGTGCGTTTCAGTGGCGCCTTTTGCTGCGGAGGGAGTTATTGCTTCTCTCCGCGGTGGCTTTTTCGGGGTTGGGGTTGTGCTCTGTGTGTTTGCTTGTTTGCCATTTAAAGCCCGACTATTGTTCAGGATAAGCTCCGCCTGGGTGGGGAAATGGCATCCCACCACAGTTGCTGGCGAGGGGTAGAAATGTTGCCAAACAGCTGCTGCTTTGTGTTTCCCTATCAGAAGTCCTTGGAGTAGGTTTGGGGCACGACGGATGGATGGAGAGAGGGATGGGGCACGGAAGAAGAAGGTGGCTTTGGAGGAGCGGGTTGTTACCCACACCATGGCACTCACTCAGTCTCCCTTTCTGCCTGCCAAACTTTTATGAATATTCCTTTTGTGGCAGAGGGAAGCTTAATGAATTTAGCCCAGTTTTCCAAGGAAAAAGCAACCCAGCTTTAACAATGGTTTGAGAACTTAATCAATGAAAAAGGCAGGAGAGGAGGACAAGGAGGCGCCGACACCATATCGGGTATGTGGCTGCTGCTTGCAGAGTCAGGTAGGGGAGAGGTGGGGAGGGCACGGCGCAGCGTCTGGGTGACCGTGTTCCCGGAACTGTTGGTAGCTCTCACCTGTGCCCGCTGGTGCCACCCACCGTCGTGCCCCTATGTCGTGGGCTGTTCAGAACCCAGCGATGGGGTTTGAGGGGCGGCTTGCGGCAGTGCGCGGGCCGGCCCCCCTCATCTGGCGTTTTTAAGGATGTGTAAATATTTTGCTGAGGATAAGTGACATCAACAGAATGATATTCCGCAGAGCCCGGGTGTGCAGCGATGATAAATAGATATGGCCAAACAAAGTTTTGATAACCGCGTATTCTCATGGCTCTGTCTGTTTCATTTGGGTCTTTGTTTTTGTTGGTTTAGCATTATCTCGCATCCTCTGGTGTGATCCCTTTATTTAACTGATTCTTGGAAGCTTCTCTTTAGAACAGAGAGAAAAGCAGCCAGCAGGGAGAAAACAATTCTTAGCCTTGCAAGCATCAGGCAAGGTTTTCTGTGCTTTTCCCAGGGAATCTTTCCCACCGTTTTCTGGATGTCTCTCTTGCTCCTTTGGAGTCATCAGAATTGGTTGTTGGTGGACCGAGAGACTTGTGACAACTTTGAAAATGTGGTGTGGACATGCCTTTGTTACAGTAGAGGGGTGGCAAGGTGGGAGGGGGACAATACGGAAGGGGACAGTATGGAGGCTAGTTTTCTTCTCAAACGGGAACATGAGAAGCCAGGGGTGGGCTGGAAGGCAGAGAATTGTAAGATGGTGGCATCCCAGTTTCTCTGCCTCTTACAAGCCCAGAGAAGCCACCTGCCCCCACACCCCCACATACACACAGTCTCCTTCAAATGGGCACTCGCTTCTCGTCCTGACAGATGCCCACTAGAGGCATCCCCAGGGCAGCCCAGGCACTATGAACCAAGTCAGACTGGAACTTGGGGGTAGTGACTACTTTGGCACCAGCCCAGGGGACCATTCAGCCACCCGAGGGGGTTCCTTTATGATGAAAAAAAGCCAAGACCTCCAGTGGTGATGTTTTGCCCAGGAAAACCTGTTCATCTGAGGAACAAATGAAAAGACAGTTTTCCAAGCGATGCCGATCGCTGGGGTGAGAACACGGTTTGGTGGGCAGCTGGGGAAGAACTGTAAGACACATTTCAAAATCTTGTATCCAGAATACAGAGTCCCTGAAACAGGACCATCTGAACTACAAGAAAGAAAAATCAAAGACTGGAAGGTGTGTGAGGAGCTGTTGCTGGGAGTGCTCTAGCTGTAATGACCCAGAAGCTGAGGATAGGACTGGCCTCCCAAATCCATTGATCCAGAATGGAGATACTCTGGATGTGCAGAAAGCCCTGCACAGCGTGCTCCAAATTTATGATAAGAAAATAGGAAACGTCTGTTCTCTGGCTTCTCCCCTAAGCTTAGAATTTTGGAGAGGATGGTAGTGGAGGGAAATAAATTGGGAAGGGAACTAACATGTATTGTTGGCCTCTGTCTGCTAGGCACTTCACATGTGGTAAACCTTCTCAGCCACCCTGTGATGGAAGAATTATTTTACAGATAAGGAATCTGAGGCTCAGATAAATTTCCAGTTGTGTATCTGATTTCAGACTTTGGTGGTTATGATTTAAAGGGGCAACATGTCCCTATTCCCCTGCTCCAGGTCTCTTATTTATTTCTCTTAACCTGTCTGAACCTCAGTTTCCTTACCTACAAGATGGGAATAATCTTTCCCATCTCACATAGACGTTGTAAAGATTAAAGTGGGACACGTCAGCATGGAACCACGAAGGACTAAAACTGGAGTATGACACCAGGAACTCCAGGCCCCTAACCAAACATACAAATCTCTGGATCTCTTCCTGCTGGATCTTTCAGCCCCTCCACCTTGGCAAAATCTGGTACACAGTTGGTGGGGATTGGGGGGAAGGTGGAAGCCCACCAGTGGGCAACCCAGTCACCCACAGTGCATACTTATGTGCCAAGTAGATAGATCCGAAATACCCTGTGTCAGATGGACAGACTGTACCCTTTCATCTTGGAGTCCCCACCACCCAACTGTTGCTTAATAAATGAGAGTTGAGTGACTAAATGATGGCACTGATGGAGTGAATGGCAGTGGGGAGGGGGCTGTAGATCATTGTTAAGGGAGACCCAGCAAGGAGAGATCCAGAGATTTGTACGTTTGGTTGGGGGCCTGAAGTTCCTGGTGTCATATTCCAGTTTTAGCCCTTGGTAGCTCCATGCTGACAAGCCCCAGTTTAATCTTTACAAAATCCATGGGAGATGGGCAAGATTATTCCCATCTTGTAGGTGAGGAAACTAAGGCTCAGAAAGGTTAAGCAACTAACTCAAAGTCCACGAGGGACCAAAGGCTGGGTGAGGTATTTTTAACTAGAAACTGTCTCAAATAAACAAACACTCTATAGGAAAATGAGGAGGGAACTTGCTATGCAAATGTATCGTTAAAGCAAGCCCCGTAGCCCCCTTCCAACCAGGTGGTAGTCTTCAAACTCCTAGAAATTCTGGAGCCACCGAGGGAGCTGGGCTTTGAATCTATGTATGAGGAGCTCCTCAATGCTGCCTCCCTGAACAGAATATGAGGGAGACCTCAGAGAATGAGGGGGAAAGATGGCTAATTGCACTCTTCCCACACACAAAAGCCTGCGTGGGATTCTGAATTAAGCTTGATTTGGGGATCAGGGTGACATCCTTGCTGTAGAGTTGGCAGCTCTTGTCTTTGGAGAATGCCTCTGATTACCACTTCTCCCTCCCACCTGATCGTCTGCCCGGGTGCCCATCATCTCATTCTTTCCAGACTCAAAGCCTTTCCTTCATGGCTCACAATGTTGATGAGCCTCTTGAGTCTGCCACTTCACTGTCCTCTGATGGCAGCTGGTGAGAAGCTGATTTTGGCGGCCAGGTTAGTACTTCTGGAGTTCACACATGACCCTCCTCTCTCCTGCCAAGAACACACACACGAACACACATGCACACACAGACACAGGCACACATAATTTGATCACGTTTCTGTATCTGCTTCACCAAATTAGATTCAAACCCAGAATTGTTATTGGAAGAAGTATGTGACTTTGGTGTTCTCTCCCAGCCCCTGCCCTGAACAGACCAGAACAGCTAAGATGGAGGCAGCTTAGCCAGCAGATGTCTTGAGCCATGATCATACTTGCTGGCCTTCCCACTGCTGTGGGGCAGCACCGCAAAACATGGGCATGGTCTGCCTTCATCCGTCTGGGCTGCTATAACAAAATCCCATAGGCTGGGTGACTTATAAATGATAGAAACATATTTCTCACCGTTCTGGAGGATGGGAAGTCAAAGATCAAGATACCGGCAGATTCAGTGTCTGGTGAGGGCTTTTTTCCTGGTTCAGAGATGGCATCTTCTTGCTGTGCCCTCACATGGTAGAAGGGGCAAGTGACCTCTCTGGGGCTTCTTTTACAAGGGCACTCATCCCATTCATGAAGGCTCCACTCTCACGACCTAATCACCAACCAAATGCCCCACCTCTTAATACCATCACGTTGGGGATTAGGATTTCAACACAGGAGTTTGGAGGGGACAGACACATTCAGACTATGCATGGTCCCAGGGCCTTTCATAAAAGCCCATTTTAATCTCTACTGAGACATAGGGCTGGGCTCCTTGAACATCCCAATCCTTGTAATTCCAATTTCTGCTGTAATTAGCTCCAACAACTCAGTAATTCTAGAGAACTTTGGAGCACACTCTGCTCACACCTGTCACTCCTCTTCCCACAACTTTTTGGTCTTCCAGCACAGCACTGTCTAATAAAACTTTCTATGATGATGGAAATGTCACATGTTTGCACTGTCCCACACACTAGCCACTAGCCACATGCAGCCATAGAGTGCTTGAAAAGTGGTTGGTCCAAATTAGGATGTGCATTAAATATAACAGATGCATGGGATTTCTGTGACTTAATACAAAAAAAGAATCCAAAATAGCTCATTAATAAGCTTTGCATTGATTACATGGTAAAATGATAATATTTTGAATATATTAGTTAAATATGATAGAGTATTAAAATTAGTGGCTTCTTTTATTTTTTTAAATGTGACTACAAAAAAAATTTAAATTACATAAACATTTCTATTAGACAGAGCTGCTCTGGAGCAAACTAACCAACCTCGTGACTTCAGCCTCCAGATGTTCTGGGGACATAAACGCTCTCCATCTCGATGGCAGGTGGGAGGCAGGGGGCTGAGTCAGTAGCCACAGCAGCCTGGCATCAAGCGATTTTGATTTTCAGTAGCTCAGGTGCCATGATGGAGGTTCCCCGTGGAAACTAGCCATGAGCATGTTGGCTCAGTCTCATGCTCTATGAGGAATGTGGGACCCAGAAACCCAATAGAATGGGCACAGGCAGGACTGGCTTGAATGAAATGGCTCTTTCCTTTCCTCGACCCCACCCACCCCACAGGCCGGTGTCCTTGTCCATCGGAGAATTCCTTGACACCTGCTCTAGTAGCAGCTTAAAGTACTATCCATCCCAGGGATTTGTGCTTGGAGAGTAATGTCGCCAGTAGACACCCTCATGCTGACAGTGGGTTATTTAGGGCCAGGGCCAGCCTTAAAGGAGAGAAAATAAAAAAGAGAATGCACACTGTCATTTCCTGACAGCTTGATGAGAACAAGAGCAAGGACATAAATAAAATTTCTGCGAGGGAGACAGAATAAATGCAAGGAAGGTCAATTTCACACAACCATAGCACAGCAGATGAAGAAACCTGGCCAAAGGAGAGTTCAGGGAGGTAGAAGAAGGATTTTGGCTGGCACTATGGTATCATCACATCACATCATTTCTGGGTCCTTCCCTAGGCACTGGTCATGGCATAAATAGACGGAAAGGGATGGGATAATGAACTTGGGACTGCAGTGATTTACAGGTCAGGCGCCTGTGGCTCTGGCTCCTGAGGGGGCTGCCCTCACAGGGGACCCTTGGCTGACCCCCTTGGGCTCCTCAGAAGGAGTTGGTTTTGTTTCACATGGCAGAAGCAGACTGTTTACTGGAGCACAGGAAGAATCCGACATTCTGGCGAAAAATAATTCATTAACAGCCAGGGTATTACCAGTTCCCTGGAAAAGCTCCTCCAGCTGCACTGTAGCAACTGTTCTTTTTCAGCAGCAGAATCGGGCCGTGCTGGCAGCCAAGACTGGGTGTGTTTGGGCGTTTTTATTGTTGTTGTTATTTTTGCCTTTGTGTGTATGGCCACTTTTCCCTTATAATTCAGAGAAAGAAATGGAGGCCTGGAAGGGTTGAAATGGTGTAGCTGTCAGCCATTCTTTCCTTCGTGCTTTAAGCCTGGAAGCTCCAGGCTGACTGTATGAACATAGGTTTTTCCTGATCAAAGCCCATCCCCAAAGTGGGGGCACTGCAGAACCACATAGAATGTTCTAGGATGAAAGGAATTTTAGGGAACTGAAACACCTGTTCTTAAGATTCTCTGAAAGCAATTGGCTGAAGAATCCCTCCCCACCCCCGTATGCACAACCAGGCAGAAAGTCCTATCTTGGCCGTGTGGAATTCTTTTGCTTACTATTAATTGGCACAATGGGGCCAAAGTATGTGATTCATCATCCTAGTTTTGAGGGCATTTGGAAAGCCAGGCAAGCATAACCAAGAGAATGGGCTGCATGTTTTGCTCACTAAGGAATGATTGAATCTACAGTAAATACAAGGAAAGATTCAGGAAGCTTTTTGTGCTCTGGAAAAATATGTCTTTTTAAAAAAATAAGGTTTTTGTCTGCCTGTTTGTTTTTTAATGCCTCATGCTCAGAAGTGTGTGCCCAGCTAGCAAAAAACGGGAAAGAATAGCATTTCCTTGTTTTAGTTTTTTTAAAACTCTAATTGCAGTTTAGGTAAGATACAGTGTATTGATTTTGGTTTTGTATGGAACATAACTAGATAATCATTTTATTTTATGAGATATTAATTTCCACCCATTTAGACTGATGAAATATGCATTTAAAATATCCCATACCTACCCCCACCATCATCACAATATTTCTTTAATGTTCCTAGATTCAGATGGAGAACCTATTTCATTTATATGGAAAAGGAGTAAATATGTTAGTCAACATATATGTAAACCTGCCTTAGATTTTGAAAAAAATGGGATCCTTTCCCTTTTTTTAAAAAAAAAATGAATGTTAAAGGCCAAGCATATTTGGCTTTATCTGGAGCATGGTTTCTTCACCTTGGCCCTGTTGACATTTTAGACCAGAGAATTGTTTGTTGCAGGGGACTGTCCCATGCACCTTAAGATGTTCAGCAGTATCCCTGGCCTCCACCCACTAGATACCGTTAACACCACATCCTCCTACCCTAGACCTTGCCAAATGTCCCCTCTGGGACAAAATTAGCCCTGTTGAAGACCACTTGTCTAGACCAAAATTTAATAAGTACTTTGTGTTTTTTTGGAAAATTCCATTTGACATAATAAAAGACACAATTTTCCCCCTCTGACTTTTATAAATACAATTCATGGGCATGATTAATTAACGGTTGGAAGTGGGTCATGTGCGTGATTTAATTCTAAGGTTGGTGGAAGGGTCTATAAGATTGTATAAGCATAGAGACTTTTTCAAGGCAGGCAATTTTATAAGTCATAGGTGATTGGGGGGCACATTGTAAGAACTAGTGGCTTCTCTGGTTTTTCATAAAGAGAACAGGTTTATTCCTCCCTAATTTCTTTTTCATATGCACCTGATTCCAGGCATGACTTCAAAGTCAGCAGGCATCTTCCCCCACCCCCAGCCCCTCCCCACTGTCATTTCTCCGGTAGCATCTTAAGCCCGAGCCAATTGATTTAGCCATTTAGTGTACTTGTGAGAGCTCTGCTCGTAATATTGTAATGGACTCATTTCAGATTGTAGCAGCCCTTTACCCACCACTAAATTCCATGTTTTCCAGTACTATTGAGAGAGAAAGTCAACAGTACTTTCTCGGTAGATGGATCATTTTTCGTAATGATTGAAATTCAGGTAGCCCCCATCACCCCTGGCAATTTTGTTTCCTTTTACACACATTTGTTTCCTTGAAGCAATTCTCCTTCAGGCAGCTAGCACCTGGTAATGCCTACAGGCAGCAACAGCAGATGAAATGTTGCCACCAGGACAAGCCCTCAGCCATATTCTTTCTGGTAGTCCCTTGAAAGGCTAGAAAGGAGGGTCATGCCTTACACAAGGAAGGTGTCATGCGGGCAAACCATGCCCTGCCCATACATGGAAATGGAATGGGTGTTTGGGGGGCAGGGAGAGGGCAGAGAAGTGGATCACTCATTATACAGGGAAAGTGTTCCCCAGTTAGCCCTCCCCTGCCAGCCTCTGAGAGTGATATGGGAGCAGGGGATGCTGGTGAAGGATAGGGGCAGTTGTTCAGTGCAGAAGTCAACATAGGCCACTTCATTTTGCAGCCATCCAAGGTAGGCTGACCTTTTCCAAAGAGTGTCATGTGTAGGATTCCCTTGCATACTAGCCAGTGAGGAAAAATGGAAAGGTGAGCATTGAGGGATTTGGCAAGCCAGCGACACTTCATTGGTGAGTTCCAGCATCTCTTGAAGAGTAGTTGAAGTCTTCCTTGTCGCCATGAAGAGAGAGGCAACAAGCTGGTAGGGATCCACAGTGTGCTGGGCTCAGGCGGATAAATAATTGATTTGTAGCACGTGACACTTGGACATTCTAAGTTGCCAGTCCGTTGCAGGCCAGGATTCAGGTGATGGTTGCAACACTGGGAGAGGAAATAGGATCATAAATCTGGGCGTTGGAGGCCAGTTTCGTGGTGCAGAGGCCACTGGGGCCACCGCTGTGTGTGCAGAAGCAAACAGACAGATCTGAGTGGTATGTTGTTCCTCAAAATAATGGCAATGGAAATGGCTGTGAAAAACATTTAGGAACTTGTCATAAAAATGCAAACAGTCTTCCTTCTATAGGGAAAAGCTAAATAAACCCTATTGCAGCTGTATTAAGTAGAAACAGATTTGAAAATCGGGTGTTTTTTTTGTTTTGTTTTGTTTCTGAGACACTTATTTATAGCAGGTTGGGCAGAGGCTGCCACTATCTTTCGAGACTCCGGAAGAGTGTTTTCCAGATGGTCCTTGCTGTTTTTCTCTTTATTAAGCTTAGCTAAACAGTGCTGTGCTTGGAAAGGGTCATAGAAACCAGTGTTACTTTTTTTCAGATTACAATGGTCATTGATTGGCTAGCAATCAATGGATGGGAATGGATTGAGCCTGTGCCGATGAATTTCCTATTGCATTTTATAAACAAGAAAAATGTCAAGGAAAGCACAGAATAGGGATACTCTTTCGACTATGCACATCAAAGCTTTGAAAACCATACAGAGTTACATTTCCTATTAATTTCCATTTAAATTTTGTTCTAAAATAATGCTCCCCTCTTTGTGAAAGCTCTACAATGTTACCGTTTCCTTTCCAACATCTAAACAATGTCCAGATCCATTTCAGATTGAGCAATTAGCTCTGGATGCAATTTCCTTTTATGAAAAAAAGAATCACTAGCCCTCTAGACCAAATATAAAATTATTGAATGTGAAAATATCAATATGGGGCCATTTGTTCTAAGATCCTTTTTGGTCTATCACTGGCATTTTAAGAAGGTTAGAAAAGGCCAATTCTGCCCTGCCCTTCCATGTTCGACACAGCCACACCAGAAACCCCAAGCTTTGTTTGTGCTCATAGAGGCTGAGCAGCTGGATTTGAGGTCATCAGGGCTGAAGCTTACAGCCAAAACTGCAAGGGGAAACATCTTAGAATGTCCCATAAGCCAGTGGTCCCCACAGACCAGGTTTGCAGACCACTGCCTGTATCGGACAGGATTTCTGCCCCCTCACAGTGAAGTGGAAGAAAAGTGAAAATGCAGTAAATTTATTTTGTTTAAAGCTAAACCTTTTCCACTTTACAAAACTGCCCTGTATTCCAAAATGATCTTTCCCACTGTCCTTGGTGTGAAACTTTCTCTTACGACTTATCAAGAGATAGTGGATGACATTTGTATTTTGACATCTTGATTTAACAAAGTCAGAAGTTTTCTAACTCATATTGGATCCTTCATTTTAAAAATGCTACTCATCCATAACATTCAAAAGTCTGAGGTTCACCCAGGAGGCCCAAGTAGACCTGGAAGGGGAGGCTTTGTTATGATTCCTAAGCCAGAAACAGCAACCTGAGGAAGGATCCTGGGACCGCTTCCCTGAGTCCCTTCTTTACTCAGCTCTTCTGACCCCTCACTCATAGAGAGCTGGCTTTGTCCTAAGCCCACGTGAAGAATGGAATTGCTTCTTTGGAGGAGTTTGAGGGGGCAAAACTGGCCTCTTGAACATGAACGCACAAGCGTGCAGCCTCAATGCTGAGAGCCTGGGCCCTTTATCCCTGACTCCCAATGTCAGCGCCATTGCCGGTTCTCGTGGGCTTGACCCCCTTCACCCTCTCCTCAGCCATGCCCACTGCTGTCATGAGCACAGGCCTCAAAAGGCTCCCCGGTGTGACCCTGTTCTCCTCACTGCTCTGCATGATTTGTTGCATTGCTCCCCCAGCTGCCGTTCCACAGGCCTGCATCAGCTTCCTCCTGCTAAAGCACCTCTCTAGTCTTGTCACCCTAGCTCAAGAACATTCAGTGGCCCCTTATTCCCTAATAAGGTTGAATAAAAGTCCACATATGAAGCCCTTTCTACTTTCCCAGCCCATTTCTCCTGTCCTAGAGCTTCGACTGGCATTCAGTAAGGCATCATGGGAGGGCGTCTACAGGTTTTACAACTTCTCTGTGCTGGGTTTTGTTTGTTTTCTCATATGAGGGGAGATTTCCAAAAAGGTTATGGGGTATCTTGGACATCTTTCTAGATGAAGAAAATGGAAGGCTTGAGTTTAATGTGAGAGAGAAAGAGAGAGAAGAAAAGAAAAAAAGAGAAGAAAAGGAAGCCTTTCACAAAATGAGGCTTTCTGGTTTCAAGAATTGCAGCCTTACTACAAGTCTCTTACCACTCTGGGTCAGGATACCACCTTTCTGGCCTGCCAGCAAGTGGGTATTGCTTCAGAATTACACTACTACTTATCCTGTTGAGAACTGAGCCACTTACCCAAGCTTTGGAACGTACAACTCAAACATAGTGGAACGGGTCCATCCTAGCCAATGCAGAATGTCCATTCTGTTAGGAAACATCCTCCAATGACTGCTCATGAAATCATAAAAGCAATTATATTACCTCTCATTTATCAAGCTCCTGCTATAGGCTGGACAGTGGTACCAAGTGATTTACATATATTATTTTATTTCCAGCTCCATAACAACCATATGAGGTAGGTATACGTATTATGAACTCTATTTCACAGAGAAGGAATCAGAGGCTTGGATACGTTTAGTAACTTACACAAGATCACACCACTTACAGGAGGTGGAACTGGGATTCTGTACAGCGTGGTTCAGTAGAACTTTCTGCAATGATGGAAATGTTATGCACAGTCCAGTATGGTAGCCACTAGCTACAAGTAAGTGGCTGAGGAAGTGGATTTTACTGAATGTACACTTTGGTAGCAGCTCTAGAATATGCTTGTTTCACCGCACCATTCCGTCTGTCTGCTCTCTGCAGACTTTACATCTCTCTTCCTCCCTCTAGACAAAACACAGCTCTGCTTTTTCTCAGAGGCCTGTAGCCAGCAGTTCTCAAGGGCAAGTGTGCATTAGAATTGCCTCTGTACCTCAGGGAGCAGTGGTCGCTGGCTCAAGTCAGCAGGGAGAAGCTTCCTTCCCACTGCTGTCCTGAAGAGCTTACCCTCTCGTCGTCATCCCAGCTTTATTTGGGCGACTGTTAGATTTGGTCACTTCCTTAGCAATTGTTCTTGAATGCATTCATTTTAATTTGGGATCTTTTGGGAGGAAGAGGGTGGAGAGCCAGTTGCGGGTGAAGGAAGAAGCATGGGCTCTAGGAACTGCCTGACCACCCTAGCAATCTAGGGCAAGCCCAGGCAGAGAGGCCCATTTGCTGTCCAATTTGCTGTTCTCTGTAATTAAACAGGGCAGAAAAGTTGACTAGGAAAGAGTGAGACAGACAGATAATGAAGCTGGGTTTTCCCCCACCCCTCCATGCCCCTACACTTATTTCTTCACCCTAATTAAAGTCTTTGTCCATTTTGGAGGGCAAAAGCCAGCCTCCCTGGGGCAGGGGTAGAGGTGAGGGGGTGTGAGTGGCCAGGAGGCCAGGGAAGGTCTGGAAAGGTCCCTGGAAGGAGATTGTGATGTCAGCCACCTTAACACTTGATCTCCATTTCAGCAGTGCTAAGAATGTTCTTGTTTTTTTTTTTTTTTAGATACAGGTGGAAAGAAGTAGTTGAGGTTACTCACCAAAGCAGCTGTTGAGCTGTTTTTCTTATGAATATTTGTAAAATGAAAGAGTGGTATGGAATATTTTTTTCTGAGTATGCACAAATCTTCTGTTTTCCCCCACAGAGACTAAGCTTTTTTCTTTTCTCTCTGTCTCTCCCTCCCCTACCCTTTTTTTTTTTTTCATTTTTTGTTTTATTTGAGAGCAGAAATCATGTGTCTTTTTTTGTGGCTTGGTCTCAAACCAACATTCATTCTCTTGAGCCAGGCAGCACTTCCTAAAGCTCATTTTAATCACAGTCTATGACAGTCCAGCCCTCCTTGGCTCCTGGCAGCACTTAGATGCTGATAATAGATTGAACAAAAAAGTGCTAACACACAAGTTTCCCTCAGTTTGTCTGTTTCCAAAAGTAAGTCTCCAAAGGCATGAAGTTAAGTCCTCTTTTGCATTATTATAGAGGCTCTGTCCCCATTAATTGGTGTTGAAATGTAAATTCCTTGGGCTTTTAATACTTCCATTTTCCTACCACTTAGCTCTCTGCCATCTACCCATGAGCGGCTCAGTAAATACCAGCATGTAGTGGGTCCCAGAGCTCTGGCCCTCTCTGGTCTTTGTCACCATCATCACCAGGGGCTGAGGCCTGCTTTCCTCTAGTCAGCCAAACCCGCTGTTAACTCCACTGTGGATATTTGGACAGGAAGCTCTTCATTCCCCCATCCATATGGATACTTATTTGCTGCCTTCAAATTCGTTGCTTTCTGCAGAGGGCTATGCCAAGTGCTCCACCCTTCCCCTTCATTCCTTTTGACCACTTCTGTGGCTGGGGGCAAAGGACTCCATGTTCTCCAAACCTAAGATGGAGTTGAACCACTGCAGGGCTTTAATATATGTGCTTTCACTTCAACTACACGGTCACTTTCAGAAACAGCTATTTTCATTTGTGGGATGAAGAAACAGAGGCAGCAAAAGGGCCAGTTCTGAGTGATGAGCAGAAAAGGTGGGCAGGGCCCACATCATAATGGGTCTTGTGTGCCTTGATAAAGACCTTGGACTTCATCCTGAGCAGTTTTCAGGAGGCTTTTGAGGTGACCTAGTTTATGTGTTTGGTCTTTTTCCCAGTGGAGATGTACTGGAGGGTGGGGGATGGGGACGGTGGAGGGAATGAAGACCAAAAAGGCCCTGTTGCAGTAACCCAGAAAGAGAGGCAAGGAAGAACCGAAGTAGAGGAGTGCAGCGGATGGGGAGGCTAGTGGCTGGATTCAGAAAGAATCTTAGGAGGCTGCCTCTCTGAGGCTTGGTGATGGCTTTGTATTAGTCTGTTCTCATGCTGCTAATAAAGACATACTTGAGACTGGGTAATTTATAAAGGAAAGAGATTTAATGGACTCACAGTTCCACATGGCTGGGGAGGCCTCACAATCATGGTGGAAGACTAAGGAAGAGCAAAGGGACATCTTACATGGTGGCAGGCAAGAGAGAGCTTGTGCAGGGGAACTCCCATCTATAAAACCATCAAATCTCTTGAGACTTATTCACTACCATGAGAACAGTATGGGGGAAACCACTCCCATGATTCAATTATGTCCACCTGGCCCTGCCCTTGACACATGCAGATTATTACAATTCAAGGTGAGATTTGGATAGGGACATAGCCAAATCATATTAGGCTGATAGACAGACTAAATGATGACAGCACCCTGGTTTCTGTCTTTTGGGCCCCCTGGTGGGTCAGGAAACTCAGAAGAAGGGAGAGAGTGGGTATCTGGGCCTCCCCTCCCCCTGCAGCCAGGCCTAGGTGAGTAGTCAGAAAATCTTGGTATGGCCTAGGCAATCCTATTCTGAGCCCTCAGTTCTGAAGGAAATGCAATGAAAACAAATTGATGGGTCAGAAGAGCCTTTTGAAGCCATTCTGGGGACAAAAACAAAACCTGACAGACATAGTCAACAGCCAGGAGCACCTTCAGTCCGCAGCTTTAAATGCACTTCACAAATACATACGCTTTAAATAGGTCAGACTCTGTAAGCAGGAGGGGACTTTGGGTGAGCCTGCTGGTTCAGGCTTTGACTGGGCCCAGCTAGGGGAGAGGGGTTTAGCTGGTGGCCTGCTGCTAGCATGACCACCCATCCTGTCCTCATTTGCCTGGGATTGAGAGGGTGCTTAAGACACAGGACTTTCAGTTTTAAAACTCGGACAGTCCTGGGCAAACCATGGTGAGTGAGTCACCCCACCTGCCAGGGGAAATGTTGCAACATGGATGGCTGAGCTGATTGGAACCAAAGCAGTGGAGATTTACTTCCACCTGAACTGGCATCAGTATGGGGATGCCACCACAGAGAAGAAAAGGAGCTTGGGAATAGAAAAGGCAAGAACATATCCGAAACCCTTTCCAATAGCTTCTCTGGTTCCAACTGAAGCACTTCTCTTAAAATAGGAGCCTGAGATCCTTACCCTGTCTTCCTGGAAACTAGACCGCCCTATGCCATTCTTGTTATCCCACCCATCTGATGCCTGTCTAGATATTTCAGTTGAATTTCAGATGAGTGAACAAATCCTTCAGTCCTGCTGGAATCTGGGACTTGAAAGTCCTTAACTGGACATGGAAATATGTTAAACTGAGTCTTGAGTGAGAAAAACACTTTCTTTACATAATGCATTCCTACGTCCTTAAAATCATGATTAGAAAAGACTTTTTATTTTTCTAGGAGCAGCAAGATGCAGACTCTTGTGTAGCAGTAGACCATTCAGATTTTAATTTTGCAAAGCAACTGTAATCCTCCATTATTCATCACTCTACTGAAACCAAATTTAAAAAATTTTAAGTTTTCAAAAGCTTCCTTTCTCCACCCCCATCCCAAAGATTTCTCTTGCAAAGCAAACCTCAGTAAATAAACAGGCAACATGTTGTAAATGGTACAAAGTGGAGAGCTTGGAGTAGGAAGCTAATGAAAGGGATTTTTCCTGTTGGGTCCTGGTGCAAGCCTTCAGGTACATTCAGAAATACAAAGAGAAATGCAGAGTGAGGTGACACACTCATCTTAGGACACCAGTGACAGGGAAAAGCACTCAGAGTTTATTCTCGTGGTGGCACCTGAACTCTCAACAACTAGAATATGGAGGGTGGTCTAGGAGGAATTCAGTTCAGGGAAATAAAAGCGAAAGGGAAAACTAGAGGAAGATGTGAAAAAGGCAAGAATAAGATTCCTCGGCCATGGCCATGTGGTTCAGATAGTTGAGAACCACCCCAAATGGGACTTAGGTCTTTGGAAAGTGCCCTCAATGATACCCTGCCCTCCTAAAATGAGTCTGAGAGAGAAAATGAGTCTTCTTGTTCATTTGTGGCACTCTGTACCACTGTATGAGGAGTAGATATTAGAACTTAAATAATAGCATCAGCATTTTTAAAAGGTTGTCTATTTCACACACACTTCAAATAGGTCAATTTTTAAGCAGTAGGGTGACATGGTTTATTCTTTCCTTGGTAATGTTTGGTTTTTAAAGCCAGCTATATGGATGGGAGATGTGTTAAAAATTATCTAACACAAATTTTTATTTGTGGATTTTTGTCTAAAATTCTTACATACATACACAAAATTGCATATATTATTAAGTGTACATCTTGAAGAATTTTCACAAACAGCACACCGATGTCACCAGTGCCCTGAAGGAGACACAGACTGCACCAGCCCCTGGAAGCTTCTTCATGCCCTCTTCATTATCCTCACCAACAATAGCCACTATCTTTTAACAGCATAGATTTGTTGTATCACATGCAGGGATTTTTAAATCATAGCTTTGTGTATGAGTACCAAAAAAATCCAGTCCTGTGATTTGTTTTGATGGAGAGGGTGGGAGCAGAAATTTTGTAATGGTTTTCTTTCTCTGGCTGCTGTGAGTTAGGCTTGTTAAACAGGAAGTTTCCAAGCTGGGTTCTTGCTGGTATAGGGTTTGGGGCAGGCTGGTCTCTTCTGCCCAAGACAATGCCCAGGCTGCAAGCCAGTAACCTGTTCTTGGCACCACCTGGGCCAAAGGCAGCCACCAAGCTTGCTTTATCTGCCTTATTAAAGCCTCTGTCAGAGCTTGCAAAGACACATGTCTGGGAGCACCAAGAATAGGACAATATAATGGCTGGGAGTCCTCTGAATCAACTGGCCTTCTGGAAGGTAAGGCCAGGCACAGCGACTAAAACAGCAATAGCATATCCAACGAGGACATTTTTCTCCAACTTCCAAATGAGAGTATGATTGATGAATTTCTCTTCTTCGTAGGTTTCATTGTATTTTTCTATGTGCATTCTGCCTCCTTTTCTTTTTGCTGCAGGAGGCAAAAAGTGGGAAGGTGGGAATCAAGCTATGGAACATACATCGTAATGTGTCTGGAGCGGCATCAGCAAAGGACTTATTTGTTCTCCTGGGCTGTGGAGTGCCGAGTGATTGAATACTCGCCAAGCTGTCAGTTTTATGAAACAAATTCCCTAACCCTCTTGGCCCAGAGCTTTGCTCTGCCTGAAATGGAAAAGAAATAAGTTTTAATAGAAAACTCATTGCAAAAATCTAAGATAAGATTCCCAAGCAACTTCTCTCCTAAGAATAAAATGAAATATTGAAGAAAGCATTTGATGGGGTACTCTTAGGGAACCTTATTTCTCAGTTCTTAGTTAACAAACCATGTTAATAAAAATATTTAGACTTTCGTGATGCATAATGCATTTTTATTCCTAGTGAGCTGGCCTGTTTGTATACACAGATGTTTCCTGTGGCCCTTCTATCATAGCTTCTATTTTTTCTGAAACAATATTTCTAGCAGGAAATAGAATCTTATGTTAAGAACCTAAGCCCCTCACAGACCCTGTTAGTTTGAGTGAGGATATTTTCATTTCTAGATTTAATACTTGAGGGAGTAGGGTCAGAATCTTTTTTTTTATTCAAGAACATGGAAAATACTTTTAATAAAAAGATAATGCAATGAATCCACTGTATCAAGACATTAGACAGTTCTTCCTTGGCTTCTAGATTAGACCTGATCAGTTCATCCAGGCACATTCATTGCTGAAGGGTTGGATGGCTTTTCTGTCTCCATTCTCACTGTCAAAGCTGCCATGAGTAATGTCTGCCCTTTCATGCAAACCTTAGGTGTGTTCAACTGGGTTTTACAGATTTTCCAGAGCATTGTTCTCACAGAGCTGCAGTTTCCTTTCCAGCACCAGGAGCACTGTCGCAACACAGCTCACGAGCTCAGTTTCTCTGCCACTCGTTGGAGTGCATGGAAATGCATTACAAACAAAACCCACAGGCAAGTGTGCTAAGGAAGGAAATGAGATTTTACACATCAGCACTTTAAAAAAAAAAAAGATGAACCTGTCTTAATTGAAAAATGGCATAATGCCCTAATGAAAAATCAAGTTTCAGGATTCAGTCCCTAATATCTCAGTGATGAGTGCATATTTCCTCCTGTGGCTACTCCTGCGAGTGAGTTCTGAAATAATCAGGCAGTGTGTTGAAATAAGATATCATTGGGTGTTACTATAGGAGTGAGGCATAGCTGTCTGGCTGACATGCTGGTCACCGCCTACGTGCCAGGAGAGAAAGGGATGAAACACAGGAATCCTTCTCTTCTGGCTTTTTGGAGTTTTATTTTCTTTACCTTGGTAGTAAATCTTGTTTTTCTATGATCATAAAAGTAGACATACTTACTTTAAAACATTTACAAGTATGAGAAGATAGCAAGAAGAGAATAAATATCATTCGCATTCTTACCACCCAGAGATTGCCACTATCACCATTTTGGTTCATGTCCTCACAGTCTTTTTTTTTTTTTTTTTTCCTATACATATATTCTTTATCTTCTCCAGGAGTTTGGAGCTTTACAATTCAAAGTCTTCTTGTGCTTAAATTGATTTTCTCAAAACTTTGCCGATCATTTATGTTTCCCTAATCATTAACATCAAAAATGAAAAGGTACCTGTTTTATTACTTCTCATGGGTGACAAAGAAATTTTTAGCATATTTATTTCTCTTCTTCTACTGACTGTCATATCCCCCAAGCATGTGGAACCTAGCAGTTCCTTAATATAAATGTTGAATCAATGAATGAATGACGACAGTTTATCCTCATATTACTCCCAGGGGGTGAGCATCAGCTCCTGAGACTAACGCCTTCCACCATCCTTTGCTGCCTCTCCCTCGCAGTGAGACTAAGCCTCCCTCTGTCCACTGGGTCTGTTCTCCCTGGTTTTCCATGGACTGTGGGCAGTAAGGGGATGCAATGGAAAGGGATCGCCCTTTAGAGTCAAAGGGGCCAAATTCTCAGGTCTACCAACTACTACATAATGGGACGAGTGTCTTCATCTCTCTGGCCTCAGAGATGCCAACTGTACAGTGGGTGGCAGTGATACCTGCCTGTCAGGATGAGTGACAAGTATGCAAGATGCCTAGTACACAGGAGAGATCCAACGTCTGCAGCTGCTAGTACTTTGCCCACTTTCTTTCTAATGACAGCATAAATAAAGAGCCCTTGGGGCCCTAGAGCACTTCCTTTCTCTTCACATTTCCAGTCGTTTCATCTAATGAGCCATAGGAAGATTTCTGATGAGTTACTTGATGCTTCTGTGCCAAGTAAATCAGAGAAATAACCAAGAATTGAGTGGCCTTTTTAATAATCTGTTTCTTGTGCTTCTTCTACTGCCATCGCACGTGCTTCCACTGCAGCAGGTGTCTGGCTGCATTGTAATTGTGTGTTCACACAGCTGACTCCCCCACGACACAGTGAATGTGTCTTGCATCTTGGTATCCTCAACCCGGGACCCACAGTGCTCATAATTGAGGAGTTACTCAATATATATTGATTGAATGGATGAATGAATAAATGAACAAATGAATAGTATCGTATTGTACACGTATTGTCCCTATCTCGACCACACACATGGACTTTCTGCAAACCATATTGTAGAATTAAATCGTAAGCCTTCTGAACCTGTGATGTAAGCCTCTGACAGACAGACATATAAGTACTGGTTCTGCAAAGTGCGAGCTTAAGGGAAAAAATGATATTTCCTTTTAGTTGCCATGATTAATCCATGGATTCACTGGTTCGCATGTGAGGTTCTTTAGTGGAGTAGGAGTGACAATGTATGCATGGTACAGCTTCTTGTCTGCAGCTTTTAGTTTGAGTTAGATGCGTGTTGGCATCTCTTTCACACAGAATCTGAGGAGCTGGCATTTATTTTTGACAGCATCTCAAATCTTGTGAAAGTCAGAGCTTGGGGCTGGCATTGTTTTTTAGTAGTATCTCAGACGGTGGCAGGACAACCTTGATGATAAAAAAGAGGCTTAAACAGATGTCTTCTTAGAGTTCTTCCAAAAAACTAAAAGTTCAGCAAAAAAATAATAAAAAAAAAAGCTTCTGAACTTCTAGAGCAAAGACTTCTTTGAGCATCAGCTATTTGCAGACTGGCCACAAATAAACACTCACAAACAAAGTCATAGGGATTTGTTTCCCTCTCTAATTCACTACGGTAGTGATTGCTGGTTAGTCCCCAAAACCTGTTTTGTTTATCTTCCTAGGTACCCAGATAGACTACATTTCCCAGTCTCTCTTGCAGTTGTATGTGTGGCCATCTGCCTGAGTTCTGGTCAATGGGATGTGAGTAGAAAGGATGTGTGCACCTCTGGTCCAACCATAAAAGCTTTCTAGGTTTTCCTCCAAGCTCTTCTCTTATCCACTGGCTGTCTGGGATGGAGTGAAGTCCCAAGGTCACCTTGAAAGCCACAGTTAAAGATGGCAGAGCCTCTTCTGCCTAGGGAAGGCCATTTCATGGAACAAAACTGCCAGATCTGGAGCCCCCACCCTAGACAGTTACATAAACAAGACATAAGCTTTCATTATTGAGCAATTACAAGTTAGGAGCAATTCACTAGGTAACTTATCCTACCTTAACTAAGTCATGCTCCTTGGGTTTTTTTTTTAAGCAGCCGATAGTTTTCAAAGGCCTTTTATGTGCCTGGAATTGTTTGTGTTACTAATCCTTTCAGTAGCCCTGCAAAGATTCCTTATTTTACACCGATAGATGCAACTCCAAGTAGGAAGGGGATGAGCATTTTGTCCACCACTGTCACCCCAGGATTGGCACAGAGGGTGGCATTGAGTAGGCTCTCAATGAGGCTTGTTGATGATGGATAAAAGGAAGGTTCAACAAGGCGAAGTCACATGCCCAGACCCCATAGCTAGAAAATGCTGAACTCACTGGCCTCAAGGTCCAGCTGCCTCTGAGTATTGGTAATCCAAGATTTTAAAAAGAATGGGTGAAGGGCCAGTGATGGACACTTAGAAAAAAATGTTTTTGTCTCTTTCTGACTGAAAAAAGTAACACATATTTAAAAATAAAAACATTATAGATATCTGAAACAAAGACATGAATAGTGCTCTGTAATATTATCAGAGAAAACTGGTACATGCTTGGTTTTATTCTTTAAGTTCTTAACACACACACGTGTACACACATGCTCACTCAACAAAAATTAGTTCATGTTACATGTAGAAAATATAGAAAATCTATATTCTCTCCTGCCAAATGACTTCTTCACCTATTTTTCCCTTAAATAGTTTCCTTGGACATTTTTTTCCATGTCAGAACAGACCAACCTGTGTCCTCCTTTGCAAGGACTGGGTAATATTTGGTGTAATAATCTGGGATAATTAACTAAGCCAATTCCCTCTCAGTTGACATTTAGGTTGTTTCCAGTCTTCATAACACAAAAGAGCTGTGATAAACCTGCTTGTGCATTTATCTTTGGGGGAGATTCCTGAGAGTTAAATGGTGCATACGCTGATGGGAATTTTTCACTGTCTTCCACACATGGAGACCTATTTTCTGCAGAAGGTCCAGATGGTCAACAGATATTGAAATGGACTCAGTGGAGTTCTTCAAGTTAAGGTAACAACAGCAGAAAAAGGGTTTTCCAGGATCTCAGAAGGCTGCAGCTATGGCAGTCCATGGCAAAGACTAACAGCAAGGAGGCGCCAGCATCCCAAATTGAGAGGATGGCACCTTCTGGATATTGGCTGGTTTCTCTGCATTCCCCTGGCAACGAAGTCAGCATTATCTGGAAGGTCAGGGCTGATCTGGGCCCAGGATGGACACTGTTCCACACTAAGAAGGGAAGCAAGTCTCCTTACTGCGAAGGGGGCAGTGGCCAGTAGGACAGAGAAAGAGAGAGGGAGGAGGATGGTGCATAGATGTCGCTGCAGGGTTCCTGTCAGGGCTGGAGCTGAAGGTTGCAGGACACTCACTCCACAGAACCAGGCAGAAACCTGATGTGCCCAGACAGCTTTTGGGGTGAGCAGGCAGCTCCAGGCAGATGTCTTTGTTTGCAGGCACAGCTGCGTGCACTCTGAGATGTTCCTGTCCATGAGGGATGTTTCTGGAATGATGATGATGATGATGATGACAGTGGCTGTGGTTGGCAGCGGGAAGAAGGAGGTGATTACCCAAACAGCGCTGGCATTCTAAGAGTTGGCCCTGAGAGGGCAGGGGCTGCCTCCACTCTGTGTGTTTATGATCCCTTGTGGTATGAGCATGTGATGTGTGCTTTGCGTGTATGCAGGTCTGTGCAGTGTGATGTGGTTGAGTATGTGAGTGTGCCGTGTATATGATGTGTGATGTGTGCAGTCCCATGTGTGTGACTGTGTGAGGTGTGTTGCAGCAGCAGTGTGGGACGTGAGTGCATGTGGTGTTGCAGGGTGGTGGGCATGGAGTGTGTGTGGATGTGATTCAATGCATGAGTGTGCTGTGTTTTGTGTGTGTGTGTGTGTGTGTGTGTGCTGTGTGTGTGTGTGTGTTTGAGGCGGTCCTGATTAAATTCCCCCAAACTATTCATGTTGCGCACCAAAGACCTCTGGGCTCATGTTGAGTTTTTCCTTCTGTCTTCTCTGTTTCCTGTGGCAAAAATGCCAACTTCACCAAGAGAACCCTCTCAAACATTTTCTCCCTAAGGAGACCAAGCTCTAGGCAAGGGCTTAAGTTTCCACTGGTCACAGTTAGAGAAAGACAGAGAGAGACAGTATTCTCTAGAGCTGTCCTATTTTATTTTATTATTCTTTCAACTTATTGTTATATTAGTCTATCTTACCTTTTTATAGAGGTGTATATGTAACACATACAGTAAAGTCACAGAGTACACAAATCTTATGTGCTGATGGGTTTTAAGTGCATGTGTATTCACCCGTATAATCATACCCCAGATCAAAATAGAATACAGTCCCAGCACCCTGAAGAGCTCCCTTGAGCCCATTTCTAGTCAATATCTCCCAAAGGCAAACACTATTCTTACTTCGGTATCGGTAGATTAGTTGTGTCTGCTCTAGAGTTTCATATGAACAGGATCATGCAGTATAGGTAGTCTTTTTGTCTGGCTGTTTTCACTTAGCATAATGCTTATGAGATTCATCCATGTTGTTGGTTGTGTCAGTAGTTCCTTCCTTTTTATTGCTGTGTAGTATCTTATTGTATGGATGTATTACAGTTTGTTTATCCATTCTCCTGCTGACGGACATCTGGGTGGTTTCCAGTTCAGGGCTATTGCAAATAAAGCTGCTACAAATATTCTTGAACATGTCTTTTTGTGTCCATATGTAGATCTGTCTTAATGTTGCCTGTGATAGCATTTGACAAAGATAGAGCTTGCAAAAAATAACCCCCTGCCAAAAATCAAACAACAACAATAACAAAACCCCCAACTTAACCCAGCAGGCTTCCCAGGAAGAATGAAGCAGTCAACTTGCATAAGGCCTGTCTTGACTTCTCTCCTTTGGGGGAAGAGGATCACATTAAGAAGGGTGGCAGGCTTGCCTGGACACAGAATTCCACTACCAAACAGACATCATTTCTGAGAACTTCAGAGTTTATGATCCAGGTTTCCCAGTGATTAAATTACTCCTTGGAAGGTAAGTGGGGATCTTTGGTAGGGTCACTGGCTGCTTCAGGATTTGTGAGCTGTGTTTTGGGCTCCAATGCCAAGATTTCCCATTAGAAGCCCTGTAAGGCTGGGTGCAGACAACTTCTAAAGATACCCAATTTACTTTTAGGGAACTCAGACCTTGGGAAAATCCAGCCTGTTGCCCATCCACAGGATGTCAGTAAGGATTTCAGAGAGTGAAGAAAGAGAAACAAACAGGCTTGCACCTGCACACTGGTGGGCTTTGGTCTTTTGGGTGTCTGCAGCAGCTCGCTCTTCGACTGATTATCTCTATAGTGGAAGCTATCTTGGCTGACCCCTACCTCCTGGGTACTCACCTCCACCTATCTGTGTGCTCACTTCGAACCCCTGCAGCTCTCTCCTCCAAGACTTCAGTACTGGCCCTGGAAGCATGCTTAGCCCAGGCACAGGACAAGCAAGAGGCTCTGGAGCATATGTCACCAGGAGCAGCCCTCAACTGATGATGCAATGTAACTGGAAGACAGATGCCGCTGTTTTCTCTCCCTCAGTAGGGAGAAACCTGAGGTTAACTCCCAGTGGGACTTAGCCCCAGTTGCTCATGGCAGTCAGCTGCTTATTAACGCATCCTGAATTGTTTGCCTTCCTTTCCTGCCTCACTTCTCTATTGTTCCATGGGTGCTGCCTGTGGTCCCCTTTTACATACACTGTATGCACTCAGATCTTGGTCACAGGGTCTGCCTTTGGGGGAATCCAAATTTAACCATGCTCCTCCCCAAGGAAAAATGCTTTCTGGCACATACACTAATTTTGTCTGGGGATTTTGCAAATTCCATGACACTGTCTGCATCGCCTGGTTTGGGGTTCAGCAAGGCCTTCGTCAGATATCTTTGCTGTGGAGAAGCTTGTGATCAGGGGCCAACTCAGGGGAGGACCATAATAAATACAGATGGCCCCCAACTTAACGATGTTCAACTTAGAATTTTTTTCACCTTTACAATGGTGCAGAAGTCATACTCGTTCGCTAGAAATTGTGCTTCGAATACCTGTACAGCCATTCTGTTTTTCACTTTTAGTACAGTATTCAATAAATTACTGAGATAGTCAACACTGTATTATAAAATATGCTTGCTGTTAGATTATTTTACCCAACAATAGGATAATATAAGTGTTCTGAGCTTACATTAGGGTTGGCTAGGCTACGCTATGATTTTGGTAGGTTAGGTGTATGAAATGCATTTTTGACTACAATATTTTCAACTTATGACAGGACATAACCCTATCGTAAGTGAAGGAGCATCTGTAGTACTTAATTTTCAAGCTACAATGAGGGCAGACAGCTTGGTCCCATTGCTCCCTGTCCTTGTCACTCCCGATACTGTTTGTGCACGATAGACATGTAACTCCAAAAAGATGTGAGGAAATGGAATCATTTAAGATACAGGGGTTGCAGGGGTGGGAGTTGAGGGGTGGGTATTGTTACTTAAGGTGATTCTCAGCTACTCTGTATCTCTGAGGAAAATGGCTTATCATAAAATACAGTGTGAAAAGGAAAAGACAAAAATTGTATCTGTGCCATGATAGGTTGTTTCCTGTAAAAAATAAAACAATAAAGTTAAATAGTTTTGATTTGTTGGGGGCATAAGAGTCCTGAATGAATTTTTCCATTTTTTCTAATTTTTCCAAAATTCAGTTGTAACATAAGCATGAATATTTTTAAAAGAATTCCAGGATGAATCTTTTTAGGGAGAAAAACCATAATGCACAAAGCAGTTTGTCCAGTTTCCTTTTCATCTTTTCTTGGAGGGGTATTTTTCCACATAAGAAAGGGAACAGAGGAAGGAGGTGGGGCTTAGGGCAGTAGGATATAATTAGCTATAACATTTGATGATTTGAGTTTGAGTTTGTGGTTCTGGGGGGATAAACACACGGACCTATCTCAGTGGGGCTGGGGTGATCTGAAGGCCTACAGCATTTAAAGAGGGCAAGATGTCAAATTGCAGATACAGATCTTGGTTGATCTGTGTGGAGGGCACAGCTGGTGCAGGAAGGGCTGGGGAGCAGGGAATATGAAGGCACAGATAAACTCAGGCTATCCAAGAGTTGGGAATGGTAGAGGGAGGAGTATGGTTTTGGTTTTGAAGGATTCCCTTTGGCCTGTGCCCTTCATTGCCTGGGGCAAATTTAGAAGCACACAAGCTGTTTAAGTTACATTCTATTAACCTTTCCCCAGCGGCTGTATTTGCCTCGTCTGATCCCGCACCATGCTACACACATTTTCTAATCGTTTTACTGTTTCACTGATTGCAGAATTAGAAGCATCCACTGTCTGGTAAAAGTAGGTCAGGGAAGTTCCTGACTTCGCTATGTTACTAATAGATTTCTGAATGGTAGCGTATGGGCGCCTTAATGTGACATTTGAGCGGAAGAACAATGGTGATCACTCACTGACGATTTTGTGCTTGAATCGTTCTTTTCTCCAACATGAACACATGTTGGGGAGGTCCCCGAGATTACAGGTGCCAGTGAAAAGTAAATGAGGCACTGATATGTTCATTTGAAAGCAAATCAGTGCTTTTATCTGGGCCTGATCTCTCTAGGCCTCCCTCTTCTTGTGGCTCTCTGCCATTGCCTTTCTCATCACAACTCTCCTCCCTGAGCCACCACCATAAAAACCTTTTCTGTAACCCCTGCCATATGAAATAGTATTACATACGCGACCTCTTTCCATCAACCCACCGCCTTCCCCTCCTGTAAGCTACCTTGGAATCCCACCTCTCTTCTCTTACCCTGCCTTCTCCTCAACCTCCTTTTTCCTCCTGTTGGGTGTTTTATTCTCTTCCCATATGATCCAAGCTTAAGGATACTGTGGGCCTCACAGAATCCATAGAAAATGAAACTGCATTGCCTTATAATCAACTACGAAATCCTTAGGTTGTCCCCAGGAAAAAAGTAAAGCGAGTCAAATTATAAAGACCTAGACGTTGTCAAATTCACCACATGGGCATTGCTATTGTCAAGTAATGATTTAGATAGGCACGCTGTGTGTATCTCGCTTGCTGTCTTCTTTAAAAAAAAAAACGAATCATTTTTGCTTAAACTACTTCTTCCTTCTAGCTCCAGACTATGGTGATCATAATTATGTCCGACCAAAACATATTGCTTGTGTGTGTTCATGTTTAATTGGAAAAATGACAACAGTGATTTCTTTGAAGTCTCATACTCACCCAGAGCTACCCTGCCAGTGGGTGTTCTAGTATCCAGAATTTCTTAGAGGAGGAGGAAGAATAAATCACCATAAAATGATACAATAAAGTCTTTTAAAATAACAACCAGGTAGTAAATTAACATATACACGACCTTTGAAATGATTATGTATGGGGAAGTTGAATCCAGCAAACAGCTGGCTGGGTGCCTGCCTTTGACTAATAGGCTGAGAGATACAGCTGCTAGAAAGATATTTGAGAGTAAGCCCTAAATGCAGAAATCTTTTATTAAAAAAAAAATCAGCTTCCTCATTTGACAAACTCTAATTTCATTGGGATTGACAGCATTGCCTTTGTCGAGCATACATTTAACAAATGAGATTGAACAACCACCCCACTCAGTTTTATCTAATTTAATTTGACAGCCAAAGCAGGTAGGTAGAATAATGTACTTACAGAGGAGGTAAGAATGTTTTCCCCAGGGTTAAATGACATGCCTGACATGGCTTGCTGGATCAAGCTCAAAGCAAGTATCTCCCCCATTGCTTTTGTATTTTTGTTTTGTTTTACTTTTTAAATTGAGGTATAAAGTAAGTAAAGCGAGTTCATCTTAAATATACAAGTTGATAAATTTTTGCCTATGTGTACGTTCATATAACCACCACCCAAATCAAGACATAGAACATTTCCATCCCTGCAAAACATTCACTTCCCAATCATTATTTTTCTCTTCTTCTGGCTCAAGGTAACCACTACTCTGACTTCTAACAGCAAAGATCAGTTTTGTTTGCTTTTGAACTTCAGTTTTGTTTTGTTTCTGAGACAGAGTCTCACTCTGTCACCCAGGCTGGAGTGCAGTGGCATGATCTCAGCTTACTGCAACCTTCACCTCCCGGGTTCAAGTGATTCTCCTGCCTGAGCGTCCTGAGTAGCTGGGATTACAGGCGCACACCACCATGGCTGGCTAATTTTTGAATTTTTAGTAGCGACAGGGTTTCACCACATTGGCCAGCCTGGTCTCGAACTCCTGGCCTCAAGTGATCTGCCTGCCTCAGCCTCCCATAGTGCTGAGATTACAGGCCTGAGCCACCATGCCCAGCCCGAAATTCATATGAAGTGTATCAGACAGTATGTACTTCTGTGTCTGGTTTCTTTTACGCAGTGTAAATATTCAAGATTCATCCATGTTGTTGCATTGTATCAGTAATTCATTCTGTTATTGCTCTGTAATATTCCATTATATGAATATAAGACTGTTTATGTATTATTGATGGACATTTGGGTTGGGTTGTTTTTGGCTTTTCCCTTGCCTTCAGTTTTATGTTTTCTGGATAGTCTATAGAAGGGCATCCTAGAAATAAGCAAGAATGATGTGCCCGTGGGTGAACTTGTTTCCAACTGGTGGCAAAATCCACTCACCACTGCATAAACAAGCGTTCTGGATCCTGAGTGGCAAGACTGTCTTGGGTTATCTTTCCCTTAAGACTCAAGTGAGCTTCATGTTCCCTTATCACATCCCCAGCATAATTGTGGGGTAAGGAGGGACCTCAGCGCCTAGCCTCCATTAACCCTAATATGGGAGAAAAGAAGGTGAGCTTTAGAAACCGACAGGCAGGGGGACCTGGGGTGGGTTTGCAGGTGGCCAGGAAAGGAGAGCAGCAGTTTTTCATCTGGAGTGCACAGGTATCTGGCATCACGCCCACCTTTGGGCAGACTCAGGGACACAGCTTAAATTGGGGCATCTCTCCTGATCATTCTGACACCTGCCCATTTTCTGAATCTGGGAAATAAAGTAACCATTATTGCCTCTCATAAAGAAGCTGACCAGGCAGTGTGGCTAAGGTAGTCATTTGTCGTTGGGCAGAAACTGGGCACAAAGGGATGTCACCTTAGAAGGCTGCCCCCTCCCTCCAGCTGATGGGTGAGGCGAGCAGCTGTATGTACAGGTGCGACAGGGTTGGGAACTACTGGGAGGCGAGGGTGGGTCTGCAACCTGGATCTGGTGGTGCAGAAACGAAAAGAGATCAGTTGTTTAAACCTTCCCGGTTTGCCTGGGACTGCCCTGGTTTAAGTGCTGAAAGTTCCAGGGCCTGGGAAGCCCCTCAGTCCTGGGCAAACCAGGACAATTGGTCACCCTACAAGAGGGAGCCCTTTTCACTCTGTTATCAGTGCATTTCAGTTAATAAATATTATTAGCCTTCTATTACAGACCATGCACCTTGCAAGGTTTGGGGGATAGATTGGTAACAACAAGACAGTGGTGATCTCTGCCCCTCCTTCTGGAGTACTTCCTATAGCAAGAAAGGTAGGATTTAAACAAGTGATTACAATACAGTGCAATGCTTGCTTTGATTAGAGACAATAAGGCAATGAGTGCTTTAATTGGGAAAATTCTGGAAGCTCTGGAAGCAGGTGGGAAAGACAATCCACTACAAGTTCATGATTTCCTTAGCATATCCACAAAGTTCTAGGGCTGCTCAGAAAAGCCATTTGCAGCAAACTCTGATGCACTCATAACAGCTATCAACAAAGAGGGTGGAGGATGATAAGGAAATAGACAGATTTAGGTCTATTGATGTAATCCCTTTGTGCTGCTTACATTCCCAACACGTAGCCACATTTCTTCTCCCACTTCGACAGTCCTTACTGGCTGGTGCAAAACATTCAGTGTGTAGTGAACAGGAGTCCTTGGCATTGTCCGTGCCCATAAATTCAGAGTGACAAGCATGCCTTGGAAAACCTTCTTCAAGTTTTCAGATCATGTAGATAAAATGGGGAGAGGGGTGAAGATGATGTTCTGGGGTTAATAATTCAGTATGTTTGTAAACAGGGCTCCAGGGTGGAAAACTTAGTGCCAGATTTTCTGCGTGTTGTTTTACAACAGAACAGCATGTACTTGTAAGTATCTAAAACTAATGGACATGTACTCTTGCCTAAGAGGCCCAGTTATTGTTTTTTGTTTTTTGTTTTTTTAAAAAAAAGCTTTTTAATGTACTAGAAATATATGGCAGCTGTTGTAAGAGCTGAAAGGCCCGCCCAATGCAGGTTGACAGATGTCCATATATCCATATTATATATTAAAAATACCCCCTGAATATTTTACTTTCTACCAGCTATCACACAGATCCAATAAAACAAAACAAATCTCCCAGAACTGAAGCCCTTATCTCCATGGAAAAGTCCAAACATTTATTCCAGTATCAGAGACACAGCCAAACAAGATGTGTCTCGAATTTTAGAGTCCCTTTCTTGCCTTCCTCAGCCCAGAGGGTGCCAGTGATGTTTGTGTAAGGTATGTCCTTTTATGGATGTTTGTAGAAAAGATGAGGATGGATGGTTTTTCTAGAGGATAGTTCTCATTGTTTTCATCATGTGTTAGAAATAGCACAGATACATTGGGTCAATTTCTTTTTCTTCTTTCTCTACCTTTATCATCATTCAATTAAAACAAAGATACTCACAAACTATTATTTTTCTATCATATGGGAATCAATGCCCAACTTACCTGTTCTGAGTACTGACCCTTTGGAGGTTCCCAACTATTATGCAGCTTTTTCTAGCCTAGCTTGTGACAGGTTGTGGAGGTATAACACCCCCCCACACACACCCCAGATGACCTCTGAGCTTTCCTTTGCAAGGAAGCAATAATGGAGACTTATCCATGAGGGATGAAGTGCCTCTTCCCTTCACAGTTTGACCATGCCTTCCTTTGTAGCTTGTTCAGCTCGGCTTGTCCTGATTTATGTTTTTTTGCCATCTGGTTTATTTCTCTTGTTGTTTTGTATTGTTTTAAGTGTGCTCCAGGCCATCTTTAACTGAGTCTTTAAAAAAAAAAACAACAACAAAAAAAAAACAAATCATAGGAGTGTCATTTGAAGGTTAGGGATGAAAGAGAAGTTTAAAATGGGACTCTGATCTTCCCTGCAAAGTCCAGTAGCTAAAAATAAAGTTCCTTTTACTTTGCTGATTATGTAATAGAACACGTTCTCAGATGTGAATGCTATGGAATGTCACAGTTGTTCAGAGAATATTTTTTTGGGTTTTCCTAAATGGAGGTGCAAGAGTTCTCTCAAATAATTGAATTCATTCAGTTAGCTGTTGAGGACCTACTGTGTGCAAGCCACTTTGCTAGACACTATTGTGGACCACTTTGTGATGCTGATGAGCTGTAACCAGAGGCAGTACTTGCCTTTCCTTTGGTCTAACCTCAGTTTTCATTCTATTACACCATATAACTCTTTCTAAAGAAAAAATGATGTGCGAGGGAAGTGGAGAGGGAGTTATTTTGCAAAAGGAAAGGATAGAGTTGGGCAAGGGCAGTGTTTGTTTGAAAAGGGGAAGGTTCTCTCTGGGTACTGGGTGCTGTCTGTGTTCTGGGAAGCCATGAAATATCAGTGACCTGGATAACTATGTTTAAACCATGTTCTTATTAAAACCAGCAGTCCTGGCTTACCCAGACAAAGAAATTCTGAAACAATTTTGGAAATACATTCACAAGAGTGGAATTCATAAATGGAACTGTACAGCCATCAGCTGCACTGTTTAGACATAAAGTTGGATGAGCAAAGGGGGAATTTTACAAGTATGGATTCAAAGCTTTTAAATGAACTTGCCTAATTGGTAGTAGTGATGTAGAGCATCTTGCTGGAAGGAAAACAAATCTCATATCTAAAAATGTTCTCTTAGATGTAAAAGCAAATGCAGCCTCAAACAATGCTTGCGAAACATCTTGGTTAAGGATTTTGGAAGAGATTTAAGGATCATGGGTTGTTGCCTGGCACTTGGTGAACTGCTCCACACAATTTAGAAACCCTGTCAAGAGGTTCCTAAATCCAGCTGACCTTAGAATCACCTGGGGAGAGTTTAGAACTTGTACATTTCTGGACCCCATTAGATGCATGAGGTTGGGCTCTTGGGAGTCAGATGGAGAATCTGTGAGCTCAGAGGGATCCCCAGGTGATTTCAATCATTAGCCCTGTTTTGAGAACTGCTAGCCTAATCCATTTCTCTGGACAGCATCCTATCCACACCATTACAGACCTTTTTTTTTTTTTTTTTTTTTTCCATACAGATGGCCATGAAATCACATCTCAGCACATGCCTTTGACTCTGGATTGCACATGTATTCATTAGCTGAAGCCCAATTTTAAAATCCAATCAACTCTATGATTCCTTGAAATGACTGCAAATCAAGTCACATCCAGTGCTCCTCAGGTTTATTTTTGTTCATTATTATTCTACTGAGTGCTCAGGACATTCTACTGCTCCTGAGTTGGTGAGCTAGAGGCATAAATAGCTTTTGGATCCCTCGGGTGTCGAGATGGTTAAAAGGATAAATGGTGATAAGTGAATAAAAGGGTGAACATTGGCAAGTGAACAAACAAAAATTTGATAAGGCTCTACTCTAAGCCACATGCAGTGTGAGGCCCTTGACGGCCTCCCCCACCAACCCTCCCAGTATCTTTATGGGGGTGTCTCAAACCCCGTTTTACACATGGGAAAAGCGGAGTGATAATCCCAGGCCACAGAGCTCAGGGACAGAGCCAGCAATCAAGCCTGGGCCTTCTGGGTTTACCATACCACGTAATTCCCCCACTCGCTCCCATCCTAAATCTGATCCTGAGTTTTCTTCATTTTATCATCCATAAAGAGCATTCTAAATTCTCTTGTGCTCTGCCCTGGGGTCCAGCTTGGGCTCATCAAGGTCCGCTTACTTCTCCAGAGATCCCCATAATCTATTTGGAGGAGTAGCACAGTTCTACTCTGATTTGGCATGTTTTAGAGGAATCAAAGGTAGGGCCATTCATTTTTGAATTATACATAGGTTTCCCTTCATCTCTAGAATGTAATTAGGCAAAAGGGCTTGAGGAATACCAAATGCCAAGCCAAGAGCATTAAGAAGCTGCCAAAGGAAGCGGGTATTAGCAACCTCTGTTATGTGCCATGTGGGCCAGAGCTGTTCTTAGCTTCTCGGCAGGAGGGAGAGGCTGTGGTTCCAGGAATCAGGAGAGAGAGGGAGGCAAGCAGGAAGGTCTTTGCCTCTTCCCTGCAGATTTTGTAGTGGAGCAGCTGGCATTTCTCGGTGATTCACAGATGGGCCTGCCTTTGATGGCCTTACCACCTTTCTTATTAATTTTCTGATAGGTAGTCTCTGGACCAAGACCAGGGTGACCCACCCGTAGCACTACTACCATTTGGGACCAGATTATTTTGTGCTGCGGGGGCCTGTCCCATGGCTTGTAGGATGTTTAGCAGCATCCATGACCTCTACCCACTCAGTACCAGTAGAACCTCCCCACCTCCCACAAGTTAGGGACAACCAAAAATGTCCCTATACATTGCCAAATGTCCTCTTGGCAACAGGGACAGAATTGTACCAGGTTTAGAATTGCTGGCCTAGAACTATAGTAGAAACATGAAGGGAAAAAGAGATCTCCTGCAGGGGTAGGGATACTGGGTTGGAAATGGACCCCCAAGCTTCAACCTCCCCACCTTCCCTCAGCCTGCAGAGGTGGCACCAAAAAGTGGTATATGAAGTATGTGAGACTTAACCCAGCGATCTCTTAAAGGGTAAATACCCACTTGCCCCATTCACCCTTTTCCCATGCTGCCATCCCACCCACCTGTTCTTGGTACATGGTGCTGGTGCTGTGGCAGTAGACACTCTTGATAGCTTGGGCTGGTGGTTAAGAGCATAGATTCTGGAGCCAAGGCTACAATAAGTTCACGTTCCAGCTCTGCAACTGAGTAGCAAGTTCCCTGTTCTTTGCATGCCTCAGTTTCTGCATCTTTAAAGTAGTAATAATAACAGCATCTCTCTTTTGGGGGTGTTTGTGAGGCTTGAATATTTGTAAACATTTAGAAGAGTACCTGGCACTGTGTATACACAGTAAGCACTGTGTATAAAAGTGTATTGTAAATAAAACATAAATAGTATTGTGAAGAAGTTCTGTTAAATACAGCCACTCAACAAATGTTTATTGGTTGTCGAACAAGGCCCCACCCCTACCCTCCTGGAACTCAGAGTTTGGTTATGGGCCAACAGTAACTTGGGCGGGGTTCTGAGCCATGATTCTGTGTGGCCTGCAAGGGGATCACAGAGTTTACTCCCTCCCTCTCTGCACTAAGGGCTGCTGTAGAAGCAGAGCCCACTGCCCTGGCCATGCTCTTCTATGTAGTCTCAAAGTCAAGTTCTCCATATCCCAGTGGGCAGGCCATCTGGCCTTAGCTCCCCAATGCAGTGCCTCTTACTCATCATAAGTCAAATGCTGCTTTACTCTGCATCAACTGAACATTCCATGTGACAATGACTCAACTCTCTATATCTTCAGCTGTAGCCAAAATAAATGGAATCTATGCATTAGTTTGTTTTCACATTGCTATAAAGAACTACTCGAGACTGGGTAATTTATAAAGGAAAGAGATTTCATTGACTCACAGTTCCACATGACTGGGGAGGTCTCAGGAAACTTACAATTATGGTGGAAGGCAAGGGGGAAGCAAGGCACATCTTACATGGCAGGAAAGAGAGAGCATGAGGGGGGAAGTGTCACAATTTTAAACCATCAGATCTTGTGAGAACTCACTCACTATCACGGAAACCAGCCCCGTGACCCAAGCACTTCCCACCAGGTCCCTCCCTTGACATGTGGGGATTACAATTCTAAATGAGATTTGGGTGGGGACACAGAGCCAAACCATATCAATTCACTATTCAATATTTGGTAGCACCTCTGTAATGAATTTGAGGTATATCAGTCTTTGGACACACTAGTTGGGAACATTGTCCTCCCTCCTTCACTCTCTTGCTCCCTCCCTCCCTTCCTTCCTCCCTCCAAATAAATATTCATTGAGCATTGTCTATGAACCAGGTATTATTCTGGGTGCTGGGTGAGGTCTCTGCTCCTAGAGACCCAACATTCCAGGTTAAGTAGAAGAGACAGACTATAAACAGAAAACAAAGGAAAAAAAAAGATAGCTTGCAAATGTGATAGGTGCTGAAGGAAAGACACACCGAGACTGATATGAGAGAGGAAAACTGGGATGGAGGTGGTGACTGTTCCAAATGGTCATAGAACCTTCTCTATCTAAGAAGGCTGTTCTGATTTGAGACTTAGCTGAGAAGGAACCAGTTGTGAGAAGGGCATTCCAAGCCAAGGAAATGGCCAGTACAAAGGCCCTGAGGCAGGAAAGAGTTTGGTACCTTCTTGGAATGGGTTAAAGTGGGGCCAGATCAGATAGGGCTTTGTAGGGCTTGGCTTTTATTTTAAAGTACAATGAGATGCCTTGGAGAGTTTTATGCAGACAAATAAAACTATTTGATTTATGTTTTAAAAGAAGGAGGGAATAGTCACTGTGTCAAACACTGCTGAGATGAGTAAGATGAGGGCCAAGAGAATCTCTCAGTGGATCTGGCCACATGGAGGTCAACGTGACCTCTGTGGAGAAGTAGAGGGCAGCTGTTCTCTTTGCCTTTTGGTTTTAGAACATATGGTTTCACCAAGGAATAGGCACTTGTATTTGAAGGGATCAATAATTCAATAACATTTCTTAATACTGCTTTGGTCAGTTTTCAGGGAATTACTTGGTTTTATTCTTTCTTCAGTAAGACTTACTGTAATGGTCACAATGATGTTTGTAGTGGTGATGTCATCCTTGGTATCTAAGACATCACTACCTGCCCACCATCAACCCCCTTGATGATTTCCCAGTGTGGGACAGTACCAGCCCAGCCACACATGCACAGCCCCTGGAACTCTGTGACATTCATGACCCATGTTCATTGCAGAATGGCTGGCTGAGGCCAAGGGCTGCCTGTGACTCAGGAGAACTATCTAGGCCCTTTATAAATGGGCCAGGCAGGGCACAGAGGGTTGACCTCAGCCTTCTCAGTGCCATGTTCTCATGGTTGTCCCCTATGTGGCTTTTCACTTCCAAAGTCCATCCAGCCCCTTAACCTTGCCTGAACTTTTAAGCCCAAGAATGGCAGAAAATCCCTCAGAATAAATCCTTAAAGAGGCATTTGACAGAGCATATAGAAACTTACACTTGGTAAAAAGTGACCATAGAAAAAATCTGTTTAGCACAAGCTTAAATATTACTGTGCTTTTTATGCGGTCTCCCGCAGCATTTTGGAACCGGGCCATTTTTCCTGAGTGATCGTTTCCTTTGATTTTTTTCCCCCCACTGCTTTGATTTTGTAACACAAGAATAATATTTTTTCTGGACCAAATTTCTTATAAGTGGTCTTGCCCAGGGAATGATGATTCTATTTTCTCTTAAGTACCAAGAAGTACATACACATACAAGCACATTTAATAGCTTCAGATGGGATGGTTTGACTGTCAAAGGCATATTTGCAAAATTCTGTTCCTGTTGATTCCAGCCCCTGATTCAAAGCCCCACCATTATAATGCTGTTGCAGACACAGTGGAGAAAGCCCTTCATCACCTGCACGGTAGATGCAGGCTGTTCTTCCTCTCTTGAGGAGCAAGCCCTGAGTCTTGATGAATGGATTCCCTCTAATGTGTAATGCCTTCAAGATGGACTCAAAGGTAAATCCATCCCATTTGCAGAAAGGGAAGGTTCCTAACTTCCCCAAGTTAATAACCATCTGCAGTGTTGGACAAGGCTTCAAATTGCTGACACCTTTGTTCATACCAGCTGGCAAGATTGGGTCACATAATTAACCACACAGGGGCACATTTTGCAGTTAACTCATCCTAGGGGGGCTGCTCTGCTCAAAATCAGACATTGGACTCTGCCTTACTGTGATTTTTTTTAAAGGCCTAACTGACTGGCTGGCAGGACTTTCCTGTCAGCTTTCTCCTACCTAGAAGAGTCTCTTTCATGCTTAGGCCACTGAATTCTGGAGTCTGCACTGAGTTCTTAACTGAAAGTCTGTGCAAATCCCAAATCCTAATGAAAGAAAAAGGTATGGTCCTTGTCTGAGGGTGCCCCTCTCTCGCCTCCCCGTGGAAATGGGATTGCAAGAGCACCATTGCCCTAGAGTGTCTACTCTTCACTTCTATAGCCCTTGGATCTCCCTTTAATCAGCGCTGCAGGCACTTGGGAGAAAATCCAGCTAGGGCCTGCATTTCCTTGAGGTGATTCCAAAAAGTAGATTTTCTAGGTCAGTGGATATGAATGATTTTAAATTGCCCTCTAGAAAGTTTTTAACCAATTTACTTCCTTATTTGCAGACATTTGCTATGCAGCTGTATTCGTTTGTTTCTTCGTTCGTTCATTCATTCGTTTATCTATTTATTCATCTATTCATTCACTTATTGATTCAGCACCAAGACTGTATACCAGGCACTGTGGACCTGTAAACAAATATTAATTGATTCCTGCCCTGGGTGGGGCTTGGTGGGTTTTCTCTTTGTCTCTTTGAAGAGAATTGAGATTGTGTCTGGGCCTCCTGAAGACTGGCCAGGATAAGCTATCCATTTACGTAGTGGTGAACGGGGATCCAGACTTGGGAGGAGGGTTGCTCACCCCTGGCTGCACATCAGAACCACCTGGGGAGCTCTAAACAAATCCTGATGCCCAGGCCCAACCATGGATGATTTTGATTTCACTGGCCTTGGGTGTGGCCTGGGAATCTGGGTCGTTCAAACGAGATTTGGTGGGTTCAGGGTGGTATGGCTGTAGACTTATCTGGGTCTTTCAAAGCTACCTGATCAAAGTCTCTTGTGCAGCTAGAGTTGATTGTCCCTCTCCACCCTTTATCCTAGAGAGTCTAGCCTGATGAAAATCCTGCATCAGGTCCCCACCACCTCTGCTCTTGACCTTACACTTGTCACTTTAGACTTGATGATAGTTACTGTTCCACCGCACATCTTGCCTACTGTGGGCCATGGGAGGCCAGCACCATGCCAGGCTTATGTTTGAATAGACTGACCATTGCCATGGAAAAGCTGCTGAGAAGAAAAACCATCCCTCTTTTCATCTTATGTATTGTTTATTTATAGTTTCAAATATAATCCTCGCCTTATTTATTTAGGATTCCACAGTGAAGCTCATTTGGCTCCCTATCTTTTGTTATAATAACAATAGCTAACCCCTACTGAGTATTTACCATGTGCCAGGAACTGTTTCAAGCATCTTGCACATGTGAACTCACCTACCCTTCTTAACAACCCTGCGGCATATACACTGTCATCACTCCCATTTTACAGATGAGGAAACTGAGGCATAGAGAGGCTAAAGGAGTTTGTCAGTGTTCACACAGCCAGTCAGTGGCTGAGTTGGGCATCTACATCTCATTTCATTTAAGTGAGGCCTCTTCTTTACAAGTCGGAAGGACTTCTCTTGGATTTATTATGCCTTTGCATTGTATTTTCTTTCTCAAAACAGAACTTCAGGGGACGAGTGAGTGTACACCTATGAGATCTATCAGCATCCCTATGCTCTCACAGTGGCAGAGTGGCTTAGGACAGAGAGCTTAGGAAGAGAATCATTCAACAGCTTGAGTCACTTTCGTTGCATCCATTGGACCAAGTTGTCTTGATCTTGTGGAGACATAAGTAACTAAAAGTAGACGGTTCTTACCTGTGCCAAGGGCAGGCAGGACCCTCTGCAGTTAGCACTCTCACATCTGCATACTTTTAGAATTGTCCTCATAAGAAAAAGGAGAGACTGAGAAAAGCCTAGCCATGATTCAGAAACAGCCTGAATTCATCTGTCTTTGAAAGTACCTAGAACTTCTCCTCTGCTCATTCTTCTGGGAGAAATCAGAGGCTCTCGGAAGTCAGTAATTGTGATCTCTTGAGTCATAATTTCTGCAGTTGTATCAGAGCCTAATGTGGGGATGCAAGATGGAAACAGCACATGGGGCTGTTGCCATAGACGAGGCAGAGAGTGGAGGGGCTGAAATCTCCTGGAAGGAAGGGATTAGCTGCCCAAAGAAGAAAACAGATTTGAGAAATCCATTTACCCTGAAGGTTTAATAGGGAATGCAGGTCAGACTTACTCAAATGTCTTTAGTCACGGGTCTCTCTCCTGTTTTTATCTTGTACCCAGCTCAGAGTTTCAAAAGAGAGGGGGTAAGTGAACCTTTAAACCCCGACGTTAATATTTACATCCACAATATTAGGAATAAGAATTCTTGTCATCTATTGAACTGAAGGAATGGTATTAAAATAAATGTAAAATTATTAATCGTATATTTCTCAGTTATTAAGACAAACTCTTGCTTGTGCTTGTATGATCATAACACCCAACTCAGATTTCTAAGAATGTCACTAGCATGTGTTTGGTTTTTCTCTAGAGAATTAATATTGCCTATGATAAGAAAATAATTTGGAAATATTCACATGGATTTTTGACATGGCCCTAAGGAATTAGCCATTAAAGAATTTCAGAATCCTAATTAGTCTTCAAATAATCTTTTGCATGGTAAAGATCTTCTGCTTGGAAGAACACTATTTCAATATACTGTTTGTCACTTCATTACCTGAAAGCTGCTTGGAGGCATTTTGTGGAATGAAAATCATTTGAGGGCCCAGAGGGTCAACACAAAGGTGCACAGAGCCTTGAATTCTAACCGTAACCCTGCCCCTACCTAGATGCGTGGCCTAGGCCAAGTCACCTTTTCTGAGCCTTTGTTTCCCCAGCTACAAAATGAGTTGTACTAGTCTTTGTAAAAATGGAAATTAGAAAGCCATATGTCATCTATCCCCTGCCTTTCTTTCCTACCACTCTGAAATTTGTTAGCTCCTCTCCTCCCCTTCTCCAACCTCTCTCTCTCGCGGTCTCTCTCTCTCTCTCTTACACACACACACAAACACACACACACACCTCCTTAGAGTGCTGGAATGTCATTTTGCCATGATGCCATGGTGTCTCCTTTCCTTTTTCAGATCTTTGCTCAACAAGAGGCCTTCCCTGATCACCCTCTTCAAAGCAGGCCCTTCCCCACACCCTGCTCCCTGTCACTCTCAGTCCACTTACTCTGATTGACTTTCTTCTTAGTGCCTAGCACCATCAGAAAGTATAAGAAGACAACATGGTGCTGGCACAGGGGTGGACAGAGGGACTGATGAAATAGACTGGAAAGTCCAGCGACAGACCTACATGTTGTTGAGTCGGGGGACAGTTCACACGTTTATTTTATTATTTTAAATTGGATAATATTAAAAAGAAACAATTTTTAGAATAAAACCAAAAAAGTGGACCATGTATAGAACATTGTCATGATCCAAGGATAATGATTATGCAAATTCGGTACACTTCGGATCCAAAAATTAAAAAGAAAAAAAGAATGCTAATTTAAGGTTGGGCACAGTGGCTCACGCCTATAGTCCCAGCTACTTGGGAGGCTAAGGTGGGAGGATTTCTTGAGCCTAGGAGTTGGAGGCTACAGTGAGCTATGATTGCCCCACTGCCCTCCAGCCTGGGTGACAGAGTCAGACCCTGTCTCTAAATGTCTCTATTTTTTTTTTTTTTTACAAAAGAATGCTGATTTGGCTGGAGAGGATTCCTTCTTCAGCTGAGAGGTTGGCATAGACAATCTGCAAAGACCCTTGGAGCCCAAATATGATTCTGTGTTCAGCATTCACTAGGCTTCAGGCAGTTTCTACTTTGCCAGTAGTAGGTGTCATTTTCCCCATTTTGCAGGCAAGGAAACTGCAGCTCAGAGAGGCCGAGTCACTTTCCCAAGGCCACACAGTTCTTAAGAGGTCAGAACCAGGATATGTGTGCAGGCTTGACTCACAAGCTCATTCCTGTGCCATAGAGCACAAGCTTCTGCTGGCTATTTGAAGGTGTATGGGTGTGACTTTGGCCAGCCTCTTACTAGGGAAATAGAATATTCCTCTCCAGCATGCAAAATAGGAGGCCTTTGCCTTTAAGGAACTTCTGACTTTCCACTTCAGTCGGAGCTTTTATGGGTGCCGCATCCCAGAGACCCACAGAGGAGGTCTCAGTAGCAGCACTTTGAAGTCTCTCCCACAGGGCCCCCTCAGTTGAGCACAATTGTTGTCCAAAGACCAACACATTTTGGCTCTTGCTTGCCTTAATACTCCCTCTCCGTTCCCAAATACAAAAACATTGGCATTTCTTGGAAAGTGGTTTTGGCTCAAAGCCTGCTATCTATCCCACACTCTCAAGCCAGCTTCCTCAGGGCCCCTGTTGCTTTATTTCATTGAGTGTTTGTGTTTGGGGGCTGATGTTGCTGCCTCCTTTGTAAGGGGCCTCCTGGCAGGTGCCCAGAGAAGTGTCCTCACCAGCTAACCAACAGTCTTCACTGCAGCTCCCCTCTCCACACTGGGCTCAGTAGTGGTGAAAACCCACAATGCACACATGCAGAACCACTGAGGGTTTTTCTCCTTTCTGTGGTTATTCAATAGTATTTTTAATATCTCTTTTCTTGAATCAAGGGATAATTAACCTAAATTCATAAGTGGTCAGATGGATACATTTTGTACACACCTTTGTAACCACCTGAAAGAGGCTATAAAACAGTCTTGTCACCCCAGAAAAGGCCCTTCAGGCTCCTTTCCAATTCATTCCCTCTCCTCCCTCCCTGGAGCAACCACTTTCTGATTTCTAGCATTGTAAGTATTTTTGCCTGTTTTTCGACTTTGCGTCAATGAAATCTTACAGCATGTGCACTTTTGTATCTGGCTTCCTTCCTTCAACATGGTGGTTTTGAGATGCAATTGTGCCATTACCTGTAGCAGCAGTGCATTGCTTTTTATTGCTGAGTAGTATTCCACAGTTTGGGTGTGGCATTTACCTGTTGACCAACATTTAGGTTGCTTCCATTTTGTGGTTCTCATGAATAGGACTGCAATGAACATCTGAGTACAAGTCTTTTATGAATATAGGTTTTCATTTCTTTTGGGAGAATACCCAGGAGTGGAATGGCTGACAACAGGGCAGGTAGTTACTGAACTTTTCTAGAAGGTGTGAGACAGTTCTCCAAAGTGGTGGTGCCATTGACCAGTGGTGGACAATCGTTTCACTTGCACCATAGCCTCACCAACTTTTGGTGTTTCTAGTCTTTTAAATGTTTAGCTGTTGTAATGGATGAGATATGGTTGCTTAGTTGTTTTTTAAGGACATTTTAAAGAATTTTCCAGCATGTCAGTCAATGCCAGCTCAGACACTGAAAAGGTCCCATAGGAGGGAAACCAGGTGTTAAATGTTTAGGGACAGGAGGTTTCTACTAATCATCCCTGTCCCTAAAGCAGAGTCTTTCCAGCCCTGAGGGCTGTCTGTGGGCTGCCTCAGGGCAAGCTCAAGGCCGAAGCCCTAGAGCGGGGAACTAGGGAAGGGGAAGGAGGCCAGCAAGAGAGTCAGAGTGGAGAAGAGGAGGGCCCCTGCGCAGGGAACACTCTGAATCACACTGTGATAGCCACAGGACAAGTCTCAGGGCAAATGGTGTGGCACGCCACACAGACACTGATCGTCTAACGTGTAAGCAGCCGGCAGGCACAGAACAGCCCGTGAGCCTGCTCAGGGAGTCCCAGCCGGCTTGTCCTCTCAGCTGCTCTGACCATTCAAGGCAGATATGACAACATTTCCGAGGCAGAATTTTGTTACCGTCTATTTGGCATAGGCAACTGGAAATCCTCCAAAATCCAGTTGCCAGGCATGGAACCAGTTAGGTGGCAAGCATCAGAACCATTGGGAGCCATCCCTGGAAGTGCCAGCTATGGGCTTTCCTGGATTCTCCAACCATGTCCTCACAAGCGTGAAGCCTGCCTCTAAAATATTTCAGCCAATCCGTATATCTTGAAATTGAGTATTATGAATTTTACCCTTTTTAAAAATAGCCATCATGCTAAAGAGCAAGCCATCAATTTCACCACTTAAAAAAAAAACACACATTTCTAGCATTCCTGGTGCTCTTGAGTATTGATGGAGATGAAGAGATAACTGGAACTCCAGTAGCAGCCTCAGGATGGGAGCTTCCAGATTAGAACTTGAGCTTCCCCTCCATGGGGTGTGCACTTGCTAGCAGAATGGTGGCTAACTGGGTTAGGGGTTCACCTAAGTCAGACAGAAAATGTCCCACTGTAGGTGCCAGTGTATTTTAAGTTACAGACACCATAGCCCTGAGTCATGTACCTCTGGAGCCAGAGAGCTTAGGCCTAGGGAGAATTTTATCAACCTTGGTTTAGGGGGTGGGAGGCTGGGTTCAAGTCAGCTCTGACGTTTATTGCAGGGCTTGAGGTGGGTCTGGGGTTCTTGATCTATAAAATAGGGGCAATCTCTGCTTACCTCCTCAGGTGGTTGTGAAGGTTACAGAAGATACTTGGATGGGCCCTTTGCACACAAGAGCCCCCATGGTGTCAGTTTGGTCACTCCAAGATGGCAAGGACCCAGTGTGTTTAGAACCAGCATTTGGGAGAAGAACCCAGTGCAGGAGGAGGATGCTTTTGAATGGGCAGTCTTTGCCTAGAAAATCAATTATATAGGGCACCAAGGGAGAAAGCTGGCCCTAGGTTCTTGAGCCATAGATGCTAACTCTCCTAAAGGACTATCTACAGGGACCTTTCCTATAGAAAATCCAGTGTGGGGAGAAGGTAGAAATCCAGGCCTCCCTGCTCTGCAAACCAGCAAACCATCAAAGGGTACAAGGAGATAAGGGGGTTGCAGTCCTAGCAGATTCCTCTGGCGAGAAGCCAGGTGTGCCAACTTCCCAGGTATGTTTGCCTGTGTTGTGCCAGGGACCTGCTGCTTCTCCCTCCCACAACCCCCACCTTCTCACATGGGTGAGGGCCACCTGAGCAGCTGTGGGGCTCCAGGGAGTGAAGCTGCTGAAAACCCTGCCTTTTCCTGCTCCCTGGAGGCAGCTCCCTTATCCCTGCCAGCTCTGTGAATGCCAATGAAACAGACTCTTTCAGTGGATATTTATGCAGTTACAGAGCAAAGAATGGTCCTGACCCCATGTAAATACACTGATTCAAGTCAGGAAGAGCAGCCAAGGGTGTTCAGTGAATTTACTGCAGAAAAGCTAGCACGTGGAAGCTTGGAATTGGGCTGTGAGTACTTGGGCTGCTTCTAAGGTTCTGGTTTGAAAGCCACTGGTATGAAAGCCAGTGGGTTCTGGGGTGCTCTGAGCTTGGTGGAAGTAAAAGAGTGGGAGCTCCCAACAAGCAGAGAGAAGCCTGCCTGCCCCCAGCACTGTGCACAGGGTGGGTCCCAGGAAGCTCTGCATTACTTAAGGTAATGCTAGCTTTGCTTACTGACACATTGCAAGAGTACCGTGGCTCAAACACAATAGAAGTTGATTTCTCACTCACTTAAAGCCCCAAATGGTTTTTCCTGATGGCAGGCGGCCCTTCCCCCTGCAAGCCGTGATTCAGGCATGCAGGCCCTTCCATCCTGTGGCTCCACTATCTTCAACAGGGAGCTTCTAAAAGGTCCTTTTGCATCAAGCTGAGGGGAAGGGGAAAAGGGTTGGAGCATCACATGTGGAAGGAAGCTTTGTAGGATCCAGGCCTGGAAGTGGTGCCCCTCACTTTCAACTCACGTTCCCTTTGCTAGAACTCAGGCACATGGCCACACCCAACTGCAAGGGAGGCTGGAAAATGTAGTCCAGGAAGAAGATGAGATGGGTTTGGTGAACAGCTGGCCAGTCAGCCACAGATGAAATATTTCTGGGAAGCACGGGAATGAACCCCTGCCTGGGATGCAAGCTGGACCAGAGGCATGGGAAGTGAGAATTGAGCTCCAAAAAGAAAAGGGAGCACCTATTTCAAGCTGTGTCCTTCATGGGCCAATATTCGCTAGCTGCAGTGGTAATGGTGGAGAGGGAAGTCCAAGCAGGGCTGGGCCAAGACAGCAAAGCTAGGCAGACCTGCCTGAGGTGCAGATGCAGGCTGAGAAATCCTAGGTTCTGGTCAGAGACCGAAGACATCTCTACTTCTTCCTTCCTGCCTTTCTCTACTCCCACCTGCTCTCTGCACGCAACCAGGAACCTTTGCTCCTTTGCTGTCTCTCTTCCATCTCCTCCAGAAGTGCCTTCCCTGCAGTGAACGTTGTGCATGTTCTGGAAAGCTCTGACCCTCCCTCCCATCAAAACAACCATTCCCGGGGATTCACAGCTCAGTTCCTGGGGGTGGGGAGTTGGCGGGATGGGAAGCAACAATCCAACAAACCCAGTCACACCAAGGTGGTACCAGTCTGCTGGGGATGCTTAGAAACTGAGATGAGAAAATAAATGTGAAATACCTAGTGGGGAGCATGGTAAATGCTTAGTAAATGGTTTATTATCAACTTGTCAGTGTGCGTGTGAGAGGGAGTAAGTGGGGGTGGGGGGAAGAGAGAGAGAGAGAGAGAAAGAAAAAGAATGAAAGAAAGAAAGAAAGAACAAGAAAGAGGAGGAGGAGGAGGAGGAGGAGCTAGCAAAGCCCTGCAAATTAAACGGTTTTATCTTTTCCTCCCAACCTAATGGCTCACTAGTGAATTGATGGCTTCCTGCTCGTCAGGGCCTGAGAGAACATCAAGATTGTGTCGGTTGAGTTGTCAGTCCTTTAGGGCACAAGGTTAATTGATGGGTGATTCTGAACACCCTTTAAAAGAGCTACTAGGTTGGTGCAAAATTAATTGCAGTTTTTACCATTGAAAGGAATGGCAAAAACCGCAATTACTTTTGCATGAACCTAATAGATAACCCCTCTAATGTTTGAAGCACTCTTGACTCTCCGCTAAGCCTCACCAGCCCTGGGCTTCAGGCACCTAACCTACTAGCCTGCCCCAGACACACCTGTCCTCTTCTGCCTTTCCTTCTGTCCTGCACTTTTGGAAAACCCTCCTCCATTCCACCATCTCCTGCGCCAAAATCCTACTCATGTGGCAAGGTCCAGTTCACAGGTCAGCTGCAACAATAAAGATTTGATGACTGGAATTCAGAGGGAAAAAAATACCTGAGGTGGAACAGGTGAGGAGGGAGAATCCTGATTTAAGGATCCCCCTTGACTATTAGAGGGACAACAGGTGGCTTCACTCCTACTTGGCCACTCTGTGTGTGTGTGTGTGTGTGTGTGTGTGTGTGTGTGTGTGCACGTGTGCACATGTATGTGTGCAAACACATGCATTCTGGAACTCTTCCCCCAATAAAATAGGAAATAATACCTATAATCGTTATTGCTAACTAGCCAGATGTTATACAGCCGATCTTTTTCCTTCCCCCACCCCAACTTCGTATTGTTTATGCTATATTAGCTCCAACCATGATACTTGCTTTAGGACACATACAGTGAGTTTTTAGGGACTTCAAAAGCCTCACCAACCCTAAGATTCTGCGGAGGATGTTGTTCTGCTTTTGACAAAACAGAATTCCAGAAAGAAGCTTCCCTGTCTAAAAGATGAGTACTCTTCACCCTCTCTTTCCTGCATTGTCTGTACTTCTCGGGTCGAGGTTATTATTATTATTATTATTATTATTATTAGGCAGCATGCAGCTGATGAAGTGAAGTAGTGTTTATTTATTGATTTTTGGTCCCCGAGTTGGAACACAAGATCACCAGAAAAGAAACTCCCTCTGTGACTCATCCCAGGAACATCTTGCATTCCAGCCAGCACAAATATGATTCAAAGAACTTTCTGGAGGGCCCCAGTTATATTTTAGCAAAGGAACACATTAGCTATGCTGACCATCTCTTGAACGTTTTGCTTTTGGAAAGATAGTCATCTCTGGCCCCCTCGTGTGTCTTGTTTTTTTTATAAGATCTTGAGTCACACCCCTTTTGAGCTGATTCCCCTGTAGTGTGAGCATTGTTATTATAAAGGAGTGTCTTCTTCACAGGGGTTACAGAAGGTACCACCAACTGGGGAAACATTTGGTCATGGTGGCCTAAATTAATGACATTTCGATATTCACATAAGCATTGAGACTTTCCAGGCCATGGCTGGTGTAGCAGACATTTGTCGGTGTCCTGCCATTTCCTGCCCAGACTGGCCTCTTATACACCAAATGCTACTTACTGCAAACATCCATGATGCTCCCTAAAGGTGTGAGTTTTTGGTTTTTGGTTTTTGTCTCAGGAGCACACTAGATCTGCATGCTGGGCTAGCTGGAAGTGCCAAGGAATGACTACATCCTCCAGGAGCAGCCCTTGGCCAGTGATGGATGGGGGCGGGTGAATAAACAGCCCAACTTCCTAGCCTCTCGGTTGAGATGACTCTGAGGTCTCCCCAGTGGAATTGAGCTTCAGTTGCCCACAGTGGTAACTTGTTTGATAAATTGGCTTCCTTGCTTTCCCTGTCTCACCACTTCACTCCTCTACTGGTGTTGTCTGGGATCTTCTCCCAAATAAATTACTTTCAGTTAATCCTTGCCTCAGGGTCTGTTTGTGGGGGAGCCCAAGCTAAGACAACTAGCTAGTTGAGTTCACCAAAACCCAACAGCCTCCTCTCTTCACTCCCCTTGCCCTGTTCATCACCATCGTTAGTAATGATTCAAAGCACATAATAGGTGATGGTCATGAAGTTGCCATTGTGGCTGTAGCGCTGCAGTAGGGTGTTGTGCATGGGAGTGCAGTCCTTTGAGAGCCCTAACTTCTGCATGGAAACCTGGTAAGACAGAAACCAGCGTTTCAGGAGGTAGCCAGTTCAGTAACAGGGCCCTGGACAACTTTGGATGCTGCTAAAATCTCTGCACCAGGGAGGCACGTACTCAGGAGGTTCATGTTGGGTGAGCAATAAGTGTTTGCTGATTGTGTCTGTAAAGGAATGAATAATTGACTCACATTCATGTCCTTCCTTAGTTCTGAGTGCTTAAGGGTCAAGGTCACGCCCCTGCCCCCTTTATTTGATCTCAGGTGCCTTCCAATGGGCCCCGCAAACTTAATCATAGTTGTCGGTTCTTATCTCTATGGAGAGATTTCAAGACAGCTAGGAAGGTTCCTCCCCATGACCAGTATCTGAAATGACTCAATTATAGTTTCATTTCTTTGTCCATAGCTTTATTACTGGCTGGATTATCTTTATTATACCAATAAAGGAACATAATACTTCAGCCTTATCAGTCATGCACCTCATTGAGAATGAGTTTATCAGCTTCTTTCTGGAAAACCCAATTTTGATGGGAGAAATCTAATAATTCTGACTATCCAAGGAGAGATTGGAGGAGCTGGCGGGTAGGCAAAAATAAATATTAGACACAGAAAGAAGGTACATTTAGATTTTTTTCCTGGGACTGATAACTCAGCCAAGCCACAAGGGGATGTGCTTGATGATTTTAGAGGCATAGGAGAAGTTCTGCCCAAATTTGGAGCACCTTCCCTAAGTACTTGCAGTACTCAGACTTGTAAACAATGCTATATTTTATTTTTTTTACCATGTCCTCACTGTGCTAAGAAGTTCCAGTCCTGTCTCTCCCTCCACCCTGCTGTCCTGCAACCAAGCTATTGTAGGTTACAGCATCCCCTTGTGGCCAGCTAAGTAACTCTCATTCAGTGTTTTCCTCACAGCTTTCCTCAGTTTCTCTGTGTTCTTTCACTCTTCTGTTATAGCTAACCAATCTTTCCTTTGGACCTACATGAACTTTTGAATCTTCTCTCCTTCGACTCTTGCCTAGTTACCTCAAAAAGGCTCTTTGCTTTCTCTCTCCCTCTTATCCTTACCCTCATCCTCTCCGCTTCCACTTCTTCCATGTTTTTGTGAGTGAGAAAATGAGCTTCATCGCCACTGAAAAGTAGGAGAGGAGAGCTACTTAAGCTCTCGTGCAAAGGAGAAGGAAAACTGAAGGATATGAAGTGAAATTATGTGCGGTCAATCAGCAGTAACTTCCGAACCCTTGAAAGTGCTCATGAGTCCATATTCAAGATACAAAAGGTTCTGGCCACCTTTTCTTTCTCCCCCAGGCTTTCAGTCTGAATGAGAAACAGATTTGTGTATTTATTTGTCTTCCCACTATATTTAATTTCTAACATTGGGAGAGCATTGTTTTCTGTTTTCACTTCAAATGCTCATTTCAGCTATGTTGGGTGTTAGGTGGGTTTTTGTGGGCTGGCCTGGAAACCTTCCCGTCAGGTGTAACACCAAGCTTATGGTAAGTGCCTTCTTAGTTCCTAGTAGCTGATTTTTACATGAATCTTTGAACAAACAGGGTTGCGAATGAATAAAGCCATTCAGGTGCAAAGGGAGCATGGGTGATACTACTCAAGATGCTCACAAGAAATATGGCCGGTGGATCTGATGATGCCAATGATGCCAATGGCACAATGATGATGATGGCACTGACAATGAGAATGATGGTGAAGATGAAGACTGTATCGACAGTGCTGACAACAATAATGCTAATGACATTGATGATGGTACCAGTGATGATGATGACAATACAATAATTGCCATGATTTACTGAGCACTTTCTGTGTGTCAGGCACTGTGCCAAGTACTTCACTTAGCTTATCTCCTTTAATCATTACAACCACCCAATGTGACAGGTTTTTTTTTTTAATCATTTTACACAGAGAGAAACTGAGGCTGAGAACTTACTTGCCCCAGGTCACACAGCTAGCAAAATTAGGCAGAGCTGAAGTTTGAACCTAGGCCTGTCTAAGTTCAAAGCTTATACTCCTAACCACTCTCATAGGGGGCCCAGGGCCCAGGGTGAGGCTGACACTGTCTCCATGCCAAAGGGTGGCAAGGGATTCACATGCATTAGAAGAAGGGGAAAATCTGAACTCCAGTTCTTTGTACTTCAGAAATCTGCACCCCTTCCTTCCAGTGACCCCTCAGAGGGTCTATTTCTGGCACACTGGTCTCTGGAAAATGTCCTGCTAATGACACAGGATTATAAACAGTCTTTTTCCCAGAACAAAAATTTAACCTTTGTATCTCAATCTAATTAGAAGTATTTTCTCTTCCAGAGGCAGGTTTTTTCCTCCTCTTTGTTCCAAATTTAAGAGGTTTCTTTGTTGCCAGAAAAATGTCCAAAAACCGTAGCTCTTTAAGATGATAGACCTTGGCCCAAGACCTTAAACGTGACCTGAGCTCCTGCATGAGATGGCTGTTCCAGCAGCAGCACCTGAGGGTGCTTGGGGTTCTGGGTGTCCAACCGAACTGTAGGGCATTGGCCCAATGCAGGGATGGGCACTTGCTGACTCTCACAGTCCCCTGTCCAGGTGAGTGTTCCCTACCACCACCAGCAGCTCTTTATGATTTTCTTCTGTGATGCTGAGGTTTGCCAAGACCTGAGGAAGGCAGTTCATTCCTGTTAGTATCAGGAGCAGCCATCTCTAGAAAATATACATTTGTTCCTTTCCTTAGAGAGATCCTTGCATGAATATCACCCCTTCCAGCTGTCTAGGGACTGGCATTCTTACCTTAGAGACTTACTCCTTTACCTCTGCAGGAAATGTGAGCCTTAAAGGAGCCCTGTTAAAAGCAGATAATCCTGGGATAATATGGATTTGGTTAATATCTTCAGAATGGAGCCAAGAGAGATGGCAACCTGCCTACAAAGAAAGTGGTATCAGGTTGGAGGAATAAGAGATGCATGCCTGGCACACAGTAGGTGCCCACATCATTTTTGAAAGAATGAATAAAAATGAATGGCCACAAATCTAGTTCCATACTGTAGCCCTGCAGTCAGGCCCGTGTGGGCCCCCAAACCCATCATAGATCCTTTGCGGGCAGGCTGAAGGTAGTAGGGGCTTGGAAAACCAGGCCTGGGAGCTGGTGGCGTCCTCCCTCCAATTCCTCCTTGGTGCTCCCACTTGCCCATCCTTTGGGGCCCACAGCAATTCCTCCTCCGGCAGCTCCTGGGAGGCTAGGTTTGACTCCTCCCCAGCAGGCACCACTGGCTCCAAGGAGGCCTGAGTGAGAGTAGGGCAGTCCCCCATGTTACAAAAGAGGAAACTGAGTCCCAGATGTATAAAACAACATTCCAACAGTCATGAAAAGTTCATGTGTGTCCTGAATCTCTTCATTTCAATGACTTATCTTTTGGATATCACTGAGTCAAGGCATGGGGGTGTTCTTTTTTTGAGCAAGCTCCTCACCTGTCAAACTTTTTGACATTTTGTTGGTTGAATAAAGCCATCCCACATACTTTGGCGTTAGATGCTGGTTCCAATAGAGATGTTCTAATCTTGGGTGACTGACTGTGCTGACTCTATAGCTCGTGTGTTAAACTCAAGTGCTCCTCAACATCCTTTGAAATGTGAAACAGAGGCAACAGGTGGGGTAATGTGCCTTTAAGGAAGGAGAACGGGTCTGGGAGTCAGTGTACTCTATGCTGTGTGAACTTGAGCAAGTCACTTCTCCTCTGAGCCTCAGGTTCCTGTTCTTCAAAACAAGAGGGGTGGGGCCGGGCACGGTGGCTCATGCCTGTAATCCCAGCACTTTGGGAAGTCGAGGTGGGAGGATTACTTGAGGCCAGGAGTTCAAGACCAGCCTGGGTACCATAGTGAGATTCCAGTCTCAACAAAAATAAAAGTAAAAATCAGGTGGGCATTGTGGCACACACCTGTAGTCCCAGCTACTTAGGAGGCTGAGGCAGGAGGGTTGCTTGAGTCTTGGAGGTTGAGGGTGCAGTAAGTAATGATTGCACACTGTACTCCAGCCTGGGCAACAGAGTGAGACTCTCCCCCCAAAAACACAAAAAAACCCAGAAGGGGTAGGTTGGGCCAGTAACACTAAGACTTGTTAAGGCAGGGGCACCCTGGAAGTCTCCCTGGGCCCTGAGAGCTTCATTTCTCCTGCTGAGTTGTAACGTTTTCATTCTCACACTCCTATTAGAAAAAAAAAATTTTGAGCACTCCCCTTAACACACACACACATGCACACACATATATAATTAGATTTATATGCCTTCCTATATTTATTACATACACTATAAAATAAAAAACAGGAATTAAAAAGATTAGATGATAAAACAAACATAAATAAGTTTTATGATACCTCAGGGCATGACCTTACCTCCTCTCACTGGGAAGACCTTGGGCCCTCCTGCTGTTTATGGCCAGTTTCTGACGCTTGGCTCCACTTCTCCTATTTTTCACAAATATCAGATCAGAGATAATATTTGTACTCTGTCCTCCCTAACAGATCTTCCCCGTAGCCACTGTCCGTCCTCATGAAGTTTAGTCCCAGTTGCAATGTTTGTGGTCACTACTGTTTTCATAAATGAATTAGCGTGTCAGGGAACTCATCTGTAAAGCTAATCTGGGCATTCATATTCCCTTCAGAGGGCTGTGTAGACCTCTGGATGTAAAAGGCAGTCGACCATAAGGCAGGTGACTATTTTGTGTATTCCTCATATTTTAACCAATTTGAGACTACATTCATGTGGTAATTATGTTCACAGCTTTGGTAAAAAGGACCTGTACTGATGTTTAAAGCTTAGAAAATTTAACCACTGGGGCAAGTAATTGACAATTATTATACCCTATGGGGAGAGGAAAACCAGTTGTTACCCAGTTGGAATTACTTCTTAGATATTTAGTGCATCTCAAGTCCCGAATGGTAAAACCATGTACATGTAGAATTAAATGATGAAAATTATGCTTTTCTTACTTGGCTCATAGAGAGTGGCTGGTGATTTTTATGCAGAATTAGGTTAGTCATTGAAGGTTTGGTTTAAGTACTGAATGGAAAGCACAAAATAGACTCAGAATAGGGCATTGATGGAAGGGGCAAGATTCTTAGCAGAGGTCTCTGGGAAGTCAGCCTTGCAAGAGGGAGAGCCATCTCACGTCTTCCTGGGGGTGAGGGCACATGGGGAGACACTGCGGGGGCCGGGGGGGAAGAGGAGGGAGTTTGGTGTGTTGATAGCCTCAGTCTTTTCTGGGAAGTAAGAAGGAAGATGGGCGATTGAGAAGGTCAGCAGACCAGCAGTCGTGTGCTCTGGCCTTTAGATTAAGGGTCCGCAACCTCACTGTACATTAGAATCACCTGCTGCATCCTAGAATAATTAAATCAGAGTCTTAGGGGTAGGACCTAGGCATGGTTTTTTTTTTAAGTTCCAGATTACTCCAATGAATAGCAAAATCTGAGAACCAGTGGTAGACCAGCACTTCTCAGACTTTAATGTGCATACACATCTCCTGGGGCCCTGTTTGGAAGGCAGATTCTGATTCAGTGGGTCTGGGCTGTGGCCTGAGATTTGTATTTCTAGCAAGATCCTGGGTGCTGCTGCTGCTGCTGCTCCAAGGACCCCACTTTGAGCAACAAGGGCATCCAGGGGTATTCAATCTTTTGGCTTCCCTGGGCCACATTGGAAGAAGAATTGTCTTGGACCACACATAAAATACACTAATGATAGCTGATGAGATAAAAAAAAGAATTGCAAAAAAAATCTCATAATGTTTTAAGAAAGTTTACAAATTTGTGTGGGCCGCATTCAAAGCCGTCTGGGCCGCATGCGACCCTTGGGCCGCCAGTTGGACAAGCTTGGGTAGACAGTCCTACTTTGACTAGAAATAATTGATAGCCGTCTCCATGCTCCATAGAAACCAAAGCTGTTGATATTTTACAATTGGAAAACCCATATCTTGAGAAAATTTTCAGCATATGTTTTAAGATGTGATTGTTGTAGGGGAAGAAACTTACCTTGATAGATGGCTTAATTTAAAAAGCAAAATACTTGACCTCTAATTTAGGCTATTCTCCAAGTCCTAAAATCCACCTATTTGTTGGTTGCGGGCATCTAACACTGACCCATCAGAGCCTCCCGTGGCTGGTGAAGGTGAGTGGCTGCCATGTTCTCCCACCATGGCACCTGCGGGTCTGACCCTCTGCTCTTCCCGAAACAAGAGCCTGGTGACCTCTGTAAGAAGTGGCCTTGTGTAAGTTTTAGTCAGCCTTTTTGAGTTGCAGCTTACTCATCAATAAAAAGAGTCGGCAAGAGACTTGAGATGTCAGCTTTAATGTCCCTGCCCACCTTGACACTCCATGAGTGTATAAATGGTGTGCCTGCGACAAGAGGGTGAGGATGAGAACACCAGGCTCAGGAAGGCTTAGGCGTTCATTTGTGCACCAATTCATCCAGAAGATATTTCCTCAGCACCTACTAGTGCCAGATATGAGGTGGGAGACTATCCCCTGCTCCTGGAGAAAGAAGTAAATAAGAAATCCCAGTATGGGCTGGGCAGAGTCAGGACTAGACAAAGTCAAGTTGGGGTCCTTTGGGAGCCCAGTGAGGGTGGGGGATGATCTCAGAAGAAGCAACTTTAGAGCTGAACCCCTTAAGTCAGACAGATGAGCAGGAGTTGGCTGGGTGAAGGCTGAGGTGGGAGAGAGCTCCAGGCTAATGGTCAGACCCTAGGGAGACCGGCCTCTGGTATAATTAGATCTTTGCAATAATTAGATGAGGGGTTCAGATAACAGTTCTGTGACCCCATGATATGGTTTGGCTTTGTATCCCCACCCAAATCTCACGGCAAATTGTAATCTCCAGTGTTAGAGGTAGGGGCCTAGTGGGAGGTGATTGGACCATAGGACTTCCCCCTTGCTGTTCTTACGATAGAGTTCTCAACAAAATCTGCTTGTTTAAAAGTGTGTGGCACCTCCCCCCACCTCTTGCCGGCCACGTGAAGATGTGCTTCCTTCCCCTTCACCTTCTGCCATGATTGTAAGTTTCCTGATCCCCAGAAGCAGAAGCCTGTATGGCCCACAGAACCGTGAGCCAATTAAACCTCTTTTCTTAATAATAAATTACCCAGTCTCAGGTATGTCTTTATAGGAGTGTGAGAACAGATTAATACACCCCAAAAGTCTGCAAGCAGAGCTAGTCTCCCAGTCCCTCCCTACCTCCTCATCTGTCCTGGGCCCTGAGTCTTTTCCCCACTGTCTCCATACAGGGGGCACATGGGCTACATGGGGGTGAGGCCCTAGCAACTGGCTGCAAACCAAGATGGTGAGGTCTCCAGGGTCTCCAGCAACTTGCAGATCCAGGTTGCCTGCTTCCTACCCAGCCACACTGCCACTGTTTACTGACCTCCACTCCCACACCCCTGGGGATAATGGGGACAGGTGGAATGGATGGGTGCCCTCATTTAAACCCATTTGAAAATGTTTTGCAAAACGCAAACGAAATGTTCCCTGTCACCTCTGAAGAAATTCATGCCCCCTGGGCTTGAGCATCAACCGGCTCCTTTGATGCTCCTTGATTTGAAGAGGTCCCCCACCCACCCTAGGCCCAAGCTAATCAGCAGCTTGTCTGAGTGGGGAGATGGGCCTCCACCTTCTCTCCAGTCACTATCTGGCTACTTGGCTTGTCCTCAGGGACACAGACTCACCCTTTGAACCCACAATTCATGAGATAGTTTTGTATTCTTAGGGCATCGCCGAGGCTTCCAGTATTAGCCCCTGCAGCAGCAACACCCACTATGCTCCCACTGGATGCACCCAGACCACCTCAGCTGCTGACTCAGAGTCAGAGTGGGGTGCTTGCTGGCAGGTTGAACAGCAAGAGGAGGAGATGTAGTGAGAAAGACCGAACGAGGCTTTCTGGGAGGTGGGAGGGTGCATGATGAAGGCCAAGTTCATGTTCCTTTGCCTGGGTGTCCCAAGGCCAGCGCCATACTTGGTGGGGACTAGGTGGAGGCAGGCAAGCCTGTCTCAGGGCCAGCAGCTCTCTAGAGAAAAGCCCAGGGCTACTCTCAGGCCTGCTTTGGCTGAGTAGTCAGGCAGATCTGGAGCTGTCCTGTTGAAGGAGGTGGAAGTGAGGTTTGGGCCAGGGGTTTTTCCCCTTTGCCCTGAGATCCTGCATACTGCTCCCCTCTACCCACACCTTGGCCTGTCCTCTGTCCTTCATCCCACTGGGCCTCAGCGTTTTTCCCAGAGACTTGAGTCACAGCAGGGGATGCAAGGGCCTCTCTGTAGCTCATTGGTGCTGAGATGCCCTCCAACCCATGTGACATCTGTCTCTGGAAGGCAGGCTGGGGACAGGTGAGTAACCAGAAGTAGGCTGAGAGGATGGAGGCCCCTCAAGCCCTCCAGTAACAGAACCATAGCCACTTCGGGCTGCAGTCCCCAAGGACAGGAGGAACTCCGGTGACCAGAGGGACAGACGAGGCCCCTTGTGGGGGAAAAAAGAACAACAGTTCAATGACTTTACTGGGAAGGACCTGGCCTCCACTTTGAAGAAATGTGATGCTCTCATACTGTTTCCTGCATGCCTCTGCAGGCACATGCACTCGGTGTTGAAGGAGAGGCTGTGGGGACTGCTTTTCCCAGGAAACAAAATGCATGGAGGGGCGTGGCCTTCACAGCTCTCCCAGTCGAAGGGAAGCCTGGGAAGCCCAGCCTTTATGTACCTTTAGGCTAGTTATTTAATCTCCCTGTGGAATCAGTTTTTCCACCAACAAAATGGGCATAATTGTAAGACCCCTCTGGCTGGGTTGTTCTCAACAGAGGGCCTGGCAAATGGTAGATGCTCAATGAGTTGTAGCTCTTGCCATCCATGGGAGGAACAGGGGCCTGAGGGAGGCCGCCTGCCCTGGCAAAGTCCTCTTTTCACTTTCTGAGCAGGACTGTTCTGGGAATGTTAGCAGGCCTAGACCAAAGCCAGGCAGGGAAGGGACTGAGGTTTCACAGGAAATGATGAGAACTGGTACCTAAGCTGAAGGTGTGTGCAAGGAGCAGGTGGAGGAGGCATCCAGAAGTTTGTCTTCTTTCCTTTGGGAGGGGATTGAGAGAAGCAGACAGGGAGGGAGAGAAGCTGCCATTTCTGCGAGGGTGGAGAGATGCAGCTGTTATGAGAAAGCTGTCTCACAGCTGGATAATCCTAACCCCACAGGAAGACCAAATGTGGCACAGAACATGTCTTGACTTCTGTAGCTGCCCTTGTCCTCACCAGTCCTACTGCAGCTTCCCTTCAGCCTTTTCTTACCCTTCCCCAAGGGTTCTGGCCACTGTGAGGGACAAGGATCTGGCCTTAGGTTCTCAGGGCCTTCATGGGGCTTTGTGCAAGTGGCCAACAAATATTTGTCCTGCTGATGTGGATGCCTCTCCTGGCATAACGTTGATGCGTTTGCATGCTAGCAGATCTCTGATCAAAGACGTGTTGCCTCCACTAGAGTATAATGTCCATGAAAACAAGAACCTCGTCTGTTTCACTCAGGATGAGTGAATGAATGAATTCATACATGCATGCATGAATGAATGGTGTATTAGAGGCCAGGTGCAGTGGCTCACACTTGTAATCCCAGCACTTGGGAAGCCGAAGTGGGAGGATCACTTGAGGCCAGGAGTTCAAGATGATCCCGGACAACATGGTGAAACCCCATCTCTACTAAAAATACAAAAATTAGCTGGGCATGGTGGTGTGCACCTGTAGTCCCAGCTACTCGGGAGGCTGAGGCAGAAGAATCACTTGAATCCAGGAGGCAGAGGTTGCAGTGAGCCAAGATTGCGCCACTGCGCTCCAGCCTGGGCTGCAGAGCAGGACTCCCTCTCACAAAAAAAAAAAGAAAGAAGAAAAAAGAAAAAAAAAAAAAGGCATGTTGGAGGCATGGCATCTTCTGGGCTGAATCAGGATTCACTCCTAAAGAACCAGACCCTTCAGCTAGGGCAAGCCCCCTCAGCCTCCCTGGGGCCAGGCTGCCTCCCAACTCTGTCCCAAGGGGGTTACTGGCCAGCATGCTGGGTCACCTCATGGCTTCCAGAGGGAGACACGCTCTGGATCCTGCCAAAGGTGTGGCCCACCAGTCATTCTCCACAAAGTTGTTTGCACAGCATCCTTTCCCTCCCCCCTTCTCCTCCTGCCTCAGAGAAACTCCTTGTTCTGTGCATGTGACACATTCTGATTGCCTGGAAATACCACAGAGTTGTTCATTTGTTAAAGCTGCCTTACTGTAGTGAGACATCATTTGCTTATTTCTTTTCTTTTCTTTTCTTTTTTTTTTAAAGGAGTCTCACTCTGTCACCCAGGCTGGAGTGCAGTGATGCGATCTCGGCTCACTGCAACCTCCGCCTCCTGAGTTCAAGCCATTCTCCTGCCTCAGCCTCCCGAGTAGAGTAGCTGGGACTACAGGCGTGCGACATCATGCCCAGCTAATTTTTGTATTTTTAGTAGAGATGGGATTTCATCATGTTGGCCAGGCTGGTCTCGAACTCCTGACCTCAAATGATCTGCCCACCTCAGCCTCCCAAAGTGCTGAGATTACAGGCATGAGCCACTGCACCCAGCCTCGTTTGTTTATTTCTAGCCCCATGGTGTGCTGGGCCGCCTCTCTTTCTTTGGAGGTTGTGTTGGTAATTTCGGGGTGAGGAGAGGAGGACGAGCTGACCACAGGACTAAAGTCTAGGCAGTTGGGATAGATGAGGTAAAAAATCTCAGTTGCCCAAGGCCTGCCCAGTGAAACTGAGGATTATTGAATTATTATTGAGCCCAACCAGACTCCAAGGCTGCTCAGATCCCTGAGTTAGACATGGTGCCTGCCTTCTCCATGGTAACGAGGCCAAATATGGACAGGTTTCCATGGAGAGCCCTATCGCATCTGCAGCCCTGCTTCCACCAGGAAGCACACGCGCTAGGTGCCTTTGGCCTCTCAGGAGGTGGCCAGAGGTCTGTGGGAGGTGCCGAGGACATTGAGAAAGTGTGCCTGACCTATGAGGATTTTCGTTTCCAACAAGTGTTCCATCTCCCCAGCCCTAGGCTCACCAATGCCCTCTTCCTCTTGGCAGCTAGATATTAGGAGAGGCCACAGATCAGATAGATGAGCTGATTGGGGAAGTGACAGTGGACCCAATGACCATTCATGCAAGTCATCATCGATCTTCACCTTGCCCTGGGGAACGGATTTTGCTGTTACTGGGAGAAATGGGAATGTCATTGGTCAGAGGGAGACAGAGAGACAACTGTAATGACCCTTGTGCTTATCAAACCTCTTTTGGAAGAATGATTGCTACAGAGTATTTAAAATGCCATTTTCCATAGTCATAGCATATTCACATGTGACAAGGCATTATTTTTTTCCTTAAAGGAAAGTAAGTCTTCACTGCTTATTTGAATTTGAACAAGTCAAATTTCTACATATCTTAACTGTCTGACATAGCAACTTGGACTGAAACTTCGTTTTTGTTGAAGGCCAAACATATAAGCTGAGAATTAGGCTTAAAAAATGCCTGGTTTAACCTCACTTGGCTATTTACTGATTACATCATCTGCATTTATAGCTTAATCATCTGTTAAATTGGGGTTCTCCACGCACACAGGATCATGTGGTTGTGTTTGTATATATTAGGAGATATCTATAACCTGAACATATACATAGAGAGATGGGTTATGCTCCCTGGTTAACTAAAACGTGGAAACTTTCTAAAGATGTGAGAGAGCTCTTAAGGCAATTATAAATAGTCTTTTAAGGAAGATTCATATTGTATGTTCTGTGTTGCAGGCCAAGTGGCATCAGAGCTGAGTGATGGACGACCTGCAGTCCCAGAACCTCTCCATGGACATGACTGACTCCCCTCCTGCCTTGGCTAATAACAGACTGGAGAATGGCATGGCTCAGCTGATCACCACCGAGGCCTGGAACATCAACTCCACTGACCTGGTAAAGAAGGCCCTGGTGACCGTGCCAGCCCCATCCATTCTGAACCCCCCTGCCGAGTCTCAGAGTGGCATGGCTCTGAAGGTGGCGGCCACTGTGTTGCAGCCCCTGTGCCTCGGGGAGAGCCCAGTGGTGATGCCCATTCACATGCAGGTGGAGGGAAGCTCCGCACCAGAGCTCAATCCGAATGGCAATGCCACCTACGTCATGACCACCCAGGGCCCCGTGCAACTGCCCGTGGTGCTGGAGCAGCACGTCTTTCAGCACCTCAACTCCCCTCTGGTCCTGCCGCAGGAGGCCCCATGCTCCTCCAGTACCATCCACAACAACCTCTTCCAGGGAGCGGAGGACCCCGAGGCCCAGCCCCAGCTCCTGGACCTGAGGATCCCCAGCCAGCCGCAGGAGCCCACTTTGCCATTTGAAGCTGTGCTCCAGAATTTGTTTCCCTCCCAGGGCACTCTCGGGCCCCCACCCTGTCAGCCTCCTCCTGGCTATGCCCCTGTGCCCCCACAGCCTTTTAGCTCCCCCTTGTCCCCCCTGGTCCCACCAGCCACCCTCTTGGTGCCGTATCCTGTAATCGTCCCCTTGCCTGTGCCAGTCCCTATTCCCATCCCCATCCCGATGCCTCAGAGTTCTGAATCCAAGTTCAGCTCCAGTTTCCCCAAGCCACCATCTTCCTTCGGCCTGCACCCCTTTAAAGGCACCCAGACCCCTCTGGAAAAAGATGAACTGAAGCCCTTTGACATCCTCCAGCCTAAGGAGTACTTCCAGCTCAGCCGCCACACGGTCATTAAGATGGGAAGTGAGAACGAGGCCCTGGATCTCTCCATGAAGTCAGTGCCCTGGCTCAAGGCTGGTGAAGTCAGTCCCCCAATCTTCCAGGAAGATGCAGCCCTAGACCTGTCAGTGGCAGCCCACCGGAAATCCGAGCCTCCCCCTGAGACACTGTATGACAGTGGTGCATCAGTGGACAGCTCAGGTCACACAGTGATGGAGAAACTTCCCAGTGGCATGGAAATTTCTTTTGCCCCTGCCACGTCCCATGAGGCCCCAGCCATGATGGATAGTCACATCAGCAGCAGTGATGCTGCTACCGAGATGCTCAGCCAGCCCAACCACCCCAGCGGCGAAGTCAAGGCTGAAAATAACATTGAGATGGTGGGCGAGTCCCAGGCGGCCAAGGTCATTGTCTCTGTCGAAGATGCTGTGCCTACCATATTCTGTGGCAAGATCAAAGGCCTCTCAGGGGTGTCCACCAAAAACTTCTCCTTCAAAAGAGAAGACTCCGTGCTTCAGGGCTATGACATCAACAGCCAAGGGGAAGAGTCCATGGGAAATGCAGAGCCCCTTAGGAAACCCATCAAAAACCGGAGCATAAAGTTAAAGAAAGTGAACTCCCAGGAAATACACATGCTCCCAATCAAAAAACAACGGCTGGCCACCTTTTTTCCAAGAAAGTAAATAACGGCTTTTTAAAATTTGTATGATTATAATATGGGGAAAGGTGCATTGGTTTTATAAAAAGGCATTTAAAACAAATTATCTTTGTTAATTATTTTGGGGAGTAGTTGGGAAATGGAAAGGTGAATTGGCTCTAGAGGCCCTGTATGCTAGTATCATTTTCTTTTTTAATTTTTGACTTTTCACAAATGAGTAAATAAGAGCAACCTATTTTTCAAGCAGATTGCACATTTTTTGCAGCTTTAATGGAATATTGGGTGAATTAGAGGGGTAAAAAAAGCTATTTTCATTGCCACAAAGTGCTTTGATGATGTAATACCTAATAAAGGGTAGGATGAATATTTCACAATAAATGTTTGTTTGCACTAATTGGTTGCAGTATTTCATCATTTATAAAATTTACATTCCTTAACTGGCATAATTTGGCCAAAACTCTTGCTTGTGAAAAGCTGTAAGTTATCTGTGATTAGAGACCTAAGCTTTTCAGGCATATTGGAAAATATTGCCCTATGCCCCAGTAAAAGGAGGGTTAGGAATATGGATGACCTTGAGCAAGTCATTTCCCACTTTGGCCTTGGGTTTTTTAAATTTCATTTGTAAAATAAATAAATAAATAAGTGGCAAAGAAAAGGGACAGCGAGGTGAGTTTCAAGTGCCTGAGGCTCCTTCCAGTTCATATAGTTCTTGGGTGTGTAGAATTCTGTGCCTGGACCTTCCATAGTGTAAGACAAGACAAATGTCTCACAACAAAAAAGTAACCTGCTTCCTTCCCACCAACCAAAAGTTTAGTTGGAAATGCCCTTCTTTTCAAGGGCAGTAAGAGCATTGTTCTCAATGATTGAAAATCTTGCAAGTCAGAAGTAGTGGCGCAGGCTAGTGGATCAAGAGATGGCTCATACTTTTTCCCAGCCTTGGATAGAGATCTTTGAGGGTGGAGCCAGGGAGAGAAGACAAAGTCATTCTTTTCTAGTTTAGCCTGGTGATTATCAAATGGGGTGATTGTAACCCCCGGGGGATATCTGGCAAAGCCTGGAGACACTTTTGGTTGTCGCAGCTGGGGGGAGAGATTACTACTGGCATCTAGTGGGTAGAGGTTAGGGATGTTGCTAGACATTCTATAACACACAGGACAGCCCCTAGACCCCAACAAAGAATGATCTGACCTGAGATGTCAGTTGTGCTGAGGCTGAGAATCCCTGGTTAAGCCATTTCTTGACGGACAGAAACGATGCGCGTGGAAGGAGACTGCAGCTCTACCCTGACAGCAAAGGCCACCCACACAAATGAGGAACTGGAGGAACTGTGAATGTGCATTTAGAATAGACCTGCTAGGTGGCACAGCACACTTGTGTCTGAAACTGTGCTGGCAAGAGACTGATGATTGATGCCTGCTTTTAAACTTAAAGCTTTTTTTTTTTTTTTTTTTTTCACTTCTTGCAATTAGTATGTATCCAGCTGTTACAGGGAATATGAACAGGAGGAAAAGCAGTTGTGAGACTGTTCTTTTATTACCAGGCCCTCCGTGTACAGGGTTACAGCTTTAGCTGGCCCTGTATCATACACCCAGAGTGAATTTTCTTTCTCCTGCTCTTTTCCTGTGTTAATTTTTTTTTTTTTCAAAATGTGACCGAATAGCTGTTTCTCGTCAGGCTGACTAGTCCCAGTCTATAGCATCAGCTACACGCCATCCTTTCAGTGTCTACATGGCACAGTCCTTTTTTCCATTTTTATTCCTAGTGTGGGTTTCTGGCCATGTTTCCTGAGCATAGCACAAGTCTTCTGGTTTCAAATGGAACACAAAGGGGCCTGGGCACCAGCGGTTCCCATTCGTCAGCTGTCGTTTCTCCCCATGCTTACGGTTATTTCCTCCTGCCACTGCAGTGCTGGGTGGCCTTCCTACACCAGCTGATGGGGCCTGTGTCTTTGCAATATGCTGGGAAGAGCTGCTGAGTCTCTGGCTTTCAGGGCACAAAATTCACCATTTGCCCTTTAGAAGCAAGTGCTTAAAGCCGAGTGACATACAAGAGAAAAGGAAGGCAATGGTAGCCTGTAATTACCTTATAAACCTCAAGCCACATGTTTCTCTTTGTTGTATCTGGGAAGCCCTTTTCCTGTTCTTTTCCTGTGTTGTTAAAATTTCTCTTTCAAAATGTGACCAAATAGCTGTTTCTTGTCAGGCTGACTAGTCCCAGTCTATAGCATCAGCCAGACGCCATCCTTTCAGCTTCTACAAATGGCAAACTTTGTCCCCTCAAAGCCAGAGACTCAGCAGCTCTTTCCAGCATATTATAAAGACACGGGCCCCATCAGCTGGTGCAGGAAGGCTGCCCACCCAACTTGAGACGGCAGCACTGGCTGGGTGAGAAAGGCTGGCTACACAGCTGACCCTGGGTGTTGAGCCAGTGTGGAACAACTCCCATCCCTGGGATAAATTCCTGGGGCAGGCCTCCCCACCCGCCCCAGCCAAACCCATTTATGATCCTTCCCATTCAACACTGGGAGCCTTTGGGGATGAGGCTATTGTTATGGGGACTGGCTGTGGCATTGGGAGGCTTGCCCATTGAGCTCTGTGGAGGCTGCACACCGAGTGTTGTGTTGGGATCACGGTTGTGCCACTGGGGCAGCAACACCCTCTGCCTGCCCCTCATCCAGGCGTTTGATGGAAACTGGGATCCAGTCAGCTTGGCTATAAGCCGGCCAGGAATTAAGAGAAGGGAAAGCACCCATTGTTGTGGCCCCAGTGAGCCTAGGGTTCCCTGGTGGTTCAACTCCATGCCCCTTCTCCCGTCGGGAGTATGCAGCCTTTCACACAAACCTTTGAGTAAGAGCCATTAGCCCAGAATCATGGTTCCTGGACAGAGATGTGTGATCCCCACAGGGCTCACAAAGAGGGCCACCAGCACACTCTCAGGCCCTGTGGTTTTTCTGCTTGATTCGGCCAGCTGTGATCACTCTTATCTCCCACCCCTCACAACTATGTCCAGTTCACCTACTCTCAGGTCTCAGCCATACAGGATTTCCAGCAGAGTTTTCCTCAAGACTTGATTTGTCATCTCTTTCAAAAACGCTTTGGGCCAACCAGCATAAAGATCAGCCTTTTAGGAAATAGGATTAGTCACCAGGAATGTTCAAATTTGCTCAGACTTGTCAAGATGGCTTCAGCTGGCTTCAGTTCAGAAATTATAAGAAATTGGAGCAAGTTGTGAAGATCTGTGTTTGTGGGTAGTGAGCATCCTGGCAGAGGAAAAACGAATAGCTCTAAAGAGGGGGAAAAAAAAGAAAGATTTAAAGAAGGAACAGGTACTGTCCTAACCACGGAAGTCCTTGACAGTGAGTAGAATATTCTGAAGTGAGGTCAAAGGTTTGTTTAGATTGAAAGGCAAAAGTCTCACACTTTTAGCATGAAAAAATAGGCCTACAACGGTAAAAACTCCAAACAAAAAGAGAGAAGGAAGGAAGGAGAGAGACAGGGAGAGAGGGAGAAGCCAATCACTGAGAGAATATGTCAATATACTCATTATCTTCATAAGGAGCATAATTAATACAACAGGACAGGAAAGGATTTAGATTCATTTTACAAGTGAGGAAATTGAGGCTCAGAAGAGCTTTCTGCTTTCAGGTTTTAAGCATCAACAACTCAAAAATATGTACTTTGTCATAGTCTTAAATATTGGGTCTGAAGCCCAATGAACCCACAGGAATTTAGACTCTTTAGGGGCAAAAGCCAGGATGAATTAGCAGAGAGTCTGAATTACGGATTTTTCTTCAATTATTTTCAAGACCATTCCAGTTAGCTGGAATGCCCAGAGCACTTGGCACAATGGTGAGGAGGTGATTTCAAGCTGAAGGGTGGGGAAGCCAAGGCCTCTAAAAGCCACACTCAAAAGCTGCTAAGCTGACAACTTTAACAGCAGGGAAAAAAGTGTAAGAGGTCATTTTAGCAGACTTTACTCCTCATTAAATAAAAAAGGCAGTTTTCCACAACTCACTACCACCAGGTCAAATAACTCACCTCCCACATCAGCAAGACAAAATAGGATATAGTTGAGGTCCTTAGGGTGCTATTTTAACAAACTGATCATTTAATTTAATTAACCCATATTGGGTGACACTATCGTAAGTAGTATATATAAGTGCTTGAAAGAAGTAGTTCCAAAATATTGCAAATAATCCACCTGCAACTGTTATTAGACCAAGGGATTTCTAAGTAAAGTGACATTTTAGTTATGCCCTGCTGAGGTTAGAAACAAGTCCAAGTTGAACGTGATGAACTGTTGAGGTTTACTATTATTAATTCCACTTGTAGGTTATTTTCCATCCAAATGTATTCTCTGTATACACTCAGATAAAACTGTAGGCACCCGCTGGGCACAGTGGCTCATATCTGTAATCCCAGCACTTTGGGAGGCCAAGGTGAGAGGATCACTTGAGCCCAGGAGTTCCAGACCAGCCTGGGCAACATTGCAAAACCTCGTCCCTACAAAGAAATATACACACACACACACACACACACACACACACACACACACACACACAAAATTAGCCAGGCATGGTGGCACCTATAGTCCCAGCTACTCAGGAGACTGAGGTAGGAGGATCACTTGAGCTGGGAAGTCCAGGCTGGAGTAAGATGGCACCACTGCACTCCAGCCTGGGCAACAGAGCAAGATGGCCCTGCCAAAAAAAAAAAAAAATGAAAAACACCTGTAGGTTCACTCTGCTAAAAAAGATGATAAAGGCCACTAGGAAACAGTCCTCCCCCTGCTTAATAATGTTTTAAATCTAAAGTTTGGTAAGCCAGGCAATTAGGATGTAATAAACACTTATTGCATCATAGCTCCATGTGATCAGTCCAGAATGGTATTGGGAAGGTGGTTTTTCCCAATTTATGGTCTCTTCAAGTAAGGAACTTGAAGATTATTTTTTTCAATGCAGAAATTGTTATTAGGACTCATTTCAAATCACATTTAGAAACACCGCAATGAACAGGGGCTGAATTCTTTGACAGCAGGGACTGAATCTTATTTCTTTATCTCAAGGTTTGTCAATCTTGGCACTATTGACATTTGAGGCTAGATGATTGATTCTCTTTGTGGGGGGCGAGGACTGTCCTATGCATCGTAGGATATTCAGCAACATCCTTGACCTCTTCCTGCAAGATAACAAAAATGTCTGCAGCCATTGCCAAGTGTTCCCTGAGTGGTAGCATCATCTTTGATCCAGAACCACTGCTTTATCTCTAGGGCCTGACACCTGGCCCACAGCAGGGGCTCAAAAATTCCTTGATGAATGAATGCAATCAAGAAACAATCAGGAAGAGGAATCTGTAGCTGTAGCTGTGGTTTCTGATGCCTCACTCACATTTTCTGATTTACTACCATGAGGCTGATCTGATCAGGAAACTTACTTGGTACCATTGTTCACCCATCCATAGGACTGTCATTCATTCGACATGCTATGGGCACTTTAGAAGCTTCTCTCCAGTAAACAGGGATCAGCAAGACTACCCCCATCTCACAGAAAAGGTAGGCACTCTGCCAGTCCTGACAGGTTCCTCATTATTTTACAAACACAAAACTGGAAGGACTTATTCATTATTCAAATCTCACTCCAAAAATTGGTCTTATTTTCAAGGACAGCATAACCGTCCCCCCCACCAAGAAATTTACAAACATTGCCAGGAAGTTTTTTTTTTTCCTCTCATGTTTTACCTAAACCCTTTTTGCTGTAAGTGAGCCCAGTGTTTTGTTTGTCTTTAATGGAAACAAAAGTCAAACCTCCTTCTTTTAGTAGTTCCCAATTTAAGCACTAGACCTTTTTGCAGCCTCCTATCCTCAAGACTCAAGGATCCTGTCTCTTCTCACTTTCTCCCATTTCCTATCTTATAAACTTTTGTCATCTTGGTTGCTCTTTCCCCAATTTCTTCATCTACTTTGTAGAATCAAGAACTCCAGGTAGGTGATGAAAAGGTTCTAAAATTGATTGTGGCAATGGTTGTACAACTCTGTGAATATACTTTTAAAAGTTTGAACTGTACACTTTAAAATGGGTAAATTGTTATGTGAATTATATCTCAATAAAGTTACCTTTTAAGAAATAACAAAAGAATCCCAGATAGAAATTGGGAACTGACTATGGGTTCCAGCAAATCCTCCTAAAACTGAATAGTTACTGCCCATCTTTGATAGTTATATCTCTGTTACTATGTCCCCATTTTCCATTGCCCCCCCCATCTTTGATTGATTATATGCCCATTAATACCTCCTCATTTCCCAGGTTTTCTTGGCTGTCACAACTTTGCTTGGAATGTAATCCTCCATGGCTCATTTCTTGGAATCTGGAATCCCCTCCCCTAAGTGGTTTCCCCTGAACAGACCTTCCCAGGCCCTCAGTTTGGTCCTTGCTATTTCTCTGTCAGGGTTCAAACTCTGTTAGGCCATAGGCTTCTTAACTTAAACAAACTCTCTTGAAGCAGACTAGGGTGTAAAAAGAAAAATCACAAAACAACAGCCACTCTGGTCTGGAGTCCCACCTGTCTGGTGCCTCACCCTGTAGGGCCTTGAAGCACTGCAGCTTTATGCCATCTCCCCCTCCCTCCCCCAGCACCTCCCTGTCAGGGCTCTGGACAGCAGGGCAATGTGCCTTCCACTATTTTGCTTTACATCTTATCCAGGAACAAAGAGGACACTTAGGGAACATGTGATCTAATGACCTGTAGGCTCAGAATGAGGAGACCAGACTCCTGACCATCCTTCCCTTCCACTGAAGGGAGATCGAGGCCCAGAGTAACAGTCAAGCATTCAAGCACTGTCCCCACAAAACAAAGACTTGGTCTCTGGTTACAGGATGTCAGCAGGTGTCAGTCCCCAAGGTGGCCATCATAGCAATGGAGACCATTGGAATGACAAGTGCGCTCAGGAATTCAGTCTTCAGGGTGGCAGGACCAGCATACAGAGTTAATCATTTTTTGTTAACAACTGATGGTTTTTTAATGAGGCTTTGTGATTTCAGGCACAGATGGAAAGCAGCTAACAAGGTCTTGCCTGGTAGAAGTCCTTGGGGAAATCGTGTTAACACACTGATAACATTATTGGTAAAGAGGATCTCAACTATTGTGAGTGAATGGGTGCTCCTAAGGTACTTGAGCGTGGAGGAGAATAGCCTGTTTTCTTTGTGTGTCTGGGGAATACCACTCAACAGGCAGTGTGAGAGCCAGATAATGGAAGGCCAATTCTTCAAGCTCTGAATCCTTTTATTGGAAGTGTTTTCAATGGGAAACTTTTCAAAATGCATTAAGCATCTTGGCAAAGGAAACCTTTCCTTGACTGGGTCATTGTTATGAGCAGGGGCAACTGGCCAGGGCTGAGATGACACGATGCCCTCCAGGCTGTCCAGGGAAGGGGCTGTTTGTCTCTAGCTGGTATTGACTCTCCTGTCCCCAGTGCCAACTCCACATGAGTGCCTTCCTTCTTTGCCTTTTTATTGGTTTGTTTTTAAAATCTCTTCCAATCCTGTCCCTTCTCAGCTTCCATGACAACAAGGCATGATTTGATCACCATCACTGGCCCACTGGCTCTCATCCAGAAACTGACCCATGAAATTGTCCCCTGGTCCCTGGCAAGTGCCTCTTCCTTCCCCACTCTGCAAGGCCCAACCCCAGTGTCTCCGGTAGGGAGACCATCCCCAGCTCCTCTCCTCCCCATGCTTCCCTGAGACTCCCTGCAGGGGAGGAACAGGCTAGGAAAGCCTCTCCCATTTTATTGAGCCAGTCTTTGTCCCTTGGGTGGGAAGCTCCCTGAGAGCAGGCACAGCTTTTGGTCCATAGCGCATAGTATCTGGCAAAGCCTCAATAGTTGCTTATTGAATTGAAACCTGGAGCACCTTCTCTGCTTTCATATATATCATTTCTTGGCCATATTGGCTCCATCCCAAGCTTGGCCACTGTCAGGCCTTTCTGGTTTGGCCCTATTTTGGATCCTAGTCAAAGGTGACTTGTACAAGCACCAGATGAATGGAACACCATGATTTAGACATTTGGGGTATGGTCCTGTGTCCTATTTATTTACTCTTTAGACCCTTCCTTTGTTTTGACCATCAAGGTTAAAATCCAGCAGAGCCCATTTGAGCAACCACAAATTTTCAAATAATTAAAATTTTAATTTATGTTTTACTGGTTTCCCTTTCTTCCTCTCTCCCTCCTACCCTCCTTTCTTCCCTCTTTCTTCCCTTTTTCTCTTTTCTTTTTTAAAAAACTCCCCAAAGTGCTGCTTCTGCTTAATTTTATAAATGGCAAGAACTCCCCAGGGAGCCCTGGTTGTTTCCCAGGCCTCATCTCCCTGACCTCTGGGAGGTACAGGTGTGAAGGCATGGAGGTATGAGGCACTTTCATCCCCCTCCTCCTCCTTAGCTTTCCTGGCAAACCTCTCTCCCCATGCTCTGGTCTCTCTGATTGTCTCTTCATTTTGACCTCTGCAGATAACGATGCTGATGCTCCACTTCTTCCCTCTCTTTCAGGCCTAAGTTCTCATTCCCTGTGCTTTCCTAGGATGACATTCTCATAGTTGTCTCCAACATTTTTATTTTGTTTATTTATCTCTATCTTCAGCTCTGACTTCTCTTTCCCCCTCTCTCTCTCCTTCTTTCCTTCTCTCCCTCCCTTCCTCTCTCTCTTTCTCTCTGCCTCTTTCTCTTTCTCTCCCCCTCACCAACCCGCCATATTAATAGGCTGGTGTCTCATATTCATCATCCTAGAACTAGACAGCATCGCCCATCCTCAACCCCTCCTCAGATCCAATGTACACCCTCTGCATCTGCTGCTGCCTGCTTCCTGGTTCTCCAAGCAAGAAATGTGGAGCTGTTCTTCATGACTTCTCCCTCACTTTCACCTCCCAGATACCTGTCTTCCTGACTTTGACTCCCCAGTCTTCCTCAAATCCATCATTCCTTTCCTCCATACTACTGTTCTTGAGCCTGCCCACATCATCCTCTGCCTAGATTCTTACAGTGGTGTCAGAACGGGATGGGCACCATGCACCCATCTTTAGCTTGCCTGATTCTCTCCTCTATACTGCCACCGGGATTGTTTTGGTAATAGGCAAGCTTCACCATGTCGTTCTGCTGCATAAAAGCCTGTGGTGTTGGATACCTCCCCGCACCCTGTGGCCTCACATGTCAGCAGGCCTCCTGAGGTCACGGCCAGCCCAGCACTGTGGCTAGAACTCCCTGCTTCACCCTATGTGTAAGCTCCAGGGATACAGGAAGGTTAGCAGTTCCCAGCCCTGCCTGTGAGGTTCCACCCCTGAGTGCCCTCCTCTTGACACTCCTTCCCCACCTTCTTGGGTTTTTTTTGTTTGTTTTTTGTTTGGAGACGGGGTCTCTCTTTGTTGCCCAGACTGGTCTCGAACTTCTGGCCCCAAGTGATCCTCCCACCTCACGCTCCCAAAGAGCTGGGATTATAGGCACCAACCACTGCACTTGACCTTCGCCATCTTCTTACTCTGACTAATCCTTCAGGATTCAGCTCAAAACAACACCTCCTCCAGAAAGCTTTCCATGACTGCTCTGGCATAAGCTAAGAGCCCCTCTTGCCCTCCCATAGCAACATATGCACACATCTGTATATCAACTCATCCATCTCATTCAATTGAAAGTATGACTCTGTCTATCCCACTGTGTCACACACTCCTCTAGGGCCAAGGTCATTGTCATTGTATCTCATACACCTAACACAGTGCTTGACATGTAGGGGACCCTCAATAAATGTGTGTGGACTGCACTGAACCTATGTGGAAAGTGCAAGTGTGCCCTTCTTAGCCAAACCAGTACAATATATGGAAACCCAAACATACGAAACAAATATCTGGAATCTATAATTGACTTTGCAAAAGAAGATGAACTACTTGATTCCTTTAAACCGTATGGCTTACTATGTTTTCAAAACAAGATGGATTCTTCAAAAGTGGTTTCTACACTCTTATAAAAATATACATAAAACATAAAGCAAGCAATAGTCAACATCTCATCACTGGCATACAAAGAAAATGCTTGAGCATTCACCTCCCCAGAGTTTGTGGATTTCTTTATAAATGACATGCATGGACTACCAAACAAATATGTACATTATAAAATAAGTGCAAAAATAGAAATGTTGGACAAAAATGAAACAAACATAAATAGGTTCAATATTTTCTTTCTACGCCCCAATTCATTATCTTATGTATCCCACCGGGTCATAATGAAATGAGACTATTATACATCTTTCAACTGGCTGAACACAACCTTTAAATTCTCTTAGAGATCCATGCATTCTTCTTTCTTGAAATATGAGAAATAACCAAGCACAAGAGGTTTCTGCATCAGAAGTAGAATGAGTGCCTGTCACTACACCTAAGCAGGGGGATGGCTGGAGACCCTGAGTAAAAGTTAAGAGTGCCAGTGTTAGAGCCACAAAGTCTGGATTGAATTCCCAGCTTTGCTCCTTTCTAGCTGTATGACTTTGGGCAGGTCACTTAACTTCTCTGCTTCCATTTTCTCAACTGTGAAATGGAAATAATAAAATATCTTCAAGTATCTGGGTTTGTGCACTGGGGTACCAAGGACAGGGTACTCAATAAATGAGCACACAGTAAGCATGAGCAAGGGATATAAATGATATAAATAATGATAAATAAATGTATTTGTATTATATCTTGTTTACAGATAATAATAGGGAGCAAGGTCACCACAATTCTAGATTTTAAAAAGACTTTAATTCCAGTAAGCAGAGTTTTAGATTTCACTTTGTTCCATGAAAGTGGGTTTCCAGCCAGGCACTTTCATGCCTGCTTCCAGACTACTGACCAATATTTGAACTAATGTAAATGTCATTTTGATTTCCTTCCCATTGGCCTGAGAAAAGGGTTGATCGCTTGGCTATCAGCAAGAAAATGAACTCGTTAGAATAGGAGAAAAAGTGACACAGGCTGGGAGAAAGAAGCCTGAAGGCAAAATTGGGCCTGGAATCAAAGTGGCATGTGTTCTTAGACCTCACCCTGCTTTGGATTCCTCATCAGTAAAACCGCACAACTCAGCTGCCTTTCTCATGGGGATTGATGAGCTAACGCAAGCGCCCAGGGCCCATGAGTAGGAGGTGCACACGGGCCAGGGTTCCCTTCCTTGCTTGCAGCAAATAGACGCTAGATGAGGATGGGACTTTCAGGTGTCCCCACCCAGGGACAGTCCCTTATCCAGAGGCCACCGTCCAATCACAGGGCCCATGGAAAGCCATGCCCTGGGGGCAGCTCTGTAGTGACACCAAGAGGCTATGCAGCCTTAGAAGTCTGCAACCTGGTGAGCAGGGGGGTTGAGGCTTCCTCAAAAGTAAATTATACAGCTGAACCCCCTTTATCAAACTCTTCTTACAAGAATGTGATGCCTTAGAGTGGATGAATTGTTATTTGAATTAGAAATCTAAAGTTTGCTTTACAAGAGATAACATCAGTTTCTGTTTTGAATGAGGGAGGTTTCTTGAGTGCACTTGAGACACGATCTAGCATGTGGGCAACTTCCGAAGAACACATCTGCTATATAAATTGGGGGCAAGTGTATTTGAAATAACTACAGAAAAGGGTTTGTGAGGTGAGCATAGAAAAGGAATCTCTTGCTCATGCCATTTATGAGCTGCTGACCTCTCCACCACGGGAAGAGGATTTTTTTTGCAGCAAAGGAATTCAAAAAGTCAGAACAGCCCTGCTTCTCCACCCACCTACTGGGAAGAAACCACCCTCTTACCCACTTCATCTGCGCTGGGATACAGCGCCCTCTGCTGGCAGATCACAGCAACAACCTCAGGAATCTTCCAGAGTGGTCCTGGCACGGGCACCTACCTAGCATACACCCCTCCTCTGTGAGCCTCTTGAGACACCCCTGGGGAGGGCCCAGACTGAAAATCCTGAAGGGTCCAGATTTTCAGAAAAGAACCACCTCACCCTTCATTAATGGGAAACCGTGTCCCAGCAAAGCCAGGGAGAGAGAAGATCGCTGGCCTGGGACTTGGTAGCCTTGGGGACAAGCTAAAATGAAAGCTGGGGACACAGCACACTGCAGGGTGCAGAGCTGAAGCAGTGACCTCGACATTTCTGGGGACGATAGGAACAGAGCAGGGGAATGTTGGGGATCTTGGAATGCGACTCAGGGGAGCTGGGGGACGGAAGCGGTGGTGGGAGCACAGGCCTAGCCTGGCAGCCACTACCCTTGAGCAAGCAGGGAGGGTGGGCCAGGGGCGCTCCCACGACACAGCCAGTATTGGTCACTCTGCCAGACACTGGGTTCCCTACCCCGGCTGCACCCCAGGATCACCAAAGGAACTGTCAGGACGCCTGATGCCCAGCCTGAGCCCAGAGATGTCCATGCTCCTGGTGGTTACCTACAAAAGGGTGGCCTTGGTAGAGTAAAATTTGCCTGAGAACTTCAGCCTGTCTCCCAGGCTGAGTCTAGCACTGAGACCCCGGGAGGAGGTCCGGGAAGTGGGGCCTCAAGTGTGCCCCAGGAGTGGTAGAAGGCAGCAGCACCTCCACCTGGAGGAAGCCTCCTAGTGAGGCACGACCTGGGCTGTAGTCTCCTCCGACACCGTCGGCCCACTCTGATCTCTGCGAGGCGCACGACTCCGGGCCCAGCTCTCACTCACCTCTCTCCTGGTGGTGAAGCAAATGCCATGTAGCATCATGATGGATGTCCTCCTCCCACACCTGCATTTGGGTGAGGGGACCAGTACACACCATCCCACCCTTTCAGGGCCCCAGGAAGGTGGGCCCTGGTGCCCACTCTGCCCTCCTGCCCAGCCCAGTTCAACAGCAAGTCTGCAGCCTCGAGTCCAGATTGCAGAGGGCCAGGTTCTGGTGACCCTTCTGGATTCCGTATCTTGATGTTTCAATGCCGAGAAAGGAAACAGGAAAGGCACCCTTCGAATGCTCTGGTCAAAGGTTCCACTGAGACCACTGCAGAAAGCTCAGCTTCTCAGACCTCAGGCAAGCTTGAAAGTACTTTCCTCTGGGAGGAGCCAAGATGGCCGAATAGGAACAGCTCCAGTCTACAGCTCCCAGCGTGAGCGATGCAGAAGACGGGTGATTTCTGCATTTCCATCTGAGGTACCGGGTTCATCTCACTAGGGAGTGCCAGACAGTGGACACAGGTCAGTGGGTGCACGCGCACTGTGCGCGAGCCAAAGCAGGGCGAGGCATTGCCTCACTCGGGAAGCGCAAGGGGTCAGGGAGTTCCCTTTCCTAGTCAAAGAAAGGAGTAACAGACGGCACCTGGAAAATCGGGTCACTCCCACCTGAATACTGCGCTTTTCCGACGGCCTTAAAAAACGGCCCACCACGAGACTATATCCCACACCTGGCTCGGAGGGTCCTACGCCCACGGAGTCTCGCTGATTGCTAGCACAGCAGTCTGAGATCAAACTGCAAGGCGGCAGCGAGGCTGGGGGAGGGGCGCCCGCCATTGCCCAGGCTTGCTTAGGTAAACAAAGCAGCCGGGAAGCTCCAACTGGGTGGAGCCCACCACAGCTCAAGGAGGCCTGCCTGCCTCTGTAGGCTCCACCTCTGGGGGCAGGGCACAGACAAACAAAAAGACAGCAGTAACCTCTGCAGACTTAAGTGTCCCTGTCTGACAGTTTGAAGAGAGCAGTGGTTCTCCCAGCACGCAGCTGGAGATCTGAGAACGGGCAGACTGCCTCCTCAAGTGGGTCCCTGACCCCCGAGCAGCCTAACTGGGAGGCACCCCCCAGCAGGGGCACACTGACACCTCACACGGCAGGTTACTCCAACAGACCTGCAGCTGAGGGTCCTGTCTGTTAGAAGGAAAACTAACAAACAGAAAGGACATCCACACCAAAAACCTATCTGTACATCACCATCATCAAAGACCAAAAGTAGATAAAACCACAAAGATGGGGAAAAAACAGAGCAGAAAAACTGGAAACTCTAAAAAGCAGAGAGCCTCTCCTCCTCCAAAGGAACGCAGTTCCTCACCAGCAACGGAACAAAGCTGGATGGAGAATGACTTTGACGAGCTGAGAGAAGACTTCAGACGATCAAACTACTCCGAGCTACAGGAAGAAATTCAAACCAAAGGCAAAGAAGTTGAAAACTTTGAAAAAAATTTAGAAGAATGTATAGCTAGAATAACCAATAGAGAGAAGTGCTTAAAGGACCTGATGGAGCTGAAAGCCAAGGCTAGAGAACTACGTGAAGAATGCAGAAGCCTCAGGAGCCGATGCAATCAACTGGAAGAAAGGGTATCAGCAATGGAAGATGAAATGAATGAAATGAAGCGAGAAAGGAAGTTTAGAGAAAAAAGAATAAAAAGAAACGAACAAAGCCTCCAAGAAATATGGGACTATGTGAAAAGACCAAATCTACGTCTGATTGGTGTACCTGAAAGTGACAGAGAGAATGGAACCAAGTTGGAAAACACTCTGCAGGATATTATCCAGGAGAACTTCCCCAATCTAGCAAGGCAGGCCAACGTTCAGATTCAGGAAATACAGAGAACGCCACAAAGATACTCCTCGAGAAGAGCAACTCCAAGACACATAATTGTCAGATTCACCAAAGTGGAAATGAAGGAAAAAATGTTAAGGGCAGCCAGATAGAAAGGTTGGGTTACCCTCAAAGGGAAACCCGTCAGACTAACAGCGGATCTCTCAGCAGAAACTCTACAAGCCAGAAGAGAGTGGGGGCCAATATTCAACATTCTTAAAGAAAAGAATTTTCAACCCAGAATTTCACATCCAGCCAAACTAAGCTTCATAAGTGAAGGAGAAATAAAATACTTTACAGACAAGCAAATGCTGAGAGATTTTGTCACCACCAGGCCTGCCCTAAAAGAGCTCCTGAAGGAAGCGCTAAACATGGAAAGGAACAACCGGTACCAGCCACTGCAAAATCATGCCAAAATGTAAAGACCATTGAGACTAGGAAGAAACTGCATCAACTAACGAGCAAAATAACCAGCTAACATCATAATGACAGGATCAAATTCACACATAACAATATTAACTTTAAATGTAAATGGACTAAATGCTCCAATTAAAAGACACAGACTGGCAAATTGGATAGAGTCAAGACCCATCAGTGTGCTGTATTCAGGAAACCCACCTCACGTGCAGAGACACATATAGGCTCAAAATAAAAGGATGGAGGAAGATCTACCAAGCAAATGGAAAACAAAAAAAGGCAGGGGTTGCAATCCTAGTCTCTGATAAAACAGACTTTAAACCAACAAAGATCAAAAGAGACAAAGAAGGCCATTACATAATGGTAAAGGGATCAATTCAACAAGAAGAGCTAACTATCCTAAATATATATGCACCCAATACAGGAGCACCCAGATTCATAAAGCAAGTCCTGAGTGACCTACAAAGAGACTTAGACACCCACACATTAATATTGGGAGACTTTAACACCCCACTGTCAACATTAGACAGATCAATGAGACAGAAAGTCAACAAGGATACCCAGGAATTAAACTCAGCTCTGCACCAAGCAGACCTAATAGACATCTACAGAACTCTCCACCCCAAATCAACAGAATTTACATTTTTTTTTCAGCACCACACCACACCTATTCCAAAATTGACCACAGAGTTGGAAGTAAAGCACTCCTCAGCAAATGTAAAAGAACAGAAATTATAACAAACTATCTCTCAGACCACAGTGCAATCAAACTAGTACTCAGGATTAAGAATCTCACTCAAAACCACTCAACTACGTGGAAACTGAACAACCTGCTCCTGAATGACTACTGGGTACATAACAAAATGAAGGCAGAAATAAAGATGTTCTTTGAAACCAATGAGAACAAAGACACAACATACCAGAATCTCTGGGACACATTTAAAGCAGTGTGTAGAGGGAAATTTATAGCACTAAATGCCCACAAGAGAAAGCAGGAAACATCCAAAATGACATCCTAACATCACAATTAAAAGAACTAGAAAAGCAAGAGCAAACACATTCAAAAGCTAGCAGAAGGCAAGAAATAACTAAAATCAGAGCAGAACTGAAGGAAATAGAGACACAAAAAACCCTTCAAAAAATTAATGAATCCAGGAGCTGGTTTTTTGAAAGGATCAACAAAATTGATAGACCGCTAGCAAGACTAATAAAGAAAAAAAGAGAGAAGAATCAAATAGACGCAATAAAAAATGATAAAGGGGATATCACCACCGATCCCACAGAAATACAAACTACCATCAGAGAATACCACAAACACCTCTACGCAAATAAACTAGAAAATCTAGAAGAAATGGATAAATTCCTCGACACATACACTCTCCCAAGACTAAACCAGGAAGAAGTTGAATCTCTGAATAGACCAATAACAGGATCCGAAATTGTGGCAATAATCAATAGCTTACCAACCAAAAAGAGTCCAGGACCAGATGGATTCACAGCCGAATTCTACCAGAGGTACAAGGAGGAATTGGTACCATTCCTTCTGAAACTATTCGAATCAATAGAAAAAGAGGGAATCCTCCCTAACTCATTTTATGAGGCCAGCATCATTCTGATACCAAAGCCGGGCAGAGACACAACCAAAAAAGAGAATTTTAGACCAATATCCTTAATGAACATTGATGCAAAAATCCTCAATAAAATACTGGCAAACCAAATCCAGCAGCACATAAAAAAGCTTATCCACCATGATCAAGTGGGCTTCATCCCTGGGATGCAAGGCTGGTTCAATATACGCAAATCAATAAATGTAATCCAGCATATAAACAGAACCAAAGACAAAAACCACATGATTATCTCAATAGATGCAGAAAAGGCCTTTGACAAAATTCAACAATGCTTCATGCTAAAAACTCTCAATAAATTAGGTATTGATGGGGCATATCTCAAAATAATAAGAGCTATCTATGACAAACCCATAGCCAATATCATACTGAATGGGCAAAAACTGGAAGCATTCCCTTTGAAAATGGGCACAAGACAGGGATGCCCTCTCTCACCACTCCTATTCAACATAGTGTTGGAAGTTCTGGCCAGGGCAATTAGGCAGGAGAAGGAAATAAAGGGTATTCAATTAGGAAAAGAGGAAGTCAAATTGTCTCTGTTTGCAGATGACATGATTGTATATCTAGAAAACCCCATTGTCTCAGCCCAAAATCTCCTTAAGCTGATAAGCAACTTCAGCAAAGTCTCAGGATACAAAATCAATGTACAAAAATCACAAGCATTCTTATACACCAATAACAGAGAGCCAAATCATGAGTGAACTCCCATTCACAATTGCTTCAAAGAGAATAAAATACCTAGGAATCCAACTTACAAGGGATGTGAAGGACCTCTTCAAGGAGAACTATAAACCACTGCTCAATGAAATAAAAGAGGATACAAACAAATGGAAGAACATTCCATGCTCATGGGTAGGAAGAATCAATATCGTGAAAATGGCCATACGGCCCAAGGTAATTTATAGATTCAATGCCATCCCCATCAAGCTACCAATGACTTTCTTCACAGAATTGGAAAAAAACTACTTTAAAGTTCATATGGAACCAAAAAAGAGCCCGCATCGCCAAGTCAATCCTAAGCCAAAAGAACAAAGCTGGAGGCATCACGCTACCTGACTTCAAACTATACTACAAGGCTACAGTAACCAAAACAGCATGGTACTGGTACCAAAACAGAGATATAGATCAATGGAACAGAACAGAGCCCTCAGAAATAACGCCGCATATCTACAACTATCTGGTCTTTGACAAACCTGAGAAAAACAAGCAATGGGGAAAGGATTCCCTATTTAATAAATGGTGCTGGGAAAACTGGCTAGCCATAGGTAGAAAGCTGAAACTGGATCCCTTCCTTACACCTTATACAAAAATCAATTCAATATGGATTAAAGACTTAAACGTTAGACCTAAAACCATAAAAACCCTAGAAGAAAACCTAGGCATTACCATTCAGGACATAGGCAAGGGGAAGGACTTCATGTCTAAAACACCAAAAGCAATGGCAACAAAAGCCAAAATTGACAAATGGGATCTAATTAAACTAAAGAGCTTCTGCATAGCAAAAGAAACTACCATCAGAGTGAACAGGCCACCTACAAAATGGGAGAAAATGTTTGCAACCTACTCATCTGACAAAGGGCTAATATCCAGAATCTACAATGAACTCCAACAAATTTACAAGAAAAAAACAAACAACCCCATCAAAAAGTGGGCAAAGGACATGAACAGACACTTCTCAAAAGAAGACATTTATGCAGCCAAAAAACACATGAAAAAATGCTCACCATCACTGGCCATCAGAGAAATGCAAATCAAAACCACAATGAGATGCCATCTCACACCAGTTAGAATGGCAATCATTAAAAAGTCAGGAAACAACAGGTGCTGGAGAGGATGTGGAGAAATAGGAACACTTTTACACTGTTGGTGGGACTGTAAACTAGTTCAATCATTGTGGAAGTCAGTGTGGTGATTCCTCAGGGATCTAGAACTAGAAATACCAGTTGACCCAGCCATCCCATTACTGGGTATATACCCAAAGGACTATAAATCATGCTGCTATAAAGACACATGCACACATATGTTTACTGCGGCATTATTCACAATAGCAAAGACTTGGAACCAACCCAAATGTCCAACAATGATAGACTGGATTAAGAAAATGTGGCATATATACACCATGGAATACTATGCAGCCATAAAAAATGATGAGTTCATGTCCTTTGTAGGGACATGGATGAAATTGGAAATCATCATTCTCAGTAAACTATCGCAAGAACAAAAAACCAAACACCACATATTCTCACTCATAGGTGGGAACTGAACAATGAGAACACATGGACACAGGAAGGGGAACATCACACTCTGGGGACTGTTGTGGGGTGGGGGGAAGGGGGAGTGATAGCATTGGGAGATATACCTAATGCTAGATGACGAGTTAGTGGGTGCAGCGCACCAGCACGTCACATGTATACATATGTAACTAACCTGCACATTGTGCACATGTACCCTAAAACTTAAAGTATAATAATAATAATAAATAATTAAAAAAAAAAAGAAAGTACTTTCCTCTACCATTTTAAAGAGAGAGTCATGCTTCACTCGAGGTCATTAACCCAACAACTTGGGCTACTCTCAGAAGGACACTTGCTCTTCTGAGCACAGCCCAGAAAAAGGCAGGAAGAAATCCCTTGAGTGGACCCCAAGGAACATACGTGGATGGGATGTGCATCTCAGGTAGGGCACAGAACAGATGGTCAGCTCCTGTTGGCTGAAAGCTCCCATCTCCACCCCAAGAGCTCCCAGAATGACCTGTCTAGAATGCGGATCTGATCATGTTGCCTCCCCACATTGATCACCACCTTCAATTTATCCTTATGGCTCTTAGGATCCCCTTCAAAACCTACCCAAGTTCCTTCCTGCTCCAGGCCGTGCTTAGCTCTCCAAGTTCATAACAATTCCCCAATATCCATTCTGTGTTCCAATCATGTCCAATATCTGTGGTTTACCAAACGTTTCTAGATTGCATAGCCTGGCAATGACCTGGAATGCAGGGAATATGTGTTGAACTTTAAGTATGGCCCCAAGTGCTCCAGCAGTCAGTTGAGTATGGAATAATGTGAGGATGAACAACTTGAACCTGAACTGAGAGAATGCTCACAGGCAGAGCCAAGATACTTCTGAGGAATTCAAGGTTTGCTCTACCCCACAGATAAATAGAGGGCCATTCAAGATCCCAAGTTCCTAGGACAAAGAGCTACAATCTTACGTTGGCAGCACATAGGACAAATTAGTCCTGTAAGCACATTTTGTTTGGCTTTTTTTTCCCTATATTTAAGACTACATTTTAAGATTGGGGGATTTTACATGAAGATCTGCATTTCCATTTTCCTTTTAAACATTGGAAAATCTGTAACATAAGGCATAAAACCTTGCACACAAGAACTGGAAGGATTACTACCCTCCTTAGGAGCAACAGGTGGGCTCCAGCCAGACACCACTCCCTCCAGTCACCTTTGCACACCTATGCACTACACCCCACAAGTGTCACTCAAAACACCAAACTGGCCCATCTCAAAAGCATGTTTGCAATTACTTTAGTGTGAAAAACGTTTAAAGCTTTGTGGTAGAAACAATGCTATTTGTATCACCAAATCATTCATTTCCCTCTTCCTCTTTTTGGGAAAACTACTCTTCCCAGCTCTCTTGTACTTAAGCAAGGTCATATGACTAGTTCTCCCAGTGGGATCTGAGTAGCAGTGCCACGACATGTCACCTCTGGACTGAAGCAACAAAAAGACCCTGAACTACCTTCCACCTTTTCTCTTCCCTTGATGTGATGGTCCTAGAGGCCATGTGTTAAAATAGCACAGCTCCCGCTCCCCCCGAAAAAAAAAATAGAACAGAGCCACACAAAGAAGCAGCACCTACAGAGAACTAGACTTTGCCTGAGAGAACAAGCAAAGCTACTGGGATTTCAGGCTTTGTTTGTTACTGCAGCATAGCATGATTTATCCTGACCAATATGAGCATATTGATTCAAACCACATCTGAATCAGGCAGTTCACTTATGATGACATAATAATAAGGCTGAAAATCCTTTGCACTATCGTCATAAGTATATCCATTTAGCAGGTAATACACACATTTGACAATATCTGGAGTGGAACTCAATGCTGATGGCCACCGTTCCTTACTCTGGCCAGGGCCTCTCGACAGTCTCCTGATAGAGGGATGCTCATGTGTCACTGACTGCCCTAGGTAGCTCAGGAAAGGGTATAACAGGGCACTCCTTTCTCACCAGAGTCATTTCCTGTGTACCTGCACTTTTTCTACCAGAAGCACTGCTATTGATTTAACAAGCAGCCATGCTGTCTTCTGAAATACGTTGATACATAAATTAATAAAGCAAGATGCAACATTAGAAAACAGTACTCTTCACTCAATATTTCTCAATGGTGACACTAATGCTGACTATATATTATAGCTAAACTTCACATACAGGAATAAGATGTACACTCATGTATAGAGAAAGTAAACAGCAAAAACCAATTTTTTAAGAACAAAAGGGGGGAAAAGAAATAAATCTAAATATCCATAACTGCCCCCTAAAGCATATTCAGCAACTCCTTATTCTTCCTTGGAATTGACCTCATTCAGTCACACACAAACACCAAAAGACAAGTGAAAACAAGACCCAGGCACTCCACAACAGAGAAGATCTAAAAATAACTACCAGAGCAGGTTGCGCATATCAAACGTTTCACACACCAAGAAGGAACTTTGCATATTTTCACTTTGAGGAAAGTGTATTCACTCCTTCAAAATCTCACTGGGACTTTCTGCAAAGATTTCCAGAGTTCAGATTTAACAGATTAGGACTTTAATCAAAAACCAGCCATCAAGAATTTCCTGTGCACTTATAAGCAACAGACAGCTTTCCATCAGATTCTATGGTTATTACCAGTGGAGAGAGGAAATCAAAGGGAGGACAACTTGGCAGTGAGATTTGGGGAAAAGAGATTAGTAATCCAACACATTTTTTGTCTTTAGAAACAAGGCAGGAGGCCAGGTGTAGTGGCTCTTTCCCGTAATCCCAGCACTTTGGGAGGCCAAGGCAGGAGGGTCACTTGAGCCTAAGAGTTCAAGACCAGCCTGGGGAACCCAGGCTAGACCCTATCTCTACAAAAAGTACAAAAATTAGCCAGGCATGGTGGCACACACTTGTAGTCTCAGCAACTTGGGAGGCTGAGGGGGGAGGATCACCTGAGCCCAGGGAGGAGGAGGCTGCAGTGAGCTGTGATCGTGCCACTGCAGATCACATTTCTGACCAGTCATTTCTTGTGTACCTGCACTTTTTCTAACGGAAGCATTGCTATTGATTTCACAAGCAGCCAGGCTCACTTATGAAATATGTTGAGACATAAATTAATAAAAGAAGATGCAACATTAAAAAACAGTAATCATCACTCAATAAATACTTCTCAATGATGACACCCATGTGGTACTACAGCCTGTGTGACAGAGCAAAACCCTGAAAAAAAAAAGACAGAAAAAGCAGGAAGTCATTGTTTTAGTTATGTATTGCTGCAGAACAACATTGATTATCTCCCAGTTTCTATGGGTCAGGAGCCCAACCCCAACTTAGACAGGTGGTTCTGGCTCAGGATCTCTCCTGAGGTATCAGTCAAGCTGGTTGAGATCTCATCTGAAAGTTCAGTGGGTGATGGGGTAGGAATCCACTTCCAAGCTCACCTGCAAAGTTGCAGGCCAACCTTGGACCTTGCATGTGCAACTCTTGGGATGCCACATGACATGGCAGCTGACTTCCTCTAGAGCAAGCTATTTGAAAAAATGTCTAAGACAGAGCCCATAGCATTTAAAATCTAATTGCAGAATTGACATCTCATCACGTCTGTCCTTAAGGGGATTCAGTAAGTCCAAGTTACACTGAATGGGAGAGGATTGCACAAGGGTACAGAAACCAGGGAGCAGGGATCATTGGAGGTATCTTTAGTATACAAGAGAAAAGAGCTGCTTTATCTATTTCAAATGGTTTTGAGGTGAGAGGAAGGTCTGTGTTCAGAAAATCGAAACAGTATAAAGATAAGTTGGCTGGCACAAAGTGTGTGGGTCAGAATAAGTAGGAAATGAGTTTAGCCAGGTAGGAAAGAGTCATATTAGAGATCTGAGGGACACTATTATGATTATGTATTCAGGTTACATAAAAGTTATTTTAGATTCATGGCGCATAACAACCTGGAGAAGATAGCCATTATTGACCCTAAATGTGGGTAGCTAATGTCTGTAAAATGATGCAGCAAGAGATGAAGACAAAAGGGATGGACAGAATCAGCTGTGTTTTGGAGAAGGAGGCAACAGAATCTGATGACTGACTCTATGTGTGAGTGTGTGTGTGTGTATGAGAGAGAGAGAGAGAAAGAGCGAGAGAGAGATTAGACACCTACTTTCCAAGGGGGCTGCAATAAATATCATCCCTCTTTTCTTTGCCCCCCAGGTCCTAAAAAGTTGAGAAATAAAAGAGTAAAGATGGAGGCTAAAATATCATCTTTCTCCCACTAGAGGATGCAGTTGAACATGAGAGTGCAAGAGGTCTGCAAGAGGATTCCGGTATTAGCCAGGCTCACCCACCCAGAAACCCCAGAAGCAGAAGATGGACCTGGACAGATTATTGCCTAATCTACTGTTCCCAAATTTACTGATCAGAAAAAAATCCCATCCATTTCCCCAGGAATGGAGTGAGCAAAATGGAGAAAGAGTCCAATAATTCAGCTGTTTTCACAGTCAGTAAAAAGTGATACTCTAACCCAGGACACTATGTGAACATAGTCCATACCAATGTATGAGATCCTCCCAGCCTCACTTTATAGATAGAGAAACAGACACCCAGAACCCATAGCTAGTGACTCCAACACCCAAGCTCAAAAGAATTTGAAGAAGGAATTGAAAGTCTTCCTTAATAGTAAGGCTTCCTGGGGCTGCAGTTTCACTGCGTGTGGTGGGGTGAGCTGTGGCCAGGCTGTAGAAAAGGAAGCAGTGGGGCCTGGGTGTGGGAAAGGCAAGAAGGCAAGCAGGGACAGGGTGGGCACCCTTTGGGACAAGATGCTTTCCCATCTTGATCTCTCTGAACTGTCACAACCCTTGGGGGAGGGGTGATCCTCGTTGGACCAAGCAGAAAACAGACTCGGATTGCCTGAGCCCTGTGACAAAGCCACACAGGCAGAGGTGGTAGAGGAGGGGGGCCCAGCCCTGAGTGCTTTGGGCAGGTCTTTCCCTCTCCAACCCTTTTCCGAAAGGCTCTGAGGCTCTTGGACAGAGGAGGGTCCCCGAAAGGAGAGGCATGGAAAGCGCCATGGAGGGGCCTCCGTGGACAGGGCCAAGCCAGCGGGAGCCAGTCCTGAGAACAGGCGGCGCCCATGGGCCCTCCGCAGGCCCCCAGCAGGAACTGGTAGACCGTCTGCGTGCACTGGAATTTCTGACTTGGTGTGGGTTTGGTGACCCGCGCACGTGTTGGTACGGGAGTCTGTGTGTTGCCTTCACCCAAGGGGCACCCTGTCCTGGACTCCCGCCTCCCTGGCTTCCAGTGCTGGGCCTCTGCTCTCTGTGGCCCCCTGACCCTGGCACCCCCCGTGGACAGCTTGAGAAGCCTCTGCACCTCCCCTCCAGGCTCCACGACTCCTCCCCCTGCAAAATGACGCCAACTGCTGTTGGACCCCGGCCCCGTGGCCCAAGGGCTATCTCTGATGGTCTCCATTTTCACTGCCCTCTCCAGCCCCGCCGCTGCACCAGGAGATCAAGCTCCCCAGCCCTCTCACTGAGCCCCCGGCCATCACCCGCGAATCCCACCTGAGCAGTCCTCCTGCCTCTCAACCTGCCTCGGGGCACGGTGTCCTCTAAACAACCCCCTTCCAACCTGAGCTCTTCGCGCCTCTCTTACGTGTAGACAGCGGCTCCTGGTGCCTGAAGCCAAGCCCTGTCTACAGGCCAGGAGCCCCAGCTCCCACCCCCGATGGCAACACGACAGCAGGACCAGCCCACCACGAAGGACAGCCAAGCCCCTGGCCCGAGGCTTGCCTCACACGCTTGCGGCCGCATGTTTTCTTCTCCAGCCACTCAAATTCTCACGTTTCTTTTCCTCCCTGAACCCACCCCCCAGTCCCTCCTTCCACCACCTTCCGCCTCGTGGGTCCTGCAAGCGCAGTTAGCCACAGCCGACCACCGGCTTTCTGCAGTCCAAATCCACTGGCTCCTCCCAGCTTTCCTCTGCCTTGGGGTCCCGTGAATTTCAGCGTGCATGGCCACTCCTGCTGAGCTGTGTCTTGACTCCTAGAATTCACTTCTTCATTGAACACATCCTCACTGAGCACCTCCAGGGCGCCATGCACAATCGTGAGGCGGGGACAGAGAGAGGCGGGGACAGAGCGGGCAGCCGCACACACCAGGCAGCCGCACACACCAGGCCTTGACCTTGACCTTCTGGTCAGCAAGGGGAGGGAAAACAGAAATGAACAAAATTCTTTCCGAAGGCGTGTGAAAGGGGATGACAAGGAAGGGAGGACGTGCCAAGAAGGACAGTCACAGAAGACTTCTCTGAGAGGCCACATTGGAACTGAGACATGAATTGTTCAAAGAGGAAGAAGCCCCAACACCTGGGAACAGAGAAACCCAGGAAGAGCCACTGCAAGGCGAGGCCTGAATTCAGGAGGAAGCTGGACATGCGGAAGCCTTGGAGAAATGGCCAGGGCAGCTTCACAAGAGTGGCCGAGAGGAGAAGGATGGGTCGAATATTCAGTAAGGGTCAGAATCAAGTAAGACAACGAGAGAAGGGAAGGAAACACATCACGGGTAGATATGGACCCTACTAAAACAGAAAGACACGGACAGGAGCAGAAGAGGTGTGAGGATGGAGCACAGAAAGACAGAAGAGAAGGGGGGTGGGGGGGCAGATCCTGTGTGAGTACCAATGAAAGGAAGACAGGAAGAGATGGTCAGAGCCACATCATGTGTGGGTACGAATGTCAGAAAGACAGTAAGACATGGGCAGAGGCAGATCATGTGTGGGTATGAATGTCAGGAAGACAATAGGATTGGAAGAAGCAAATCATGTGTGGGTATGAAGGTCAGGAAGACAGTAAGAGATAGGCAGAAACAGATTATGTGTGGTATGAATGTCAGGAAGACAGTAAGAGATGGACAGTAAAAATATGTGTGGGTAGGAATTTCAGGAAGACAGTAAGACATGGACAGACAAAGATCATGTGTGGGCATAAATGTTAGGAACACAGTAAGAGATGAGGAGATGGAGATCATATGTGAGTATGAATGTCAGGAAGACAGAAAGAGATGGGAAGAGGCAGATCAAGTGAGTATGAATGTCAGGTGGGCAGTAAGAGATGGGAGAAGGCAGCTCATGTGTGGGTATGAATGTCAAGAATACAGTAAGAAATGGACAGAGTCAAAACATGTCTGGCTATGAATGTCAGGAAGTCAGTAAGAGATGAACTGAGGCAGATCATGTGTGGGTATGAATGTCAGGCAGACAGCAAAGAATGAACAGAGGGATATCATGTATAAGGATGAATGTCAGGAAGACAGTAAAAGATGGGTAAAGGCAAATCATCTGCGGGGATATATGTCAAGAAGACAGGAAGAGATGGGCAGAGGATGATCATGTGTAAGTATGAATGGCAGGAAGACAGCAAAAGATGGATAGAGGCACACCATGTGTGCATATGAATGTCAAGAAGACAGTATAAGATGGACAGATGCAGATCATGTGTGAGCATGAATATCAGGAAGGCAGTAAGAGCAGAACAGCCTCAAAGCATGTGTTGCTATGAATGTCAGAAAAGCAGTAATAGATGTGTAGAGGCAGAGCATGTGTGGGGATGCATGTAAGGAAGGCAGTAATAGGTGGGCAGAGCAGATAATGTGTTGTTATGAGTATCAGGAAGAGAGTAAGATATGGACAGATGCAGATTACGGGTGGGTATGAAGGAAAATAAGACAGTAAGTGAAGGGCAGGGGCAGACGTGTGTGCGTGAATGTCAGAAAGACAGTAAGCGATGGGAAGAGCAGATCATATGTGAGTATATATGTCAAGAAGACAGTAAGAAATGGGTGGAGGCAGATCATGTGTGGTATGCAAGTCAGGAAGCAGTAAGCGATGGGTAGAGGCAGATCATGTGTGGTATCAATGTGAGAAAGGAAGTGATGGGCAGAGCAGATCATATGTGAGTATATATGTCAGGAAGACAGTAAGAGATGGGTAGAGGCAGATCATGTGTGATATCAATGTCAGGAAGACAGGAAGAGATGGGTAGAGCAGATCATGTGTGGGTATGAATGTCAAAAATATGGTAATAGATGGGCAGAGACAGATCATGCATGGGTATGAATGTCAGGAAGACTGTAAGAGATGGGCAGAGGCAGATCGTGTGTGGTGTCAATGTTAGGAAGGAAGGAAGTGGTGGGCAGAGAAGATCATATGTGAGTATATGTGTCAGGAAGACAGTAAGAGACCGGTAAATGCAGATTATGTGTGGTCTGAATGTCACAAAGACAGTAAGAGATGGGCAGTGGCATATCACGTGTGGTCTGAATGTCATGAAAATAGAGATGGGCAGAGACAGATCACGTGTGGGTATGAATGACACAAAAACAGTAAGAGATGGCCAGAGACAGATCATGTGTGGGTATGAATGTCAGGAAGAAAGTAAGAGATAGAGGCAGATAATGTGTGGTATCAATGACAGGAAGACAGGAAGAGATGGGCACAGCAGATCATGCGTGGGTATGAGTGTCAGAAAGATGGTAATAAATGGACAGAGACAGATCATGCGTAGTTATGAATGTCAGGAAGACAGTAAAGAATTTGCAAAGGCAGGTCATGTATATTTATGAATGTCAGAAAGACCATAAGAGCTGGGCAGAAGCAGATTATGTGTGTGTATGAGTGTCAGGAGGACAGCAAGGGATGGCAAGATACAGGTCATGTGTGGTATGAATGTCAGAAAACCAGAGAGAGATAGGCAGAGGCAGATCATGTGTGGTATGGATGTCAGGAAGACAGGAAGAGATGGGCAAAACATCATGTGGGCATATGAATGTCAGAAAGAAGGTAAGAGATGGGCAGAGGCACATCCTGTGTGAATATGAATGTCAGGAAGACAATAAGACATGGGCAGAGGCAGATCATGTGTGGTATGAAAGTCAGAAAGAGACTAAGAGATGGGCAGAGCAGATCGTGTGTGTGTATGAATGTAAAAAAAGACAGGAAGAGATGGGCAGGGGCATGTCATGTGTAGCATGAATGTCAGAAAGAAAGTAAGACACCGCCACAGGCAGACCATGTGTGATATGAATTTCAGGAAGACAGTAAGCGATGGGCAGGGGCAGATCTTGTGTGGTTATGAATGTCAGGAAGACAATAAAACATGGGCAGAGGCAGATCGTGTGTGAGTATTAGTGTCAAAAAGACAGTGACAGATGGGTACAGGCAGATCATGTGTGGCATGAGTGTCAGGAAGACAGTAAGAAATGGGCAGAGGCAGATCATGTGTGGGTATGAAAGTCGGGAAGACAATAAGAGGTGGGCACAGGAAGATCATGTGTGGTATGAATGTCAGGAAGACAGGAAGCGATGGGCAGAGCAGATAATGAGTGGGTATGAATCTCAGGAAAACAGTAAGACATGGAGAGTGGCAAATCATCTTTGGATGTGAATGTCAGGAAGACAGTAAGGCATGGACAGAGACAGATCATGTGTGAGTATGAGTCTCACAAAACCGGTTAGAGATGGGCAGAGGCAGGTCATGTGTGGTATGAATGTCAGGATGACAGTAACAGATGGGCAGAGGCAGATCAATGTGGTATCAATGTCAGGGAGCAAGTAAGTGGTGGGTAGAGCAGATCATGTGTGGTTATGAATGTCAATTATGCAGAAAGGCATTGGCAGAGGTAGATCATGTGTTGGTGTGAATGTCAAAAAGACAGTAAGATATGGGCAGAGGCAGATCAGGTGTGGTATGAATGTCAGGACGACAGTAAAAGATAAGCCTAGCACGTCACGTGTGGTGTGAATGTCAGGAAGATAGTAAGAAGTGGAGAGGCAGATCACCTTTGGTATGAAGGTCAGGATGACAGTAAGAGTAGGACAAGACATATCATGTGTGGCTGTGAATGTCAGGAAAACAGAGATGGGCAGAGGCGGGTCACATGTAGGAATGAATATCAGAAGGGCAGTAAGAGATGGGTAGAGGCAGATAATGTGTGGCTATGAACGTCAGGACAGTAAGAGATAAGCAGACGTAGATCAGGTGTAGATGGGCAGAGGCAGATAATGTGTGGCTATGAACATCAGGACAGTAAGAGATAAGCAGAGGTAGATCAGGTGTGGCAAGAGCCTCAGGAAGACAGTAAAAGATATGCCTGGCACATTATGTGTGATATGAATGATAACAGTAAAAGATGAGCAGAGGCAGATAAAGTGTGAGTATGAATGTCAGGAAGACAGAGATGGTCAGAGGCAGATAATGTGTATTATGAATGTCAGGAAGACATAAGAGATGGGCAAAGGCAGATCACGTGTGAGTATGAAAGAAACAAACAAGAATGGAATGGGCATAGCCCCTTCTTGTGTAGGTAGGAATCTTAGGAAGACAGTAGGAAATCAGCAGTGCCAGGCAATAAGTGGGTGTGCGTTTCAGGAAGACAGAATTTGTAGCGAAGAACCAGATCTTTTGTGGGAATGGGTCACAGGAAGACAAAGTGAAGACAAGTGAAAAATCGTATCAGAGAATGGAACAGAGAAAGTATGAAAAAGATGGAGATAGCCAAGTAATAGATGGGTATGGATGACAGGAAAACTGAAAAACATGGGTAGGGAGAGATTATGTGTGCATATGACACAGTATGACTGACACTTATGAACATAGCCAGATCCTGTGTGGAAATGAGTCTCAGGAAGACAAAAAATGCACAGAGTCATATCATGTGTGTGTATAAATGTCAAAAAGACAACAAGATATGGGCAGAGGAAGATCATGTATGGGTATGACTGTCAGGAAGACAGTAAAACATGGGCAGGGGCAGATCATGTGTGGGTATGAATGTTTAGGAATATAGTAAGAGACTGGAAAATGCAGATTATTTGTAAATATGAATGTCAGAAAGACAGTCAGAAATAAACAGAGGCAGAGCATCTGTGGGTATGAATTCCAGGAAGACAGTAAGAGATGAGCAGAGTCAGATCATGTGTGAGTATGAACTTCAGAAAGACAGCAAAGATAGAGGCAAATCATGTGCGGGGAGGAATGTCAAGCAGACAGTAAAAGATGGGGAAAGGCAGATCATATGCGAGGATATATGTCAGGAAGACTGGAAGAGATGGGCAAAATTGATCATGTGCAAGTACGAATGTCATGAACACAGTAAGAGATGGGCAGAGGCAGATCATGTGTGTGTATGAATGTCAGGAAGAAAGAGATGGGCAGAGACAGGTATGTTGGGTATCAATGTCAGGATGCCAGCAAGAGATGGGCAGAGGCAGATCATGTGTGGGTATGAGTGACACGAAGACAGTAAGAGATGGGCAGATGGGCAAAACATCATGTGTGCATATGAATGTCAGAAAGAAGGTAAGAGATGGGCAGAGGCAGATCATGTTTGGGTGTGAATTCCAGGGAGATAGTGGGAGATGGGCAGAATCATATAATGTGTGAGTATGACTATGAGGGAGTCAGTAAGCAATGGAAAGAGGCAGGTCGTGTGTGGGTATGAATGTCAGAAAGACAGTAAAAGTGTCCCTTCATGTATGAGTATGGACCTCAGGAAGAATGAATGTGATGAGCAGAGCCAGATCATGTGTGGGTATGGAACACAGGAAAGTATTAACTGATAGGAAATCACAGATCACGTGTGTGGGGGAGGCATAGAAAACAGACAGAGGTGATCAGAGGCAGATCATGTGTGGGTGTGAGGCTCAGGAAGACAGGAAGAGGTGACAAGATACAGATCATCAGTGGGTGTGAGGCTCAGGAAGGCCCAGGCAAATGGGCAGAACCAGGTCATATGTGGGTATGAGGCTCAGAAAGACAGAAGGAGACGGGCAGAGTCAGATCATGTGTGGGTATGGAGCACAGGAATCCAGTAACTGATGATAGGAAATGGCAGAATATGTGTGGATATGGTACACAGACAGACAGAAAGAGATTAGCAGACCTAGATCATGTGTGCTATGAATGTGAGGAAGGCAGTAAGAGATGGGTAGAGTAGATCATGTGTGGGTATGGATCACTGAAAGTGACTAACTGAAGGACAATTACAGAACATATGGGATTTGGAACACAGAAATAAAGAAAGAGATGAGCATACCCAGGTCATGTGTCAGCAGAGACCTCAGGAAGACAGAAGGAGATGGGCAGAGGCAGATCATGTGTGGGCATGGAACACAGGAAGATAGTAAGAAATAGGGGGGCAGTGCAGACTCGTCGTAGTGGAGGTGCAGCAGCTGCAGGTGCAGGAGGTGGACTCCATGGTGAAGAGTCTGGAGAGATAGACCATCCGGAAGCTGCAGGGCCTCATGTTCTGGTGCAGCACCAGCTGTTGTGCACATGCAGCAGGTGCACCGGTGCATTGAGTGCTGGCATGCGCCTCTGGCTCAAGCCCAAGCCTTGGGGACCAGCTAGCTGGAGAAGTTCCAGGACTGCCTGACCGGGTGTACCATGCATTGCAATGACAAAGCCAAAGATTCAACAGATGCAGGGAGGAAGGAGCTGCAGGTGAAGCAGCCACTGGAAGATTGTGTGACCAAGGGTGTGGATGGCCACACGCACCTCATCCAGACCATGAGCAAGGCAAGGAAGGTGTCTCTCTTATCCACTGGGAAATAAAAGTCTTTGCCAGTGGCCATGGGGGCTGAGTGCAAAAATATATTTTTAAAAGGAATGGGAAGTTTAATCTTTTAAGCCAAGTTCATGAATGAAGAAATTAAGGATGGCACCAAGTGTAAGGCATATGCCACTTGCCTCTGGAAACTGGTTCAATCCTAAAAAGTGAAATGGAAAAAAACGGTGCTAAAATTTGGGTCAGAGATATTACAGGAAAATATTTTCAAGTCGATATTTTCTGTGGCCAGGGCTCGTCCTGGCAGTAGGGATCTCCCTTGTCACAAGCCAGACCCCTCTGCAGGACCAAATTCTTCTTCCTCCACAGGGCCCACCAGGCTGGTAGGGCAGATTCGGTGGAGTTTGAGGAGAGCTGTTTCTGTTCGTTGCCAACCTCCTGTTTCCCAGAGGCATCACCACACCATTTTCCAGAAGCTGGGCAACAAAATCCATGAGGACACTAACTTGGAAGAGGAAAAGAGTTTTCAGGGTCTTTGTTTCCTTGGTTTTTAAAATTATTTACTCAAGGGCATAAAGTTGATTTTAAGATGTGCAATTGGGAGGGAGAGTAGTTTAGATAAGAAGTTTGAAAGGTTCCTTGTGGATACCCTCTTCTGGCCATCAAGGTGTGGATGTGCACTTCTTAAAATTCTTACACACTGCATCTTTCAGCCTGGGGACCACACAAAAACATGAGCAGTGACATCACACTAATTATGGGAAACAGAGCTTCCCTCTTATTGGCCGATGGGCCCTGAGGCTGTCTGCTGAAGAATGACAGGACGATCTTCCCCTCACATTTTCCCCTGGAAGAAAAGGAGGTTTTGGTTGTGATGTATACCAGTATCCAGGAATGAGCAGGAAAGAAGGAGTTGCTGGCTACTTGGTTGATTATAAGAGAGTTGTGAAGTAGTGGATTTGGAAAAACCTGGTTTTCATAGAACAGAATGCAATGAAAGCCTAAATCCAGCATTGCTTACATAGCCCCTGAATGAACAGAGCCCAATTGAGACAAACCCCTGACCACAGGAAGTTCAAGGAAGAGAAAGTAAGCAACTTGGGCTAAGATAAGCTGTAGCAAAGGAGGGGCAGTCCCCGATTACCAAAGACCATTTTTGCCTGGGGCCTTTGCAACACACAGTGTTCATGCCCTAGCATGGCACCTGATTGTTTTGATAGCAACTTCATTGCAGTTTTACCAGGTTATTTCTTGAAATGATAATATAGCCTGTCTGTTCACTGTTTCCAGGCAGTGATATATTTTCCTAGTTGTTTGGTTTTTAAAATAAATAAGGTTTAATTTCTCCCCTTCCCCACAAAAAAGAAATGGGCAGATAAAACAATGTGTGGGTATGGATCACAGGAAGACAAAAACTGATGAGCACAGGCAGATCATGTGTGGATATGAATATTAGGAAGACAAAGAGATAGGCAGAGATAGATCATATGTGGGTATAGAGGACAGGAAAACAGTAACTGGTAGGAAATGACAGATCATATGTGAGTATCCCACACAGAAAGATAGTAAGAGATGTGCAGAGGCAGATCATGTGTGGGTATAGATCACAGGAAGACAGTAAGAGATGAACAGAGCCAGATCATATGTAGCTATGAATCTCAGGAATACAGTAGGAGATGAGCAGAGTGAGATCATGTGTGGCATGAATCACAGGAAAACAAAAAGGGATGGACAGAGCCATATCATGTGCCGGTATGGATCTAAGGAAGACAGCAATAGTTGGAATGGACAGACCACATGTGGGTATGGATCTCAGCAAAAAAAAAAAAAGAAAGAGATGAACAGAGCCAAATCATGTTTTTGCATGAATATCACAAAGACAGAAAGAGATGGGCAGTGCCAGATCATGTGTGTATGGATCGGGGGACAGTGAGTGAAGGGCAATGACAGATCATGTATCACGGGAAAACAGTACATGACAAGCAATGACAGATCATGCACGTGTATGGAACACAGAAAGAAAGAGTTGGGAAGAACCAGATCATTTCTGGGTATGTATCCAGGAACACAGGAAAAGACGGGCAGAGACACATAGTGGGTTTGTCTGAATCACAGGAAGACAAAAGGGGATGGGCAGAGCCAGATCATGTGTGCATGTGGATCTCAGGGAGACAGCAAGAGATGGCCAGAGCCACATCATTTGTGGGTGTGAATCTTAGAAAGACAAAGAGGTGGCCAGAGCCAGATCCTATGTGGGTGTGATCCTCAGGAATACAGTAAGACATGGGCAGCACAAAACCATGTGTGGGTGTTGGTCTCAGGAAGACAGAAGGGAAGGATGGAGCCAGATTATATGTGGGTATAGTTCTCAGGAGCACAGAAAGAGATGGGCACAGCCAGATCATGTGTGGTTTTGGAGCACAGGATCACAGTAACGGAGAGGAAATGACAGATCTTGTGTAGATATGGAATACAGAAAGACAGAAAGAAAGAGATGGGCAGAGCCAGATCGTGTCTTGCTGTGAATCTCAGGAAGACAGTAGGAGATGGACAGAGCCAGATCCTGTATGGGTACGGGGAACAGGAAGACAGAAAGTGAAGGGCAATGACAGATCCTGTGTGGGTATGCAACACAGGAAGAAAGAAAGATCTGCATGTCCAGATCACGTGCAGGCATGGATCACAGGAAGCCAGAAACAGAGCTGAGCAGGGCTATGTGTTGATGTGGATCACATTTAGAAGGGGAACAGTAGGAACAGACCTTATGTGGGTACAGAAAACAGGAAGCAAGAGAGAAAGTAGCAGAGATCAAATCATGTGTGGGAAAGATGGAAATAGAAGAGCAGAGACACAGTAGTGCCTGGGTATGGATCATATTAAGAAAAAAAGAGATGGGCAAGGATTACACCATGTGTTGGTGTGGACCACAGGAAGACCGAAATGCATGTGTAAGCTGAGACCAAATCATATGCATGGATAGATCACATTTAGACCAAAAGAGATGGGTAGGGATAAATTCACGATTGGGTGTGGATTGCACTAAGACAAAAATCGCGGTCAGAGATAATATATAGATTTGTATCACAGGAAAACAGAAAGAGATGGGCAGAGCCAGATCATATGTGAGTAGGAATCATGGTTAGACAGAAATAGATGGGCAGGGCCAGATTATGTGTGGGTATGGTTCGCTAGAAAAAGAAAGAAATGGGCAGGGATAGACCAGACTGTGTGTGTGGATGGATCGCAGCAGGAAAGAAATGTGTGGGGCAAGGCCCAGGTCACATGTGGGATGATAGATAGAAAAACAGGAAGTGCCAGGCAGGGAGCAGTACATGGGTGGGCATATATTAGTGTAAGACAGTAAGATGGGCTGGGATTATGCCATATGTAGGTGTGGATCACAGAAAGACGGAAAGAGATGAGCAGATCGAGACCATGTGTGGATATGGAACACAGCAAGGCAGAAGGAGGAGTGTAGGCCAGATCATGTGTGGGTGTGGAACACAATAAGAAAGAAAGGAATCGGCAGGGATAGATCAGATCATGGGTGTGTATGGATCACTCTTAGACAGAAAGAGATGGGAAAGTATGATATCGTGTGAGGCATGGGCACAGGAAGGCATAAGGACTGGGCTGGGCATGTGGCCATGTTGGCACAAGACTTTCCAGAGGCCAGGAGTGGCCAAGTGGGGATGTGGATGTGACAGCAGGAGTTATGGCAACCATGTCAGCCCACGAGATGGAAGCCACATGCTGAGGAAAAGAAAACAACAAGATGGTAGGGGCATGGATCCCTGATGTGGGAGCACCTTCAGACCGCCAATGTGAAGAGAAAAGAGAAATCAGTTTCTACCATTGGGAAGCTCTGGGGGCTCAGGCTGTCTCTATTGAAGTACCCAAATGCCATCCTAACTACTGCAATAAGAACTAAAGGACGCAGGAGGTGGCCATTTCACCACTCCTTGCTTTCTATTCCTCCCCACCCCTGCTCCTCCAGGGGAGTTTTAGTGCCCAAGGACATTGAGGAAGTGGGAGGGCAAATACAGATGGCTGGGGCTCAGGCAGGTGTCCCTAGGAATGATTTGGGGGTGCACAGGCAGTAGCAGATGCCAAACCCACACTCATGACTCCTCCCTGAGGGTACTGTTGACACAGGCGGGACTGGAGAGGGGTAGAGTGGTAAAAAAGAGGATGGAAAAAGACTCAGGGATGATGAACAGGAGATGGCTGTGGCTTGGAGGTGGAGACATTAGCTGACGGTTGGATACACGGGCCAGGAACACAAGAAGAAAGTTCAGGAAAGAAGCTTTGCCTAGAAAGGTGGTGGTGGTGATTGTTGATTTTGTTGTTAGTGCCTCAGAGGGTCTCATTAACTTCCAACTTTCTGCCGCAGACCATAGCCTGTACTGCGCTTTCTGACATTCAGAGGGTTCTTGGTAGCGTAGTAGGTACTCAATTTTTTGAACATTCTATGGAATCCTGAAAAGGCTGTGCTCCCGTTTTGAATTTGATGTTTATTAATAATGCCTTTACAATGATATCAATATCTGCCATTTAATTTTGTGTACATCTGTCAAAGGCTGAGAACAAAGTCTTTCATTCCTGTTGCCTTCCTATTAAATTATCCATGAGGTCCATCTGGTTCTGCTTTCTACTTTTGATTACGTGTAATTGATCATACACACATTCATGATCTGTACTTGAACCTCTTACCAGATAGCCAGTCCTGATGCATTGACTGTTTTTGCCTCTAATTCTCCCTCACCTGGATCAGTATTATTACGGTGACACTTTCTGTTTGCTTGCTGATCAGTTTCTGTCCAGTCCTTTATGTATAGGTCTATCCAGTCCTTTATGTATAGGTCTCTCTATGTTGCCCAGGCTGGTCTTGAACTCTTGGGCTTAAGCAACCCTCCCGCCTCAGCCTGCCAGGTAATTGGGACAACAGCAAGCACTACCAAGCCCAGCTCGACCCTTTATTCTAATGTTTAAGGTAAATGACAAGTTAGGCAAAAGCATATGATTGTTTCAATCCTGGAATCTTTTTAACGTGGACTTTTAATCTATTTCTATATGATGTCATTACATTAAGTTGGTCTTCTGACATACATTATGTTTTTTCCTTATGTTTTGACTGTTTCTACTGCCTGCTAAATGGCAATGTTTTATTGCCTTTTGTGTTCCACAGTGATTTGGACATGATATAGCCTGTGTTCTCGAAATTGAACAATTATTATAACAGCAATGCACTGCAGAGAAATCAGAGAGTGAAGATAAGCAAAACAAAGAGAACATGGCCAGAATCCCACCTGTCCCTCCACACCCACTATAAACGGGTTTATGTGTATCTTCCAAATGTCTTCTAGACGCATAAAGATATCTGGGCATAAACACACAATGGAATCCCCTGGAGAAGGAATGGTACAAATTTGCCTGTGACCTGCTTTGATCAACATATCGTGTATTTTTCCATGTGAATAAATGACTTTCCCCTGTATAATTTTTCATGACTGCAAATGTGTCCCATTGAATGAGTATAACATAATTTCAACAGTTCCCCTATTGTGGACTTGTTTATGAGCCCTTTGTCATTGCTAACAATATTGTGATGAACAGGCTTGCTAATACCTTACTCTTTGAGCACGTGGTTACTTCTGCAGGATACATTGGAAGTAGAGAAATTACTAAATCAATAGGTGTGTGCCTTTTTCAGGCTTTTTCTGTGACGCCTAACTGCCTTCTGGACATGTTACACCAAATTCACGTACCGTTAGCATGAGTATTTGACATTGCTTTGACCTTTGCTAAATTTTGTTTCAACTTTTCTTTTAGATTCAGGGAGTGCATGCGCAGGTTTGTTACCTGGGTATATTGTGTGACGCTGAGGCTTGGGGTACAAATGATCCCGTCACCCAGGTGGTGAGCATAGCACCCAACAGTGAGTGTTTCAGCCTTTGCTCTCTTCCCTCCCTCCCCCATCTAGTAGTCCCCACTTTTTTATTGCTGCCATCTTTATGTCCATCAGTACCCAGTGTTTAGCTCCCACTTACAAGTGAGAACATGCAGTATTTGGTTTTCTGTTCCTGCACTAATTCTCTTAGGATTATGGCCTCCATGACTTTGCTAAATTTATAAAAGGTGAAGAATCACACACACCCCGTTTTACTTCGTGTTTCTTTAATCACTGGCAAAGCTCAACATTTTTCATGTGTGGTATCAGCCCACAAGTTGACCTGCAGTGATCCCCATCCCCTGGTAGTCCCGCTCCTGTGTAATCCACCCCACAGTGAATCAGGGATGGTCTGCGGGCCAATAGAACACCGCAGAAGTCGTCACTTCTGACCCTAGGCTACAAAAGACAGTATTTGTTTCCTGTAATTCACATGTTCCTTGTTGCTGAACCTGTGCTCAATTTTGCGAAAGGTCTTCGGGTGCCTCTGCCTCTCTCCTGAATCGCTTCTGCCTCCCATCCGCCACAGTCTTGGGAGCCTTGTACCGGAGGGAATAGGTGGCTGAGGTGGCAGCCCCATGAGAATGGAGGCCTTCTGCCAAAAGCCACAGTGGAGTCAAGGGCTCCAGTCAACGTGTGTGGGTGACCAACCATCCCGGGACTGCGGGGTGAGCCAGGGCACAAGCCTCTCAGCGCTAACTCCGGGGACGAGGTGTAATCATCCTACATGTGAGTGAGCCATCTGGGAAGCAGAGCCCCGTCCTAGTCAAGCCTTGAGATGACTGCAGTTCCAGCCGACAGCGTGTGTATGACCTGTAAGACCCGGGGGCAGGACCACGCGGCTGAGCAGCGCCCAGATTTCTGATCATCAGACTGCATGAGATCATGAGTGTTTGGCCAGGTGCAGTGGCTCACGCCTGTAATCCCAGCACTTTGGGAGGCCAAGGCCGGCAGATCACTTGAGGTTAGGAGTTTGAGACCAGCCTGGCCAATGTGGTGAAACCCCATCTCTACTAAAAATGCAAAAATTAGCTGCACATGGGCATGGTGGCAGGTGCCTGTAATCCCAGCTACTCGGGAGGCTGAGGTAGGAGAATTGCTTGAACCCAGGAGACGGAGGTTGCAGTGAGCCGAGATCACGCCACTGCAATCCAGCCTGGGTGACAGAGCAAGACTCCATCTCAAAAAGAGAGAGAGAGAGAGAGAGATCATAAGTGTTTGTTGTTTTAAGCTGCTAAGTTTGGGGGTAATTTTGTTCCATACAAATAATACATTATGTTTTTAAAACATTTTATAAGGATTTAATGTGTGATAAAGGTGATGAATTTAACCATTGGGAAAAGTGTAGGAACAATTGGTTTATCCTGGGGAAAAGATAAAGGTTTTCAATCAAATGATCACCAGATGTACTGAGGACGTCTTGAAAAGAAAGCCACAGACCTACTGGAAGAGGGACAGGTGTGTCTTGACAGAAGCTCACTCCTGCTCAGGGTCTTTGGCCTTCAACACACACCTCCCTTGACCCCTGCCCATCATCCTTCAGGTCTTGGTGGAAACGATGCTTTCTCCACAAGCCCTGTACAATCTTCTCAGCCAGGTAGAGGCTGCCTGGTGGATCTCTCATGGCTACGCCACCTGCCGCATTTTGCACACTCATGAGTTACGTAGGTGTTTGTATGTTTCATGCTGTCTTCCCAGATAGACTGTGAGCATCCTGAGGCTGGGGATGGTGCCTGTGCTGTGCACTCTCTCATGCCCAGCTGCCTGCCAGTCTGCAGTGCTTTATGGGGCATTTTCCTCCCTGACTTCCTGGTTCTTTGACACGGGGTTTGAAAACTCCACTTGGCAGTGTGTGCTCCCATCAGGGCTCTTCTGTTTCAGCTTCCACCTGCAGTGCTGTGCCTGTGGGGTCCACATGTGCTACCCACGCCCCAGCTCCAGGAGTTGCAGCCACCTCCTTGGCTAGGGTTTGCTGGGTGTTTTGGTAATTGACATAACCTGAAGGAACAACGCAAGGGGTGCAGCATGGCCATGCCCCAAATGACCATACTACATGGCATCTGAAGACGCTGTGGATTGTAAAACCCATCCAGATGTCAGACATGTTCATGCCTGAGAAAAAAAGAACATCTTAGAATTGATGATGTATGTATTTTCTCAATCCAGCTTCAAGGGTCTGAGAGTTGTAGAAATATTTCCCAGATGGGCAAAAGCTTGGCTGCCCTTCTAATTTTCAGGGGTACCCTGTGTTCTGGTCATTTTCATTTTCTGAAAGGTATTTAGTGAGAAGTCGAGAGTCAGTGACTCAATGGCTGCTAGTAAGATGTCATGTTAAACCAGTTTTTAATTCTCTTCAGAGCCACACTGTCTTCCAATAATTCCCTCTTTCTTCCTATAGTTTCAGTGCTTGACTGGCTGTATGTAAAACACAGAAGTGAAACCAACCAGAAAATAATCCAAAGGCCAAATGGCACCTTATGTCAGTCATTCACTGACACTTGTGGAATGGCTCTGTATGTGTTTGCTACTTAAAAATAGCCTCAATCTGATTCCCAGGATTACGATTCTATCAACAAGTAATTGATTCCTGATGGCCAGAATCAAAGCTGGTGAAACTCACTGCCCTCATGAAGAGTTCATTCTAGTGGGGAAAGACATCCAATATGCAAATAAATAAACAAGTGAATGAATGAATGAACCGTGGCAGGAAATGTATCAGTTACATCTCACCACATTTTTGAGCTGTGGTAATGAATCCCCAAATCCCGGTAAGTTACAACTGTAGACACTACTTCTTGCTCACATAATATGAAGGAGGCCACAGGATGACCTTGGCCCAGCCCCAGCAGGCCTTCTTGCTTGCTCCAGAACCCAGTCTGAAGGGGCAGCCCTGTCTGGCCAATGCTGTGCTCACAGCCAAGGGAGAAGCATGTGACAGATGATCTCTCCCATGGGAAGGCTTCTGCTTGATGTGGTGCTCTTCAGTTCACTTGTGTACCTCCTGAATGCCAAAGCAGGGTTCAGGGCCAAGTGCAACAATGGGCTGGGCAACAGAGTTTGCCTTCAGGGAGAAACTGCAAATTCCATGGCAATGGATGGGAAGAAATATTCTTTGCAGGGAAGAGTTGATTGCTGGGAACAATAATCTAAGCAGCCATAAGTTTAAGTGACATAAAGAGAATATATCAGGGAAGGAGGCTAAGGGGAGCCAGGTGTGTGAGTGTCCTGGGGTTAGAGGGGTGCCACAGAGAAACTGACAAACTTACAAGAGGGATGAACAGGTGATGTTCTGATGTTAGGAACGTGATGTATAGTGGAGACTGCTGGCTAGTTACCAAAGACCCATTTCCTCGTCTTCCTGGGTACACAGACTTTTCCTGGCCACTGTTACAGTGAGGTGTGGCCATGTGACTGAGGTCCAGCCCATGGAATGGGAACAGAAGTGATGTGTGCCCTGCCACCAGGAGTCCAAGGACCCCAAGGCCCTAGGGATGGTGGAGCCACAGACAGAAGGAGCCTGGGTCCCCAAATTACCATCCGGCAGAAGGACATCTACTTCGGATCATGAGCGAGTAAGCTGGAGTGCAATGGCGTGATCTCGGCTCACTACAACCTCCGCCTCCCGGGTTCAAGTGATTCTCCTGCCTCAGCCTCCCAAGTAGTTGGGACTAGAGGCGTGCTCCACCACTCCTGGCTAATTTTTGTATTTTTAGTAGACGAAGTTTCACTATGTTGTCCAGGCTGGTCTCGAACTCCTGACCTCAAGTGATCTGTCCATCTCGGCCTCCCAAAGTGCTGGGATCACAGGAATGAGCCACCGCGCCTGGCCAAAAACAGGGATTTTATGGACTTCGGAAACCCACAGGTAGTGACTTCATAGTGATGTTCATGGTGATGTTGACCTAGGTGGACTCTCCTGGGAGAGAGAGACTTCCCAACATGGAGAACGGTGTATATTGGCAAATATGAGTCATGAGGGGCTTCTTCAGGTGTATGGAAGAGGACGGTATATGGGGAAAAAGAATGAAAAAGGAACTGAATCCCTTTGTCTGAAAAGCAAACACAATTAGAGAGGTAATAACTGGAATAACCAACTGAGAGAGTGCTAACAACTTTGAAACCACCAGGCCTTGTACTTGGAGGAATTCCCCAGAATACCCTAGAGGTAGAGGCCCCTTTGGAGAGGGCAGAGTGTAGAGGAGTATGGGTGAAGGGATGAGGGTCTTCCCTTTCTGACCATCAATTCCTCCAGGAAAGCAGCATCAGATTCCACCAGACACTGATGAGTTTCAGAAATACCTGCCATTTCATTCAACAGAATGGCAGACCTGCCACCCTGCCATTTATCTGGATTTGTGTCTTCAAGTCTTCCTGTTTTCTACACGCCTCCCAATTATTTACTGACAAAGGAATGAGTTGATCCTTTGTCCTGTATTGTTTTTCATCTATTACTTCAAACTTGTTTCCTTTTCAACCACAACAGGAAGAACAGGTGCTTCTCAGTTGTAGGTGGCTTAGCTGTCTTTGGCTAATACTAAGAAACCTCAAGCAAGAAGTCTAAATATTAATCATTAATTTACTGAAATCCTCTGTGTTGTGAATGTTGCTCGACTTCAGACACCTCTGAAAAGTATAGAGAAATTTGTCTTCATGTTCTGCATACTTAAACTTTTTATTATGGAAAATTTCAAACATACATGATAGTAGAGAGATTTATATAATGGATTCCCATGTATGTATCACTGGCCACAACAAATACCAACATAAGGCCAACCCTGTTTCATCTGCATCTCCTTCCCTGTTGGATTATTTCAAAGTAATCCCAGATATCATCTCATTTAATCTGCAAAGTTTTAATAGGATACTTCCAAGAGATAGGGGCACCATCTTTTCAAAATATAATTATAATACCAATTAGCACCATTGTTAGAAATTAATAGCAACTCTTCAGTATCATCTAATATCTACTGGGTATTCACCTTTCCCTGGATTGTCTCATGTATTCGTTTTTCCTGTTGTTTTCTTTTAATCAGCATCTAAACGAGGTCTGTGCATTGCATTTGGGTGACATGCCTCTTAAGACTCTCTTAATCTATAATCATTCCAAGTTCCCCCTTTTTTCCTTGGCTGGATGCAAGGAAATCGTTAAATGCCTTGCTAAATATGATGGCTTCATCCTAGTACTAGTTAATACCTAAAGAAAAAATACACATTTGTGGTAAGGCTTTTTACTTAAGACAATGGATATAATTTCACATTTCAAAGTCTCCTTGGTAATTGTGAATTTGGGGCAGATCTGATTAGATTGCTTTTGTTTTAATTTGTATTAGTCTTCAATTCAATTAGTGCAATTTGTTTGCATTAAGCTTTTAAAACCGCCTGTTCAGCTTCTGAGAGCTAACATTTTATATGTCTTAAGCCACCCATCTTTTCACGTGTTAACATCTATGAAATCAGTTTGCATTTTATAATCAATGGTGAGTGATAGTTTAATGTGTAGCATTTTCTTTACTATTAAACAGTGGTGCATCTTACAATCAAAGAGGTCTTAGATTTGATGAAATATACTAGTTTACTTAAACTAGATAATATAAAGGGCCCTTTCTATGGAAGTTTTACTCTTCTTTCTGAACAGTGGGCCTGTACAAGACAGATATGCCGAAGAAGGTAAACAAGTCCAGGTCTGGTCAGGAACATAGGAGCCATTCTGAATCTTCAGAATGGAAATGGTTTAATACAGAATCAGAAGCTTATATGGCTCCTGGAAGGCAGGGACTAAGGCAGGGACTGAGGAAGTTTCTAGAAATCCAGGACTGCAAGAGTCACAGAGAAGCTCCCCTGCCCCCAGTGGTCTCAGCTGCCTGCACGACTGAAGTGGGTGAGTCTCAAGGTGATATCCAGAGGCTGCTGGCAAACCCCACATCTGCCTCCTGCTGATGCTCAAAAGCCTGTCCTGTGCAGCCACCAGAAGGAAGCGGCTTCTCCTCACCTCCCTCCTCCCCAAATCAGGGCACAGGGTCTCTTGGGGCAGAATCTAAGAATCCAGGTCTACTGGCAAAGGAGTGTGGCAAGTGTCGCGTCCAGGCTTTATGCCTCTAAGGACAGGGAGGAACCGAGAAGGGCTGGGATGGTGGCAAGTACCAACAATGTTCAGCCCTTTAGAACACATCAGTGACTCCGTACATTAACTGCAGAGAAGCTTAATCTTTTTCGTCTTACATGAATATAAAAGGAAGTTGTAAGATATGTGTCCTGCTCCCAATGGACTGATTTCTGCCCCCGTGGAATATGTGCACCCACCTCGCCCCTGACATCAGTGGACTTGGGCCTCCAAGGCTAGCCAAAGCCAGGTGGAAGAGTGAGGCCAAAGGAGGAACAGGGCTTGGCAAGGCCAAAACCCTGCCCTGGCCGCCCCGTTGTCCCTGAGGGATTATTTCCACAAATGCATGTGCTTAAGTGCTTCAGTTCTATGGCAGGAGAACAGGACACACCACTACTGATACATAAGGACACGTCACTTATGGGCACTTGGCACTGACTCATATGCTCTGTCATAAGTGCCCTGATGTTCTCCTTTTCATGAACGCTGGTTTGTCTGTTATGTTCTAGGCAGCTCGAGGGGAGGAGCTAGGTCCCTTCTTTCTTAAAGATCTCCCCTCAATGCTGATAGTATCCCTAAAGGCAGAAAGGTGATCCCATAACACTAGAGTTGCCTCTGTTAGAGCAGGGGGAGTGGCCAAGCTCAATTTGAGCACATGCTAACTATGGAGTGTCGTTCTTAAGGTTTAGTGGCATCAACCTGCTGACAAAATAGGGCAAACAGCCAGAAGAGAGGAAGGACTGTCCGCCACGTATTTCAACGGTGGGCTCTTGCTTGCACATCCTCTCAAACCTAAAGCTCTCCCACATTGCCTGGATCAGCCTCAGGAGACTTTGTGAGCAAGCCCCAGCATCCAGCTATAGCCCCAGAAATTTTAACCTACTTCATGTACTCAGCCAACTGCGAGGACAATCCTTTCTGCAGCTTGAAAAAGCAGTGCTTTTCCTCCCAATTACACTGCCACTACTCACAGTATTTACTTTTTACTTTTGACTATTACAGAAGGGCATGGTGTTTCTATGCCTACAGAGGGAGGCCTTGGTTTAAAAGTTTAGGAAGTCCCACTCCAGAACATTTACTGTAAGACATTTCACCAATAAGAAATCACATAGACGAAAGACCAAAGCAAATGCTAGGTGTTCCTGGAAGGTCTTAGAGCTCAAGATGCAGAATTCTGCAGGCTACAAAGCATCAAAGGATGGAATGAGAGGCAAAGCTAGAGGAAGATCATTTCAAGTCTGGAAAATTCACAAGAAGGGTAATATGGCATGATAGTCTATGGACTAAAAATTTATAAGCCAGATAGGAGAAAAAAAGGAGCCACGAATTACTCAAGTCTCAGATCACTCAAATTGACACCTCTGTTCCAGTCGCTGAGCATCACCCCTGGAGCCTCGGTCAGGGCCCCATTGTCTCCAGTGAATCACAGGACACGCTGCTGGGGAACAAGAGTAGTGAGGGTTTCTGGGTTCCTCGGCTGGAGCCGCAACTCCTGGTGTGGGGGTAGGGGTTGGATAAGTGAGGCTATGCAACTGTAACCCCAGTCCTCCAAGGGCATCCCACCGGGGCAGCTGGGCCATCTGAAGGCAGAGGGCCAAGAGCAGGTGCATCCAGGAGGCGGCCTCTGGCCCCCAGTGGTAAAAGAGCAGCCGGAGTTGCCAGCCAGGCGTACAGGCTCAGATGGGATGAGGTATCTCGGGGCACGGGCATTTTCTAGCACTCTCGCATCACTGATGATATCATAAATAACAAAGGCTCTGAGTACAGATACAGCTCATCGACTGAACTTCTTACAGCCCCCCTGGGGTCTCATTGAAGACCCCTGTAAGAAATCAGCCCTTGGCTCTTAGGCATCTGTTTAGCAGTAGAATCTGGGCAGGTTTTAAAACTCAAGTATTTGGACATGGAAAGCCACAAGCTTACTAGAGTGGCTCTGTTTCAGTTCACACATTACAACAAATACACACATTAATGTAATACAGTGATGATAAATGAAATCACATCTGAGGCTTTCAATGAACTATTGTGATTTAACTTTATTAATATTTTAAAATATGAAAACTGTAAAACATAGTATTTATGTAAACACCTGAGGACTGTTCAAGTGGGTACAGCATCTTCATACAAACAATTTGAAAGAAGACCAAGTTTAAGTAAGAATCTTATGACATGTAAGGAATAACATTGATGAAGCTATTCTTTAAATAGTTGCATTCATGTCTAAAGTACATTTGGCTTTCTAAAAAGAAAAGGTACATTCTTGCATCTGGTGAACATTTTCTTGACATTACAGCAAATAGCTAATGGTGATAGCACCAATTCTCATAGCTCGTAAACCTTATATTTGTTACACAATGTAATAACAAAGTTATAAATTTATAACAAAATAATAGTGTTGAACATGTTTCCCTTGAAAGTTCTAACTTACAAAATAAAGCCCCCAAAGATTAGTCTGAATTAATGTATCATTCAAAGTGTAGCAGGATTAATGGCTCAGAATTAAGCAAATTAATTAGAAACATTGCATAGGACGGAGAACTTCCCTGTATGGAAACCAATCTACAGATTGTTTCTTGTCCTCTAAAAAGTAAGTTGAGAGGTACTAATGATGGCAAATAATCCATTTATATTTTACAAAATAAAACATTTCACTAATATATGGCTCATCCTACCTCTGTGGCAATACAAAATGCCATTTCAAATTTTTTTTAAAAAGATTGTGTGAATACTTCGGGTGAGAATAAAATATAAAATACTATCTATATAAAGAATAAACACATAAAATACAGTTATGCCTTTTAAAAGTTTGGACAGACGTATCTTCATAGAGAGATGCAAACAATGAAAGTGTAGTTATAGGTCCAAACTTAGCCAAAATATGACAGTTTTAATATAATAGTTTGTTTGAAAAAAAGTAGTCAGACTTCATCCAAACCACCCTTGCGGTACAATATTTCTTGCATAAAATAACCATTCTATCTATCCTATAGTTTATCTTAAAACTGTTAAGAGCACATAATAAAAGTTTATATGCTTATTTTTTACTCTAAATCTGAATAAATAAAACATATAGAGAAATAATAGCAGAAAGGAAAATAATTTATATGGCTATTCTCTTTCTGGAAACTTGTAGAATACTGCAACATCAGACAGATAAAATACTCCAGAAAGAGATATATATGGGTACACCTTTAAATTCTCTTCTGAGGAATAATTCCCATAGATTCAATCATAGGAGTTGTCAACCCTGATAATACCTCTCTTAGCTGTTTTGGTTCTCTGTATCGAGATGAACCAGAATCAAAGGGTTTTTTTTTTTTTCTGTTTCTTGCATGAAATATATTTGTAAACAATATAATAAAAGTAATTTTTAAAGACCTATAAAGAATGAATTTTCTATTGGACTATTCTAATACTATCTAGCAGTTTAAATGGTTTTTAAAGAAGTAGACTGGACTATAACATAGTTCTACAATTCTAGCTATAATATATTTTGAGAGATACTTTCTACAAAACAAAAACGACTAAAGGGCAGAAAAATGATTCCACACTAAGAAGGCATTGGTGCCTCTAGAAGTTGGCCCAATCTAAATTTGCACAAGGATTTTTTCAATTTTCAAAGCATTTTCCTTGTTTAAGTCGGTCAATGTAGTAGCATAGCTTCACAGCCGTTCCCAGCTTCACCCCCAAGTGCTTCAGCAACACGTCACTCGTGAGTAGGAGCAGAGCCTTCCCGTCAATTTCCTATGGAGAGAAGAAACTTAACGATAATTAATAATGCTTCCATATTTTCATCAGAATGGTTAGTTCTTTATGAGAACATGTAAAGCAAACTAGAGAGCAGCTCATTGCAGATGTATATTCTCTGAATATGCGTCTACTTTATGAAAACTATTAAAAATATAACTTGTACAGTGAAGCACCGTTTGGTAATGTATAAACTCATTTCAAGTTCTGAGAAAAAGGAAATTTAACATAATATCTTAAAAAATAAACTGTGTCAAACTTAATTTTAAATATATACTGTATGTTGAATAAAATACTACACATCCATGACAAAATAGTAAAGACTATGAATAGTAAAAATGAATTTCAGATGTTCATTAACTTTCTGAGAAGGGCTGGGAAGATGAGTACGTCAACATCAGTGCAAACTGTAAATGTCTATACAATGTTGTCTTTATGATGAATGCCAATTAGTTGTCTGAAACTAATTAGATGCTAAAACTAATCACCAATTTTCTTACTATATTAAAAATCAGATATGTGGCTACTAATTTTGTTAGGACACACTGTGAAAATATCTGAATAAATAAAACATAGTCACAAAGCATTCTCCTAAAATTCCTTATCTTAATTGATCAACTTATGCTGCTGAAGCATATGATTTGGTTTTATATGTTCCAGTTAAAAAATAAAATTTTATTTACTCATTTAACACTATCTGAAAAGGTCTGAAATCCCTTATAGTACAACCTTTGTTTGGCACCTTCTATACTTTTTCTACTAAGTAAAACTCAAAATTAAAGAAACTAGAACTTACAAAACTTCGGCCTAGGATATTACTTTGTAAATGGTCTGATAATAGCAAGAGGGTATTAGCATTACAAATCATCAATAATCGAGGCAAATGGAATCAGTTGTTGAATCACTGGTTATATAAAACGAAGGCCACCCTGTTATAGCTTGTGGTTACCCCCTCCTCCTCGTGGTCCTGGTGCCCAGCTGGGAGCAGATAGGGGGAGGATCTTTGTATCTGTCATTACAAAGGGGAGGTACACCTGAGTGGCCATGCTGAATCATCATGTCTTAAGAAGCTGAGGCAGTTTGTATTTTAGGCACTTCTACACCCATTTAAAGAACAGACCATTAGCCTACCATTTAAGGCTAACCTTGGGCAAAATAAGCTTTCTCATATATGGAAAAATCAGCTAATAGGGTTCTCCCACCATTCACACAGTATCCAACTGAAAGACCTGCACAGAGGTCATTCAAAGGCATTACAGCAGGAAAACAGGATCAAAAGATACATTACATGGCTTCTGAAGAGGTCGACAAGAGGGCATAATGCAAGAGGATCTGTTTGTTTTAGAAATAGGACCACTGCTTCCACCGACCAGGTTGAAGGGTGCTTAGTGATGCTTCCTTCCTCTATGTAACCGTCATTTTCAACTGGTGACCTTGTAACTTCAATGGAGAGGGGGAAAAGAAAAAAAAGACAAATCACACTCGACCTGATCATTATCCTGAAAGAAGAGATGTTAGGTAAGGAGGAATGCTCTCTTTGTTGGAACCTTCTGTGATGTTCCTAGCAAGGAGTCAAGACTCCAACTGTAAAATCTAGTGAAAGCCTATATAAAGATGATGTGGGGATGCCTACACAAGAGTGTCCCATCTGACCTCCCCTAAATAGCAAAAGCTGGTTCAGAAGTTACATTAAAGTTTCAAAGATCACAAAACAGACTAAGTAAACCAAGTCTTCTTTGGCCACAGGCAAATATGGCAAAAGATCTGTCACTTGGGTAAAATTAGGTTAATCTAACCTAACCTATGACTCTCTTCAAGTATTTCAAGGAATTTCTCTCTTAATCTATCTAGATTAGGTTAATTTTACTAGCAAAATATAATGGAAATTCTCCAAATTTACAGTTTTATAATTGCTTAAATTTGTTCCTTTTAATCAATGAATCTCAATAACAACCCCATTATCTTTAAGAACCAAATTAGTACTTTTATCAAATCTTCCCCACGTATTCAATAAGGTTATTTTTAGTATCGCTTTACTTTTTAGATTCCTGTCTCTCGTGGCTTAAGTGCTAATGTGCATTGTGAAGAAAACAAGATTATTTTCTGCTGAACTAGGTCAGAAGTAACTAACATTTTATTTAATTCCTCTTTCATGTTTAATTGCATAGTAATAGAGATTTTGGTCAAAGGTTTATATGTTTAAAAAATAACTGAGATATGAGACAGTTTAACTGCTCATACTTCAGAAAGTTTTAGCTATGCTCTACACTAAGTTGTGTTGAAATTTCTTTGTGTACTGACAAGTATCCTTTTACTCACCCACAGTGTTAGACTCCCTAAAATTAGTGTGTGATGACTAAAGTGGGTTTTGTAATTAGTTAGGAAAATTTGTTTCTCCAACCAGGACCATCAACACAATTTGATCTTTTTGTGTGTGTGAATTAGCCAAAAACATACCCTTTCTTCCCTACCATCTGGGCTCTTGCCATATCAGGAGTGTTTTTTATTTATCTAGGGAAAGGGTAAATAAAAATAGAAGATTTGGAAAAGCACAATGGGGCAGAGTTCTAGAAGTGCTACTCACCAGCTCTGTGATCGTGGGGATGGCGTAATAAATGTGCCAAAACCATGGGGTCATTATGAGTATAAGTGGAGAAGAGGCATGTCAGCTGATTGGTGCAGTGCCTTGCACATAATATGCATTGAATAAATGTTAGTCATCATTCTGAATATCACCTAAAACCAGCCCTCAAAATAGGAAACGAACAGCTTCCACTAGTTTGCATCAAGGATGTTGATAAATATAGGTCAAATAGTGCTACTTGTAAATATGGCATTTCAAACTCACCAAACCAGAAGGGAAGCAGAGAGATGATCCAGTATACCTATTCTCCATCAAAGCTGAGTAACTCATCATCTCAGGGGCATGTACCAAATTGGGCTCTCCCTGGGCCAGCATACCTGAAGGTGGTGCTGCAGAAGCATGGTCAGTTGAGTAAGTGTTGTGGATGCTGTCAGCCCGAGGGTTGCCAAGGCAGAGCCCTGAAGAAGAACCATACGTTGCACCATCAGATGCATAATACGGCTGACAATTATGCTCAGAGAAATCTGAGGGATGCACTGGACTCGGAGTGCGGCTGAGGATCGGGTCCTCCTCCAGCTCAGCTCGCTGGTATTCTTCCATGCAAAAGGATGGCCTTGGAAGGTTGCTCGGGGAATTATTCTCACGCCTTGACACTGGTAAAGTGGGGCTGTAACTTTCAGGGTAGGAGAATGTCTCGTAAACCTCATTTTTCTTCATTTTCTGGAGTTTAAGCTTTTTAACAAGCCGGTAAGAATGCTTTTTATATCCATATCGCTTCTGAAATCACACAAACACAGCATAAACCAACAGTGAGTAAAAAAGTAAATAAAATTAGTAGCAAATACATTAATACTTATTTTCCATGCAACATTGCTTTACATTATTAAAAATAAATGGTCCCTTTTGATTATATAATTCTTCAATCCTACATTTTAATTGTATTTTACACATTATAATTACAAACATAAAAATAGGCAGCATCATAAATTATCAAACCTAAACTTCAGCGTTCTCCCAACAGAGTTTAGTCTCCATCTACTGTTACAAGTATAGACATGCCTTGCTAATCTCACACAGATACTGGTACTCTCTCACTTCTAGCTCATTGGCATCTTTACAAACCAGAGGTTTATCACAGTTGTAAAAATGTTTTTTATAACACTTACATGATTTGTCCACAGGGATCTCGCATGGAAACGTTGGATTTTTGAAACCTTTCTACGAATCACATCAATCTTCTTATCCAGGTTTTGCAGAGCATCATATATAACCTATTATAATACAATGTAGTCATATAATTGGTATACAATGTAAAATATAATTTTTTATTTCAAAGAAAAGTAACGTGAAAATACCATTAAGTCAAATGTTAACTGCTAGACACAACAAAAGTTCTCAAGCCATCAGAAATGTCTTGCTCCTATTCAAGGCCTGGCTGTAGGTGACACAGAGCCAACAGGCTGAGCTAGAGTAGTCCCCTCCCCTGCTCTACTCCATGTAGGAATTGAGGAAGCTCTAATGCTGGTGAATGAATGTCCCACAATGCCTCTATGCTAGCACATTGATGATGAAGACACTGCACATCAAGGAAGGTGCTATTTTAGGAAAGAAATCTGCTAAAAGAACAAAGACTCACTTTATGATATACATATGTAACATATATGTTCATATATGTACAAATATGAAGTCTATATTATATACAGACAGTGAGTGTTCCACTCCAGAAAGAACACTGAACCAAATATAACAGATGTGACTTTTGGCTTCAAAGTATTTTTAAATCACGCAGTCAGCAATTAATCTTACAAAACCGTTAAGTACACATCTCTTACGCGCCAATCGAACACATAGGAGACTGATAAAAGTCTGAGAATTCTTCTTGAAATACACAGAGACTTTGGGCAAAGAAAAATACACTTAAGCAAAGGGCCAGAAACATTGCAATCAAGCACATAGGAGGCTGATAAAAATCTGAGAATTCTTCTTGAAATACACAGAAACTTTGGGCAAAGAAAAATACACTTAAACAAAGGGCCAGAAACATTTCCTCATTCATTCATTCATTCATTCATTCACTCATTCAACTAAACCTTTATTGATGGCCTACCACCTGGCAGAACTACTTTGCTAGGTATTGAGAACATGGACCGAAAAAAAAAGCTCCTGGCCGGGTGCGGTGGCTCATGCCTGTAATCCCAGCACTTTGGGAGGCTAAGGCAGGTGAATCGCTTGAGCTCAGGAGTTGGAGACAAGCCTAGGCAACATGGCGAAACCCCCGTCTCTACCAAAAATACACAAAATCAGCCAAGCGTGGTGGTGCATGCCTGTAGTCCATGCTACTAGGAAGGCTGAGGTGGGAGAATCACCTGAGCCTGGGAAGTTGTGGCTGCAGTGAGCCATGACTGAGCCACTGCACTCCAGCCTGTCCTAGAGGAACTACCATCTCAGCTGGGAGAGAGACAAGTAAAAAGAGGATTCCAGCAGACAAAGTGATAAACAGCCTGGAACAGTGGTTTGCAAAGTGTGGTCCACGGACTGGTAGCATCAACATCACCTGTAAGCTCATCAGAAATGCCAAATGCCAGGTTGTACCCCAGACCTATGGAACCTGGAACTCTGAGAGTGGGGGCAGTGGTCTATGTTTTCACAAGCCCCCCAGGTGATTCTGATGGCCCTAGTGAGAACCACAGGGCTGCGGCACTGAGATAAACAGTGCAGGCTCTTGGGGAACATGGTTGGGGTCAAATACTACAGTCCAGCCACTTATTGGCTGTGTGACCCAGGGCAAGTTACTTAACCTCTCTGTGCTTCAGTGTCCTCATGTAGGGAATCAGGATGAAAAGCTCTCTCAGGGTTCTCTCGAGGACGAGAACCTTGCTATAGTATTAGGTTAATACTAACAGTAACAGCACTACACTACACCCGGTCCAACAGTGCTCAGTGGTCTCTTCATGTTACTATTGTTATTACCAGTGGCGTGACACAGGTGGGAACAGGAGGCTAAGCCTGCACAGAAAAGCAGTCCTAACCCAGGCTGCAGTCACGGAGACCTTTTCAGAGGAGGTGAGGTCTGAAGTGAGAATTAAAACATGAGAAGGCCCTCGCCAGGTGAGGATGCATGGAAGGGCTTACAGCATAGAAGGAACAGCAGGTTCATAAATACCCAGAGAGAAAAACAGGAAGCCAGGTGTGGAGACAGCAAGTATGAATGACATTCCAGGAGTGGGGCTGTCACAGGAAGAAGAGAGTGAGGATGACAGGAAAGGAGGGATGGGAAGCAAGAGAAGTGGCTTCTCCAAGATGTGGGAGAACTCGTAGAGGGGAAGGAGGGACAGGGACTGGAGCCAGAGGAGAGAGAGGGGGATGCCCGATGGGGGGCAGCTCTGAGTTCAGGGAGGGGACTAGATGCAGAAAGCAGCAAGGGTGTCAGCCCTGGTCACTAGAATGGCCGGGAAGGGGTCAGAAGAAGGGCAGGGATGAGGGCAGTTGGTTGGCTGTGGGGACAGTTATGAGGACTCGGAGGAGAGGACTGCCCCAGGTGCTCCACTATCTCCACGAGTGAAGAGGCAGGACTAGGGAGCTGAGGTAGGCAGGGGATGGCGAGGTCTTCCTCTGCTTCCAGACTAAGCAGGATGGAGACAGACTCAAGAGGGAACTGGGATGAAAGAACAAGGCAGGCTGGAGTGCCACCTCTGTGATCTAGAACGGGTAGGGGAAGAAAGAGCCAGCCCCTTGGCAGCAATGGAGAGGGGCCCTTGGGGCCATTTCAGGCTGACCATGGCCCTGGACACCTCCCCCCACAGATGCTACCTCCCACCTCAGCGTATAAGCTGACCTAGACCATGACCTAGCAGTGCATGGGGAGGCAGGCTGGGGAGAACCTGCTCCCTCCCTTCCCAGCTCGCCTCTGCACCCACTTCCCCCCAAGACTGTATGTGTCCCTTGGAAGCACTCCACTTCTGTTCTCCTCCATGATCATGATAAACACCCAAACAATTTTACTTTCCAAAGTATGTTAGCTCATTCCATTCAAGAAACCTTATATATGGTAAGAAACATTATATATATATAAACCTTCATTACCTCTGGGGTATGCAACTCACAAAATTCCCAGTAATCACATCTCTACCAACATGGTGATTCTTAAAACAACTCCTCAAAACTACCTTAGGTATGTTTCTTTACTAAACCTTGATGGGCTGCCACTTTGTTTCCATTGAGATATCTTGATGTGCATTTAGGCACATACTAAATTTCATCCAAATCAGTCAATTTCCTTTAAGGATTTTGTAGGGGAAACTAATTTAATACTGAGCAATGTAGATGAAAGAGACATAACTACATTTGGTTGGTAATGGGCTTTTTAAAAAGCTATTAAATCTACATGTTGCTATTCAGGAAATGTGGTTCTAACTATAAATTGTTTTAAAAAATCATCACAATGGGATGATAATCATAAATAAATTGATAGGCAAAATTTCAATTAATTGTACACTTTCCCTTTATGTGAGATAAAGAGAATTTTTGCTTAACATTTTAGAAAACTACATTGAAGAGACAGAACTTCCATACCTGGCAATGAATAAGGACATCATCAACTGTCTTCAGTTGCTCTTCAGTATTACAGGATGCGTCAGATACAATATTCGGTTCCTGCTAATATTTTAAAAGTAGTTAATGATTTATTTCTGTAACAGCCAAACTGAACACTGGGGGCAGGGGGGAGCTATATTTATTTATTTAAATTGTTTTTATTTATCACCAACTTTTCAAGGGGTTTCAGAAGTCTTAAATTAAGCAGAGATTTTTAAAATTCACATTAATATGAGAATGAAAAACTGACAATTGAGGAAGGGGGCAAGAAAAGAATTTATTATATCAGAAGAATCCAGGTTTAGAGTTTTATACTGAAAGTGAGTACAAAACTGCTCTTAATTTTCTACTATATAAGAAAAAGGGGAAAGTAAATTGGTTAAGTGCTCATTCTCTGATGAAAGCAAGCATACAAATTCAGGGGAGAGATATTTTCTTGAGTGTGAGTTTACGGGAACTCCATAGTATACGAGGAATTTACATCTTTTCCTTTAAAACAGCAAATGTTAATATATTTGGCAATTAGCAATTAACATACTTTATTGACAAATTCAGGTTTTGTTTCATACGCATAAAGAATAGTGTTGTCATCTTCATCGTAAGTAGGTATTCTTGTTTTTATCTGAGGAAAATTTACCAACAAATTAAAAGGGAAGATGAAAGACAGAACTAAAAGAAAAGTTGAGGGTTTAATTTCACTTTCAAGAGGCTGTTACAAAGGCCTATTTGTGATATCAAAGGACCTTTGCTCACTGTAAATACTATGACTACATGAAAAGATGTATTTGCAGAACTGTGTTCTCATTAACCCAACTACACTTAAGACAACAGTTTTCACTGAGCTTAACCCTTTATATGCTTCATGGTAGAAAGACTAGTCCTTTAGCACCAGAAATACTTTAAAAGCAAATATTTCTAACCATGAACAAAGAAATAAATGTTACATGTTTTTTGATTTCTAAATAATCCAACAGTGCCCCTCTGTGGACAAGACAGAAAACATTTGAGCACCTATTTTTCTTGATACATTAATCTCTAAAGTACCTTAAAACTTTTAAAAATAAGACAGGGTATAAATAAGTAAGGAGTAAATAGCCATTACACTTCAGTATAATAACTCTTCATTCTAAGAATGAATTATGAACTATGGGAATAATTTTATAATAAACATACTTGGTAGCTATGTATGTTTTTGTTTCAAAATACATGACAGAAATCACAAAAACATATGGAATTGGGTTACAGTTCAGTACTTTTAAAAATATACTATCTTACCCTTGTATAGTGCCTTATGCTTTTCAAAGTGCTTTTACATAGTTATGTCAGAGAAAAATGACTCTTGATAGGCAGTTAACATTATCTCCAAAGATTTTTGAAAAACATTAGGACTGACAGTAGTTAAGAGAATTGCCTAGACTACTTAGGTAGCATTAATATCTATGTCCTTATGTGACTAAAAAAAAGGTGTTTTCTGTTAAGCCAAATTATTTATAGTTTAATAATCTACATACTGATTCAACTTGAAGGATGAAGAAATATAGAAGAATATAACAGAAATGTAAAAACAGCACAACCACTTTGAAAAACTGTATGGCAGATTCTCACAGAGTTAAATTCACATGAACTCCATGACCTAGTAATTCAACTTCTGTCTGTTCACCCAAAAGAAATTTAAGTGTGTGTTCACAAAGAAACTTGTACACAAATTGTCACAAGAGCTTTATATATTACTGTTAAAATATATAACAAAAATTTACTTATGATCTATGCATTTCACTGTATAAAATTAAACTAAATTTAGAGTAGAAGTATAGCACAGTAAAAAGAACAAAGACAGATTTTCAATTTGAATACAAACCACATCGATTTCACTGGAGCTGTTAGACATCATTTTTGTGCAACAGGAGAAACTCCACTTCCTCTGAGTTGGACCTAATTATTTTTAAACTTGCTGGAGGGTTTATTTGTGATACTGCTTAGTCACCTAAGAGTGGTAAACCTCTACTCCTGAAAAGCAACGCATAAAAAAGTTACTTCATACACTTACTACCTTAATAATATGGATATACTCTCAGAATGCTAACTCAAATAGAATTGGACTTTGGGTTGAATTTTAGAGAGTGACAAAACCAGAATTCTTCCATGGCCAATTTAGAATAAATCTTTCAAAACTGAAGGGCCATATTGCTCATGACTAGAAATAAGAATCAAATCAAACACAATTACAAACTGTGAAGTGACTGCTTAGTAACTTAAAGCCTACAGAGTAAATGCTGGAAACAAATGAACAAGAGAACGCAAGGGCTAACTGCTTTTGTAAAGGAGCTCCAAAAGGCTCTTGACTAAGGAGAAAGCATTGCCTCCAAAATGTAAGCCAGGAGTCTATTCTGGATTGGGTCCCCCCCGACTATGTGGGCTGGGCGGACCACAAGAGACACCACCTCCTCATCCACCAGGTTTCGAACACCAGTTGAGATGATCTCTAAGGTCCATTTCAACTTTCAAGTTAGGATTGCCTTATTAAATTTTATATTAAACCTAAATAAGTGGATGTGAAAGGTAAGCCAAACAATCTAAAATTAGGAAGGTTTGGTTATGGCTCTGAGTCACTTTACTATGGAACTAGAAAACTGGCTGCAAGAGTATCGGATTATATCTTGTACTAGAAATTTGCTTTGAATGTCTGCATCACAGTTACTGGGAAGGGTACGTTAATGAAAGAGCTACCCTATCCTTTCTGAACCAGAGCAGTAATGAGAGGCACAATTAAGAGATTCAGGTTTCATCTCTTTCCTGTTTCCCTTTCATTCTATAGTGGAGATACTAATGACCATGAACCCAAAAGACAGAAATCAAAAGGGATAAAGAAGATGGGAGAACTAACTCGAGTTAGATAAACGCAGACTAATGTTGCATAGAAGTATCAAGTTATAAAATACCTCTCTAATTGGGGCTGTAACTTCAATCAAATTTCACTTTTTAAACTATTTGAGTTTTCTGACCATAAAACTTATACAGGCTATCAGTAATTAAATTGTGGTATATTTATATAAAGGAACTTCGCAGCAATAAGAATAAACCAACTACTGCTGTATACAGCAAGGCCGAATCTCACAACCATAACCTTGGGTTTAAAAACAGCCAGAAACAAAAGAGTACAGTATATGACTCAATTGATATTAAACTCAAAAACAGGCAAAACTAACCTGTGGTGGAAAGAGTCTTTCCAAACCAGTACTTTTAGGTCTACTGTAGTTACTGTAACGACTTCTTAGTGTTCTATCTTGTAAATATGCCATGATTTATTAAACACAGCCCCCAATTCATAGATATTCAAGTTACTTCTAAAGTTTTGCTCTTATAAAGAACACTGCAGAACAGTCTTGCACCTGTGCAAGTAGTTCTATGGGATAAATTCCTAGAGGTAGAAACAATGGATAGGTCTCCACGTTTGAAAATTCTCCTCTACTTCTTCCCACTAAGGAGGGCTGTTGGGGTCAGCCAGATGTTCCAAAATAAACTAAGGTAGTATCCTGCTGGTCCTGCATGTAGTTTTAAAACCAGGACAGATAATACATAGTACCAAATAGCTTCTTGGCATCAGATGACTAAGTGACTTTTCTCTTTTGATCTACTGATGCAACATATTAATACATTTCTTAATGTTCTTGGGGTGAGGGGTCCAGCTGATTATAAACAACAACATTCAATTTGTTGGTGTTTTATTTAGAAATTGTTTGCATCTCTATTTCTAAGATCTTACATTGGTGAGATGGTATATTTCTCACAATTAATGAATCAGTGTTGTATTGCTACATTATTAACACTTGGTATCAAAATTGCTCTGCAAAATTAGCTGGGAAGCCTTTCATCTCTTTCTATACTCTAAAAAGTTTACATCGCACGACAATTTTTGTGCTCAAAGGGTTGAATTTATAAAAAAAACTCTCTGGGTCCAGTTTTTATAACATTTTCTAAGTTCCTCCATGGTTGATGATCTAGTCAAATTATCCTACTTTTTCTTGAGTTGTTTTGACAAATTATTTTTATCCAGAAGGATAATCATTTCATCATAATTACAGAATTTTTAGCAAAACCACAGTTTAAAATTATTATTTCTAATTTAATTTGTACTTTCTTTTGATTCTTTGATTAGGTATTCTATCTTGCTAAATTACTGACAACCCTGTGGGATAGGTTCTATTACTGTCCTCATTTTCCTTATGAGGAAACTGAAGCAAAGAACGTTTACTAGGGGTGTCCAAGGGAGGGAATATAGTCATGGGTTCTTAGTTTGTTTCTGGTTGGGCCAGGAAAGCCCCTTCCTCATCCCTCTTTTCCACTTATCCCTAGAGACAGAAACTAAAAAGCATAGCTTCAGGCTGCCGAAAGCCTAAAACAAAACAAAACAGAACAACAACAATGACGACAACAACAAAATAAGGCGGGTTGGACAAGCTTGATTTAAGTAATTTGCCCAGGTCCCATTGCTAGTAAATGGTGCAGTCTACCACCACACTCTATGCACTTTACTTCATTATTAAAATCACCTGGTATACCTTTGCTACCAATAACACAGTAAAATCCAAACTCCTACCATGGCCTGCAAGGTCCTTCCATAATCAGGACCCCGCCCACTGCGCAGAGGTCACTTCTTACCACTTGCCCCTTTACTCTAAGCCAGGGGTCCCCAACCCCTGGGCAACCGCCTGGTACTGGTCCTTGGCCTGTTAGGAGCACAGCAGGAGCTAGCAAGGATTATCGCCTGAGCTCCGCCTCCTGTCAGATGAGCTGCAGTATTAGATTCGCACAGGAGCACAAACCCTATTGTGAACTGCACATGCGAGGGATCTAGGTTGCACTCTCCTTATGAAACAGTTTCATTAGGAAACTATACCCCGCTAGCACTCCCCCGTCCCTGCATCTGTGGAAAAATTGTCTTCCACAAAACCAAAACCGGTTCCTGGTGCCAAAAAGACTGGGGACAGCAGTTCTAAGCCTAAAATATTTACTGTGTAGCCTGTTTCAGGCAAGTTTGCAGACAATGGTTACAAGCTCTTACATCCAGAGAACAGAGAACTCCCTATTTGGATTAATAACAATGTTGTCAAAATTTGGCTGTAGTTAGACACAGGAGCACTGTGCAGTGAGTCCACCACTGGACTCCCAACATGTTTACATCTCTGGTACATATACAAATCAACACCAATCTTTCACTCTTTGAGCTTCTCGCTCCTGTTATGCCCTCCGTCCATAATACCCTGTTGTGTCTCCGCCTAGGAGAATCTATTCAACTTCAAGGCTTACTTCAAGTTTCACCTCCAAAAAGCAAGGGCACCATGCCAATGATCATCCCATGTGGATGTGACACGGCTTTCCCTGAACTACAATAACACTCACACTTTAATACTTCTACGGCAACTGTCACACATATCTGGTTACATGAGAGGCAGCATCAAACAGCATTAAGACCTTAGGCTTGTGGTCAGAATACCTGGGTTTGGGTCCCACCTCCCCCACATACTAGCTGTGTAAGTAAGTTGAACAACTTACTTAAATCCTTTTTTTTTTTTGTCTGTAAAATGGGAATGATAATAGCACATACCTCACGGAATCGTGAGGATTAAATTAATACATGTCAAGTGCTTAGAGTAATGCATGGCAAAGATAGCAAGGGCTTTTGAGTATTGACCGCATCTATCCAACAGAACTATTTCTCAAGGAGCACATAGACAACAAGCCTGGGTCATAACGTCATTTTCATTCACATTGCACCTGAAGTGAGTTTTTATGTCTTTTAGGTACCAGGGTATGATGCAAGGAGCTGGGCTTTAGTTATAAACACTTGAATCCAAGTCCAAATTGCCAAATTTGCCGTTTCACTTTAGGCAAATATTTCACCTCTCTGTGCCTCAAATTTTCTAACCTGTAAAGTTGGAATAATATCTACTTCACAGGGCTATTTAGGCCAAAAATTACACAGTTAAACTCTCAGCATCATGCCTGGTTCATAGTAGACACACCATAAATTTTAATTCCTTTTCACTTCTTCCCATAAGGCAAACAATTACAGCTTTACAACATTGCCTTAGAGCCCAACCATGACTAGAATGTGCAAAATTAATTTCATTTTTAAATCTCAAATCCCACAAAATGAGTTTACTTAAAATGAAACTCATTTATATTTACCACAGAAATCTAAATTTCTTTTTTTTTTTTTTTTTTTTTTGAGACAGAGTCTTACTCTGTCACCCAGGCTGGAGTGCAGTGGCATGATCTCGGCTTACTGCAACCTCTGCCTCCCGGGTTAAAGCAATTCTCCTCCCTCAGCCTCCCGAGTAGTTAGCGTAACAGGCTTGCACCACCATGCCCAGTTAATTTTTGTACTTTTAGTAAAGACTGGGTTTCACCATGTTGGCCAGGCTGGTCCCGAACTTCTGACCTCAAGTGATCTGCCCACCTCGGCCTCCCAAAGTGCTGGGATTACAGGTGTGAGCCACCGCGCCTGGCCAATTCTTGATAACACCATAAATTTAAGTTCCTTTTCACTTTTTCCCACAAGATAAATTACAGCTTTACAACATTTTCTCAGAGCCCAACCATGACTAGATTCTACAAAATTAATTTCACTTTTAAACCTCAAATTCCACAAAAATGAGTTTAAAGGAAACTCATTTATATTTACCCCGGAAATCTAAACTCTTGATAATACCACACATTTTAGTTTCTTCTCACTTCTTCCCACAAGATAAATAATTTCAGCTTTACAACATTTTCTCAGAGCCCAACCATGACTACACTGTGCAAAATGAATTAATTTCACTTTTAAATCTCAAATCCCGTAAAAATGAGTTTACTTAAAATGAAACTCACTTGCATTTACCACAGAAATTTAAACTCTTAATTACACCATATACCTTAATTCCTTTTCACTTCTTTCCATAAGATAAATCACAACTTTACAACATTTTCTGAGCCCAACCATGACTAGATTGTGCGAAATTAATTAATTTCACTTTTAAATCTCAAATCCCATAAAAATGAGTTTACTTAAAATGAAACTCACTTGTATTTACCACAGAAATTTAAACTATTCATTACACCATACACTTTAGTTCCTTTTCACTTCGTCCCACAAGATTAATTACAGCTTTACAACATTTTCTCAGAGCCCAAGGCTAGATTGTGCAAAATTAATTAATTTCACTTTCAAATCTCAAATCTCGTAAAATGAGTTTACTTAAAATGAAACTCACTTATATTTACCACAGAAATCTAAACTCTTGATAACATAAGAACAAGAGGCCGTCTGATTTTCTAAAAGACTTTTTTTAGACATTAAAGACATTTTCAAAAGTCGTAAATATTCGCTCCGGAGGCGCAAGGCTTTCACCTGCCATTAATTCATCAGATAAGGCACAGCTCACAATGAGGCGCCACTCCCACCGGGACCACTTTGAGGAACACACAGCAAAACGCTCTGTTTGTTTTAAGAACAATCACTTTCTAAACCTTCCTGCGGGACTCTCAAAGGCAGCCCTTCCTTTGCCGCCAGAACCGCATCCCATCGCCCAGCACTTGCCGCAGGCCGGACAAGTGAGGCCCAAAAGGGCACCCAGCCCACGCCCCGCTTTAGAAAACACCGCGCGGCAAAGCTGCTTGGAAAATCGCTATCTTTTAGTCAACCTGAAGCCAGTTTGCCGCACTCGGGGAGAGCCGGGGAGAGGAGGGAGGGACGCGATCCGCCACCAACCAAATCAGGGCCTTTCCTGTTAACGACCACGCGGCAAGGGGGCCGGGCCCTCGCACGCCTCGACGGCCTCCCCCACTCCAAAGGGACTCCGATTTCGCAGGATCTCCCGCCTCCCGCCTCTGCTCCCAACACCCTACGTTTTTCTCTTCCTCCTCATTTACGTATTTACAATAAAACAGCGAAGCTGCACAGTCTGTCTCTAAATCAAACGCGGTTACCATCAAAGCCTCAGACTCTATGTCTCAACCGCAAAAGGTCTGACAGGAAATCAACTCGGGAGTTTGTCAATTCTTTAAACTCAAAGCTCTGTTAACGAAATCTGGATCCTTCCTCGCTCCCCACCTGCCTCCCCTGACAGGAGAATGACTGTAAAAGGATCCTGTCGTCCCCGAAAGTCAGCACCAAGCACTTCACAAATTGTCAAATCTCAAAAGCTTACACGCGCGGGCACTCCGGAAAGGCTGTGGGGACCACCCAAAGCACCCCCCTCCACACCGCGGCTGAAATTGGAGGCTGCGAAGTCAAGACTCGCTCTTCCCCGCAAAGCAAACCCTCTCTCCTCAGGAGAGCCCCGGCCCCTAAGCCAAATCGTGTATTCCCGTGACGGAAAGTTCAAGGTGAGGAAAAAGTACGACTGGACAGACCTATTTTAGTGACAGAGCCTGTCACGCCGGCCTCCGGAGGTCGCGGTAAAACTGCTCGCAGTAGTCCTGCCTCTCCGATGGGCGACAGCTGTGACCGTTAGGCCACTCGACGCTTCGGAAAGGTCCTGGCACCGGAAACCGGGCCTGGTCACGCGCACGCGAGACCAGTGATGCCCTGACCCCTGAGTGGATCAGAGAGCTCCCGCGACGCCGAATTCCCACACTCGCGGTTGGGGGGGGGGGGGGGGGGGGGGGGGGCGGGACTACCCGCTGACCAATCGGAGTCTGGCCACTGACAGGCGTCACCGTTGATCGGCCAATCCGCGGGTGCTCTCCCAGTCCTTGGGTGAGGGCGGGAATTTGCTAAGGAGATGGCTGTGGGGCGGGGCCGAGGGCGGGAATTTGCTGAGGAGATAGCTGTGGGGCGGGGCCGAGGGCGGGAATTTGCTGAGGAGATGGCTGTGGGGCGGGGCCTCTTACCTCAGGTTTTCCTTCGCAAGACCCGCAGGATTGAAAATGGACGTTAGGCCTTTCAGAGACTCGCGCGCTGAGTGGTTTCTGCGGCTGCGCAGGAGGCTGGCGCGCATGCGCAACCCTTCTAGTGGCGTTGTAGTTAGGGACGTGGTGTCCCCCCTTCGTTGTTGGGGTGTCCGAAGCTTTTTTTTTTTTTTAATGTGATCCCGCCCCTCCCCCGCGCTCTGTGACGCACCAGAGACGTCGTCGTAAACTGGGTTTCCTGGACGCACGCCAGTGATTGACTTGGAATGAGGAGAGGGGCGGGGCCTTAGCAGTTGCCCTGAGCCAGGTCTGGTAGGAAGGGCGAGGGGGGCCAGGGTGGGGGGCGGGCAAGATATTTCCAGTCTCCAGCACCCACAAGTTGGACTGGGGAACTAACGCAGACCTTGAAGGCAGATTTACTGGATTGGACCCCCAGCTCCAACACAGTCCTCCTATGGCCTTAGGCAAGCCAAGTAACCGCTTTGTGCTTCGGTTTCCCCATCTGTAAAATGGGTATAATATGGGGACTACATGAGTTAATGTATGCAAAGCACTTAGAACAGTACCTGGCATAGAATTTTGCTATTGTAATAAAGGCTATGTGACATCATCTAGTGGCATATAGTCTTACATACTTATATCGAGGCTGCTCATCTTGGGAAGGAGACACAGTCTGAGTAATTATCAGAAGCAAAGCAGGCAGATATTTCAAAGTAAAGCTATACATCTTTTCTTGGCCCAGAGAGGAGCTACAAAGAAAGTATACTGGACGTTGGAAATGTATCATTTTTCCTCTCAAATACGAAGCTAGATTAAAGCCCATTATAGATATAGTATATGTTTTTTTTTTGTTTTTGTTTTTGTTTGAGACGGAGTTTTGCTCTTGTTGCCCAGGCTGGAGTGTAGCGGTGTGATCTCGGCTCACTGCAACCTCTGCCTCCTGGGTTCAAGCGATTCTCCTGCCTCAGCCTCCAGAGTAGCTGGGATTACAGGCGTCTGCCACCATGCCCAGCTAATTTTTGTATTTTTAGTAGAGACGGGTTTCACCATGTTGGACAGGCTGGTCTATGTTCTTTTTGCTCCTACTTTTGCCATAACAGACCCTGCCCTTATGTCCTGTTGCCTGTAAAACACTGTTGCGAAGCCCCAAGAAATCAATTACGTAACAGTGAAGAGAGAAACCGGTTGTTTAATTGCAGTCACGTTTATTTGCAGTTTCTATACACACTTTCTAGGTAATCAAACTTTTCTGATACATTTTTTTTGAGAGGGGTTCACAATGAAACTGTCACCATTTTTACTAAAAATAAATACAAGACTTAAAGTGTTGCACAGCTCTAAAATATACAAAGGCTTGGATTGAATGTAAACGTTGAAAACATCTTACAAAAGAAACCATCTTTGCAGCAATTTAAAAAGTTCATATTTACAAATATTACAAAAATACAAAATGGATGCAAGTCCATAAACCATTGTCGTTTCGGCCAGCATGAACTGGTTCTAGTACCAAAATAGTTACACTGTAACCTTCTTCATAGTTTTAAATCTTTATTACCATCTAGTTCTCTACGTGCCACCACTGCAGCAAATGCACTCACTCACTGACCTTTGGCAAGAGCAAACAGCATGTTCTGTTTGCTACAACTAGTCCATGTCCTCTACTTAGCCAAAAACAAATCAAAACAACAACAAAACCAAAGTAGAATTTTTAAAAAATGAAAAAATTTCCCCTACACAACATAGATACGTTGTATAAACATAAAAGAACAAAAAATCGCATCAGTGCAAACAACAGAAGAAAAGTTCGGATTGATGTTCTTCACAATACCTAACGTGTGTACCCTGCTTCAAGACGGCAGTGATGTTAAAGACAGCCCTAAATCTTGGTCTTGTTTGCTATGTAATCAAGCCATGTAGAATATTCCAGATTATTAGGGAACTTCCTGCTTTTTCTTCTCAGTTTGTAACTCAATACTCTTTTCCACAGTGAATTTTAAATCCATCTTTATTTGGGTTTTTTAAATCTATGAAATATAAAATAGAGAAACTCTGCTATAGATTTTTAGAGTAAACAAAATAAGTAAAACTATATTATAAGGGTTAGTTCTGTGATCATTACATATAGAAGGTATCTTATTGCCTCACAATTCAAGTCAATATGTATTTTAAAAAATATATGGTACCATTACTTAATGTCAATAATAAAAAGGTGACATTTTTATTAAAGCCAATTCATGTGTTTTCTATTCAAGATTTAGAATCACTTTTAAAGCCCACATACCTTTCTTCACACTTAAAAAACCCCTAACTACACAAAAGCCATACTGCAAACGAACTGCTTTTATGAAATTACGAAAGATCGCCTACTGTGACTGGAAATGACGGTTTCTTATCGCATTTGCCTAAAAACTTTATTTTTAAAACTTTGCAAGGTGTACTTTTCAAATCATGAGACAGATTTATTCATGTTCCCATGTGGTGTCAAACCATGCTGGTTTTCTTAATTAATGGGTTCCAATGAGAAATGGTGGTCCATTTTATTCAAACCCCAAAATATTTTTCTTTTAAGAAAAAGTGTGACATTTTGTAAATGTTCAAACCCTTTACCAGGTAGCTTATCTATCCCCAGTGTGTGTGCGTACACACACACTCACACTCACACACACCCATACACACTCTCTCTGACTCTCCCTCCTCTTATACCCCTCCACCCCCAGCACCCATTTTACATACAAGGATGACAAGAAATTTAGTAACACAGTTTGGTAGTGAAAACAAATAGTAGAAGAAGCCAGACATTTTTTTTCTTTCCAAACAAACAAAACAACAGCAATCAGATTATCTATTCTTAATCTGTAGCAGTTTAGAAATCATTTCTATTGAAAGACAGTATCTTCTTAGACCAGGCTTCCTCCTTCATTTTGCATGAATTAATCCAAAATGCAAACCCTCTTCCACACCTCCTACTTTCCCAACTACCACTTGCATAAGCTTAAAGCCAGCAGCTTGTCAATTTCTTGGTAACATTGGTATGTTCTATCACTCTAATCACATTCTAGTCTTTTATAAGTCAGATCCCTTCTTAATTCTCTCTCTGTTCTACCTCTCCCATTCAAAACCTATTCTAAGTACATAGCTGCTTATATTTCTGACATAAGATTCCAAACATTAGTATAAGTTCATGTTAAAATCAGAGGTGTAAAAACCATTTGCAGATTTTAACGTGTAACTACATTTTTTTTTCAGTTTTAAGACAAGAAAATTCAAGTAATTTCAAGTAATTCAGCTTGTTTCCCTGCCTTTATTTTATCAGAGCACATGCCCTGACATTTCCTCTCCCACCCTCCACCCTCCCCTTTTGCCATCAAGCAGACACTATAGTAAAACCAGACAAAAACTCAGTTGTATGTAGTATTGTGAACCAGAGCTGTTCCCCATTCCCAGTTTAACAATGAGTATAAATAATGCATATACACATACCTATTTTCCAACTACATTGTTCACAGTGTCATTTCTGTTAATTTTTAGGTAGCATGAATCTCATCAGCACAGAGAGAAAGCTTCACTGAAAACTCATTACAGGTACTTACTGATTAATCAATAGCTCTGTGGCATGCTTAGGTTTTATTTTTGTTAGTTTAAGAACCTGGAGCTAATTTCTAAACTGTTTAAGGAGTTTAATGATTACAGTCATTAGTTATGACCGTTTATGTCCCCAGTAGCCTAATATAAAACATAACCTAAAATTAACTACTATTTTCCCTACTCATTCTCTTTAAAGCAATCCATTGAAAAAATTAAAATCTAAAGGACACTGTCAAATGCTGTTGTTCAGGGCTTTGTGTTGAGAATGATGACTTCTCTCACTGATTAAAAAAAAAATCAAAAGCATGCTTTTCATTCTGTCCAAATTACCACACAACAAATCACAGCCATGGGTTGCTATTAGTTTGTTTGGTGCTGCAATTTGTCATAAAAATGATTAGATCTGAATTCATTATTTTAATTTATTCATATTTCAGTATATGACCTCAAGATTTCCTTTAGTTCACCAGTTTAAAATTCATATTTGAGGTTTACCACTCAGAAATCATATTGGTGGACATTTAAATATGGCATTTGATATGAAAATGGTATTCACAGAATACAGTTATTACATTTTATTTTTGTGTATTCTATAAACAGTTGGTGTGCAGTAGATAATTGACCACATGTCCACTCATCATTGATAAATCTATTTACACATTTTTATCAAAAATATGGTATTTACATATGTGTAGTTCTTTCTTCTAAATTTTGCTTTAGTTTGTTTTAATGTAAAAAAATACCAAACATCCAGAGTAATTTCATCTTCTTAAAGAATAATGACAGTGAGGGCTTTAGTTTCTGAATAGGCAGCTCTGGGAAAACGTTTTCTAGGTGTCATGAAAATTAGACAATTTTGTATCCTCTATTTTCACAAGGAAGGAGATTGCGTAAATCAAACTATGCTAAAGAAAAACATGAAAGACTGCAGCTACTTAAAATATGGAAACTAATCAAGAATGTCTAAACCACTTTCTGTTTACCCAGCACATACTGTATTTAGAAATTCATTCATTGCTTAGCAGTGATGCTACCCCATCAAGTTGAGACTTTTCCCAAGTCCTCTGTTCTGTTCCTCCATCCTCATGTGAGTAAGGGTTTTGGCCTTTGCCAGGCAGCCTGGTACAGGCAGTCTATGTTGAACTCTGGGAGGAACGGTCGTCATGTGGGCTCCCGTCAGAATTTTCCGTCTCTCCCTCGGAGATTGCCTGCATGGGCGTATTGTACAGCCGGCAGCGGACACTGTAGCGGCTGCTGCTGGCTGCAGGAGGGGCCCGAGAACGTCCAACCCTTGCTGATGCTGAGGTGGCAAAGCTCTTCGAGGAAAAGCCTTCTGCATTAACTCGTGGGGAGCATGGAGAGAGTGGGGACAATGCCTCAGCCCCTTGTGACCCCTGATGGGCATCATCGGTGCTCTGAGGGGACTCTGCTGTGAGCTCCCCAGGAGGTTTGGGCAGTATGGGGCTCTTCAGGATCTCAGTGGCAGACATGCGGTAACTAGAATCTGAGCGACTGCCTTTCTTGAGCAGTAACAGCTTAAACTCTTCATTGGATGTGTTGGACTTTTTGGCATTTCGGTATATGAGACCAGGAGACCTCTGGCTGTTGGGGGTTGTCACATTACTGCTGGGTGAAGTGATGGAACTGGCGCTGCTGCTGCTACTGCTGAGGGGAGCTCTCGATTTGCTTCGAACAGACATGTCCCCGGAATCTTTTCTTCCAAGTACTTTCCTCTTGGATCTTTGAGAAAAGGAGAAAATGGGGCAAACATCTCACTCAGTTCACGTTTTTATGAAACTGAAGTATTCAGTCGCATTCACACATCTGTCTAAAGTGCATTTTGAGCCTGTCCTATATGATGGGATACTAAGCATTAGGGCTATAGAGATGAAAAGTAAGATATGTTCCTTGTCCTTGTAGCACCCACAGTCTGAGAGAAATTCTCTGATAACCAGGACACAAATTAGGTTCTAGAGATGATCATTTCAGATAATGGCTAATGTGGAGGCTAGAGGTTCTAGAGGATACTTTGTAAAAGTTTAAGAAACTATACTGCTAACAGCCAGGCGCAGTGGCTCACACCTGTAATCCCAGCACTTTGGTAGGCCGAGATAGGCAGATCACTTGAGGTCAGGAGTTCGAGACCATCCTGGCCAACATGGTGAAACCCCGTCTCTACTAAAAATACAAAAATTAGCCGGGCATGATGGAGCATGCCTGTAGTCCCAGCTACTCAGGAAGCTGAGGCAGGAGAATCACTTGAACCCGGGAGGCGGAGGTTGCAGTGAGCTGAGATCACGCCATTGCACTCCAGCAGCCTGGGCGACAGAGCAAGACTCTGCCTCAAAAAAAAAAAAAAAAAAAAAAAAAAAAGGAAGAAACTATACTGCTAACTAAACTATACTTCTGGTTCCAGGGGGTGAAAGACTATAACTTTTTCTTATTAACTCTGTCTCTGCAATACAGATGAAATGATCTGATGTCTGGGATTGGCTTCCAAATAATACCAGAGAAAGCAAGTGGATGGAGGTGTGGGTGGGACAGGATTGGCCCTAGTTTGACAGTTGATAATCCTGGATGATGGATATGTCAGCAGACATTATACTATTCTACCTTTTAAAATCCCTCCATATAAAAACATAATTAAATGACGTTTTAAGTCAATTCATCTTGGGCTGCAAGTATCATTTCCTATAGCTTCCTAAGAGCATCAAGAGCATATTAAGCAGTAAGCCAGCTCTCTGTGGGGAATTGAAATCCCAGACCATCTCTGGAGCTCTTAAAGCTTTGTATACTGTAAGCTCGCAAGAAAACAAAATAATTCTTTTTGCTGTGATGTAAATAAACAAGTAAATAGATAAATAAGTAAACCCTGCACAAATGCAAGTCTAAGATTACCAAACTCAATACATCTATTGAACCTTGACTCCCATCATCATATTATTGATTTTCTTTGGTAAATCAGCAGGCATAAATTTGGTGGATCTTCAGTATGACTCAGTTCATTGATAGGCAGCATGCACTTTCATCAACTTAAAGATTCATATGGTAGAGAAAATGTGAACTTCACAAGTGTAGATATGCTTGATTTTGGTTCACAGAAACCTCTGTGGTTGATATCTTGTATATGGCAGTGTCTGGCACTCCACTAAGTTAGGGCTTTCAAACTAACAATGGCTTTTAGCACCTACCATATTCTAAACACAAAAAATGTTATCATCAAAATCAAATACGTGAGCTATAGGCATTCCCATGTGCAATAAGGGAGTAGGTCCAGAGGTTTTAACTTACTCAAGACTGCATAGGAAGTGGCAGAGTTGGGATTCAAATCCAGGTCTTTCTGACCCCACTATTTACGTCCTGTCCACTATTCCATACACTAGCATTTGGTCCTTTGGGAGTAACTTTTTAACTTACATAGCAGTTTAGTAATTTTTCCTGGGATTGAAGATAAACTGTGGGGGTGAGGGAAATATAATCAGAGCTTAGACTAGGCACAGGGGTGAAGGAAAAGAAACTAATGGTTCTTCACCCTCTGAGTAGAGAAGTATGCCTGCTAAGGTATACATAGAAGGTGTTTCTGATTGGCTCCTTTTAAAACAATTGTTGAACAGCAGTACTCCTTCTTTATGAGAGAACCACATCAACAGAAAACAGAAATTCCTATAAAAAGTAGAATTCCAGGAGAAAAAGATTGTAAGCTGCTTACGATGAATTTGTTTCAAAAATGATAACTTTATGAGGTAGAAAAGACAATCCCCAAGTTGTATCTCTTGGGAGTTCCATCTAGGTTCCCGAGGTCTAAGAAGACAGTTGTGTTTGTGAAAGGAGGAGGCATGGCAAATCATGATTGGCTAGCTCAGTTATATGTAGATTAGGTGTCCAAGGGCTAGTTCCTGTTCTGTTCTTTGGTCATTAGCTATAAGGAATAATTTTTGCAAATATGGACCATGGATCACAAGGGCTCATGGGGGCAGATGAGGAAATATGCCTTTGCAGCATGGACACAACACTGTCCTGGAAAAGCAACCCAAAAGACCTGTATTCATGGAATATGGGCATTAATTTTGGGGATGAAGGCCAGTACTATTAAAGAAATTTAAGTTCTAAGAAGAAAGAAAAACAGAGAAATTATTACTTGTTCTGAGCTATAAAATGGACAGGAACACGTATTGTCTTTTCTCAAACTTGAGACTGTTTTGTGATCAACTTTGTGTGTGTGTGTGTTCTCTAAGTTTTATTTTATTTTAAGCTGACAAATAATTGTATATAGTTATAGGGTACAATGTGAGTTTTTTATTTTTTATTTCAATAAGTTTTGGGGGAAGAGGTGGTATTTGGTTACATGAATAAGTTCTTTAGTGGTGATTTCTGAGATTTTGGTGCATCCATGGTGAATCAACTTCTGTTTGTCTCTGCTGGTGTATGACTACAGCTTTGATCATATTTTTTAGGTTCAAGAAAGTATTCAAAAGTCAGAGATTACACTAGAGTTTGAGCTTTCACTCCAAGTCACTTAACCACAGATTGTTTTCACATAAAAACTTGTTCCAGAATGTCTTTTCCTGGGGAAAAATAAAGCCACTCTTACAAAAGTCTCTCAATCGAGGTCTATCAAACTCTATATAAAGATCCTATTTCCCAACTTGCATATCAGTCTATCAACTTGATTTGGAAAAATTATTCTTTGCTTGCTTTTGTTTTTGCTGAATGTATTACAATTACAAAAAGCTTTCCTGTATTTGCATTTGTGAGAAGTACCTGAAGGGGCAAAACCTTTGTTGTACCTTTTGTTTTGGGGGACTTGGTAATGTTGCCTCACCTGTGAATGACTGCAAATAAATCCTCAGTTGTTCGAGGTTTGTTTGGAGACACGAACACACCCTCTGCTTCAGCTTGGGAGTCTTCACTAAGTGGTGAAATGATGGAGTCATCACTCGGTGATGATTCTTAAAATAAGAACAGAAGAATCTTTAAGAGGAAGTTACCCAGCACGCTACTGTACTTCACTGACTCAGGGAACAAACAAACAAACAAACAAACAAACAGAAATTACCTTGCTGCCATTTTTTAAAAATGAGAGAGATACCTGTCAAAGCTTACTCACCCAGTAACAAAAGCTTTTATCTCAATTGTTTTAATAAGTGCAAAGAAATAGTGGAGGGAAACCAACACCCAGGGCTGTACCGTATTATTGGGAACATAAGAAAAAATTCCAGGAAGTGCCATGAGACACATTTCCTTTATGACAAAGTTATCAGTGACTGACCTTTCAATGAAGCCTCATCCACATTTCCTTGGGTCTCCTCTGCTTTGCTGTTATCAGAGGCACTTTTGGCTGAAATACCTGAAGCAATATTTTCCTGCTTGGAACATTTTTCAGGGAATGAATTTACAGATGTTATCTCCGATTCATAGCTGATAGTACCAGGCACTTTGTCATGGTGGCGGCTCATAACAAATTGATGCTTAAATTGATTGCTTACATCTGTTGCTCTAGTTGGTGAGTCTGACTGAGATGTGATTACATCCACAGATTCAGGTTGTGCAACTTCCTCCAGACCTGCAGAGGGTGCCTTCTGTACCTGTTCTAGAGTTTCGTCTGGACCAGGTCCATATTGTATTATTTTACCATCCAAATCATTTGGGCGGGCAGCAGAGACCCTCTGAAATCCTTCTGTGGGAAAAGCACAGTTTTTGGTTGGCGTGTTTTCTGGAATAGGCTCAGTCTCTGTACGCACTTGGTCTTTTGTGACATTTGAATCTAGAAGACTGCTACCAGCTGATGTTATGGTTTCTGGATCGCAGCGATTCTTCACATCAAAAGTAGAGTTTTTTTCTAAATGTAGTTTATCTGGTCCCATCTCAACTGCAGAAGAGTCTAAAAAGGACAGTATGGTGTCTTCAGTGGAGTATTGACGAGATACTGATTTATTTGCTGTATGCGGCCTAATCTTACTTGGAGACAAGGCAGCCGTTGTGAGTGTGCTTTCCTCTAAATAAGGGAGATCTGTATTGTTTTCTTCTTTTTGCTTAACTTCTTCAGACTTGTTGATGGACCTAAGGTTAACAGATTTCAGGATCGTTGGTGTAATTGCAAGGGACGGTGGAGGATTCGACCTCAGTGTTTCTCCTACTGTGTTCTGCTTATTATGAGTAAAAACATGCAGTGGATGACGGTGGTGGAATGGTTTGTTCAAGACATTATGAAGAGCACTTAGATCAAGATGGGTAGGAGGTATAATTGGAAGTTCAAGGTCTTTACTCAGTGATATAGTTCCATCTTTTAAAGAGGGTTGCTGTAGTGAGGATTTTCTTTCTGGGACTTTAGGTTTTCTTTTGCTACCTCCGGGAGACAATGGACCTGAAAAGAAAGCTGTAGGGAAAGAGGATGTTGGCGTTTCAGACTGGCTTGAATAGCCACTTGATGGAGATGCCAAGCCAGCCAGCTTTTCTGGTGAAGCCAGTTTAAACTCATTGTCAACAGAAGGAAGAGATGGGGTGGTGGCTCTTGATTCTGATTGTGATGTTTGGGATTCAGAGCTCTCTGGAGATTTGATGCATTCAATGACTGTGGTACCCGTAGCGGTGCTTGAATTAGATAGAGATCTATAAGGATCATTTGTTTTCAAGTCATTTAGGAGCCAGAGGTCTGCATAGTGTGTGGATTCGGCAACTTCATCTTTGAATGGTGGAATATCCGAAGCATCTAACTGAGGTTCCTTAATGCCTTGTTCACTCTGGTTTATCCAAGAAGGTTCCTGCTTGGTGGGAAGATTGGCGTTTTCCATTCGAGAAGGCGTGTTGGCGAAATCAAGAGGCAGCTTCATTTCCCTGGAACTGTGAGGCAGGTGCTGACCACTGCTTATCTTTGGTTCTTTCTTCTCAGAAATATCTGCGTTTCCATCAGACTTCCTCAATGATGAGCTACGTTTAGGTGGGGTCGGCTTTGCCTTTGGTTTCCTGAAAGAGATGCTTGGTCTTCCCTGCCTCTTGTGGTCTAAGTAGTCCTGCCAGGCACAATCTGGAAGACCAGGGGAAGCCCCTACACCCTGGCCATTCTCTGGGCCCAGGGCTGCATAGTGACAGACATAGCTCTTATTACCTTTGAGACCACAGTCAAAGTGCATGGAGGTATAGTATCCTTCCGTGTCTACTGAAAAGTGAGAGCTAGTGTCCGCTTTGTCTGATGGAGACTTTTCCAGAAAGCTGTCATAAGTGGCCATGCTTGTGAAGCTTGGGCAGCCCAGGCTGTCTGCCTTGGGACGCTCAGGACTAAAATCCTGGCGGCAGGAGGCATCATGGTGGTGGTGTAGGTAATTCCACTCACTGTCACTTGTGTTGCTGTTGTTGGGATCATCCAGCAGGTCTGCAACAGTGGAGGTAAAGGAGTTTGCCCGATGGCCTCTCACTTTATCCAAGTGGTCATTGTATTGCTCTGTCACGAAAACACTGGCATCCTCATTGGCATGAGGGGCTGTGTTTAGTGACAACTCCGAGTCACAGTGTGAAGAGCCAGTGAGTGGAGGAGAAGCTGCAGGAGGGATGGTTTCTGAGGTCTGCGAGGGGCACGTGGAGCTGCTCCCACTCCAGTTGCCACTGGATGACTGGTGGTCATCTTTCTGGTCCATGTGGCTGCTAAGGAGGACGCCAGCCGTGGAGATGCAGTGGATGGGGCTCCCAAACGTGTCTGAGTTGGAGGAGATGTCACAGCTGCCAGAGTCAGCAGCCATTCGGGACAGACGTGACCTTCCCCTCTCACTTAATTTGTGCTGGGGGCTGTGAAGATGTTGAGAGCAGGCCAGGCCCAAAGTAGGCTGGTGGTCCTGGGCACTCGGGCTGCTTGGAGCCTCACTGAAATCATTAGGGGTTCTTTCATGGTCACCCACAAAAGACTCTCCCTCTTCATATGCTGAGGGTTTAGCGCCAACTTTGGGCTCAGCATCCCCACCTCTATTACCTTCCCGGGGAAGGCTCCGAGATCTTGTGCGGCTGCTCACTGCAGGAGTAAACATGGTGTCACCTTTGTCTGCTAGGGCAGAAATGTTGCCAGCAGAATGAGAAAGGGAAGCTGCAATGCTTTGACCCCTTTGAGCTCTGATTCTCCTTCTGGATGGGGCAGCAATCAGAATATCCTCGGTTTGGCACTCAGAGTCCCTGGTTCCGGATATCCTATTGACAGTGTTGGAGGGGTCTGGGTTTGTGTGCACAATCACATTCCTTTCCCTGGCCACTGGTGATTCATCAGAATCTAGGGCACATGGAAAGCACAGTGAGATATTTTCTATATCAGCAGACCAACAGACATTCTGAGCTATGTCTGTAGATCTGTGGGCTGGCAGGTTAGAGCTGTTTTTTTTTTTCTTTAACAGAAAAAAAATCAATATATAGAATTAGGTGAGAGTTAAAATGCTTTAGGGTGTATATACACGTCCCCCTCATATATGTATATATACATACCAAGAGAAGATATGCTTTTATGTCTTTTGTGAATTATCCCTCTCTTCACTATCACGTTAATTTGCCACAATAAGTGACTACTTTTAAAAACTAAAGTACATTTTATCTTTTTGGCCACTACTCTTCATTTTTATTTTGTAATATAAACATGATGAAATAAAAATCATAGGTCTCATTATTAGAAATAAAAATCTTATTTGCAAGAGATGATACCCTAATAATTTTTTAAAAATCATAGGCAGAGATATTTTAAATCCACTAAACAGAAACATTGTCACCAAAGGTATCATATTATCAATATTCAATATTTCATTGCATATGCCTGGAATTTACCTTTTAAAATAATTAATGACATGAAAGTATATCTCTCTTAAATTAAGTTACAATTTTCCAAAAAGAAAACTTTCATTGACTCCTGCTACTTTTTATTCACAATTTCTACCTTAATAAAACTTTCAAAAATCAGCTAAGTATTACATTTCAGCCGTAAGACCTGAATGTATATGCCTAAATCTATAAGGTCAAATCTTCACAGTCAAGAATAAAGAGTTAAAAAGTAATACCACCTGGCTTGCTGAATACAAAACAAATAGACACCATTTTAAAACCTCTACAAGTTAAAATGTTTAATCATTTTTCTATTTCATCTCCCTATCATCTGTACTAGGCGGAGGAATGTTAACCATTAACATTTTTTGATATCACACCTATTTCTTGTTGAACTCTTCTGGGGATACCCGAGATGGTTTTCCTCCTCCTCAATTTTCGTCTCCGCTGTAGTACCGATTGTGAATGAACCAGAGAGCAGCGTATACTAGCCTCTCTGTCAAAGCCAACTCCTGCAACCCACAAATAGGTCTCATTAGCTTTAGAAATGGCAAACAAATTTTCATTTACTTGGAACACAGTGATATTTTTGACGGGAAGTAAGGAAAGAGTTTGGGTTAAGCCTGTGAACAAATATAAGGGAGCTGTTATTCAGCTCTTATTTAAATTATGCTGCAGTACATTAAGCTTTACTTCTAAATGCAGCTCTCCACAACAGTTTGCACTGCCAACAAAAACAAGCAAAGAAGAAAAATCAAAAGAAAGAGAAGAGAAAAAGACATCCAAAAAATCCCTCTCACATAGAAATGGCTCCTTAAGGATTTATAACCTTTAGTTACTACTATTTACTGATCTATTTCTGGGCTCTCTGAAGCTGATACCTTTGCATAGTAAATCAGCAGCCAGGATGATAACCTGAATTAGCTCAGCTAACATATCCTGACCCATTTCTTCATTAAAAGCCGTCTTTGTGAGGTTTTGTTCCCTCCATCTCTTATGGTCCAAACCTTCTTGCATTCCCCATGCGCGCACGCGCGCGCACACACACACACACACACACACACACACACACACACACACACACCTCTTTTGCTGTGAGGAAACTCAACAGTCTAAGGATTTGTTTTTTTAAATCATCACCCAACTCTGTCTACTTTCTTCTATTTACTAAACTGAATGCTTTCTGGTTTAGCATGAGATGTCTTTTCAATATAAAATAAACATACAAGGCAGTCCCCAGTTCTGCACTTAAATGGATCCACCTTCTATACCAACTGTAAAGCTGGAATTGCCAGTCTTTATCCCATAGGTTTGTTTTTGTAAACACAGAGGGCAAACCATGGTGCTTGTTAGTTTCTCTCTCCATAATCACATTATCAACATTACATGCAGTCCCATCACAACTAGAATGATGAGAGGGGAGGTGAGGAACTCAAACTCTTGTCTGCACCATGGATTTTTCAAAGTGAGCTTTGCCTCAGAAAGTCACAATGCCGTGCTTTGGAATTTGGTCACCTCATCATTTATCCTGATTGTTAAGCATGGGGCTGGGTGGTGTGTCAAGTCTTGGTTCAGCTGTATAATGAAAGAGTTGAGTTCTGTTTAACGTCACAGTGCCAACAGTTTCTAGAACTCACTTTGAAAAATCTGTATGAGATATCATATGATGAATAATTACAATATTATTGGAGAATTCTTACTAATGGAATTTTTCTTAGTTCCAACCCAAAATTAAAATCCTTCATTCTGATCTTAGTAATTATAGAATGCATTATATATAGACGCAGACATTTTGTGTTATGTGGACATCATTAACAATGTTCTCATTAAAGCTCTTGAAATCAACATCTGATCTAAGTTTTAATCAGAGAGTTCCTGAAATAAAGCAGAAGGAAAAAGTGTCCCTTTCCCTCAATCATAAAATAATGGCCCATAATCATAGCACTAAATTTGAAAATGAGATTTTACTTACAGTGCCATGAAAAAAGCACGTGCTGCTAATAATCAGAGGTTTCCAGAAATGAAAATTAGCTTAAGAGGGTGCCAAAATGATCCATTTTGGCAGCTGAACTCCCCTAATACATCCCATTTAGATTGTGGAGATCAGATAGGGGCACATCTTTAGAATAATTTATCTTACAAGTTGAATAGGTCATCAGGAAAATTAACTCCCAACTCACCACAGACCCATGAACTAGGACTCCTTTTTTCTCAGGAAAAAAATAATATCTGTCCCAGATATCTGGTCCATTTGCTTCCCCACTTTATTTGAGAGAAATCTGAGTGGGGTTAATGATAGCTGTGTGCAACATGCATCTCAAGTGACATGCAATCTTTAGTCACATGGTACCAATATGAAAATCAGTCATAACATGGCTGTTTTGAAATTTTCAATATACAAATAAGTTAAAATGTAACTATTAGAGATGTAAGAAAGCCCAATGGATAGACCATTTATGTCTTTGAAAGTTAGAATATTTTATAACATTATTTTACTTACGACTAAGATTACTAGATCCAATTGTGGAATTTATAACTGCTGCCAATAAATTTTTCAGAAAGGTCTGGCTATGCTTCCATTCTATCTAGACTAATATTCACACTCTCAGTACACAGGAGGAGAAAAAAAGAGAGTGAAAGGAAGACAGCCTTGCTGGTTTTAAAATAGAATTCAGCCTTCATCTCTGTATCCATATATTTTTAGGTCAAAAATCCCCCAAATCAATACAGAAGTCTTAACAGTCTTTTTTAAAAAGCCTACCTTCATCCAAGGAAGCATGAAAACAGATTTTCTAGTTGGCCTACAGGACCATTACTTGCAGTTTGAGAAGCCTGGGTTTGCTGTTTTCTTTCTTGCAGTGCCACACATCATTATCATATGATTAATCACTGCCGCTTTCTCCATTATTTCAGTCAGCTATGGCCAAAGAGCTATTTGGTGATTTTTTTCAAAAAGAAACTGTCCATAATTTACATAACAAGTGGCCCGCGGAAAACATGTAAATTGATGTTCAAAACCTGACAAAAGCATATCGAACATCCTCTGGGTTTGTATTTTGATGACAAAAAGGCATTACTTGTTTACAAAATGGTATTCTTAGCAGCACAGATTTTGAACATATTTAATACACAGAATATTCTGACCCGACTGCCCCTAAGAAAAAACCAGAACGATACCAGTAACATTGATGGGAATAATGCAAGAAGAAATCACTTGGGCATCTTGTTTCATCTTCTCCTCTGGCGTCGGGAGAGGTAGTGCTTTGCTCCAGTTGGTCTGCTTGTCCAGTGTGGAAGGGATATTGTGTATTGGGTTTTTCGGCCTCTGCCCTAACATGACATCTGTATCTTCATCCTCTGGGGGATGGGACTGCAAACAAAGTACAATCAGGTTCAGCCATCATAGTTTATACATAAGCACACATATAAGGAATTTCCTAGTTTAGAGAAGAAAAAATGAGGTCAGAAATAGGCCCTTAGGACAAAGGAAGAATTCCTAGAAATAGTTAGTAAGCACAACTAATTACAAGTATTATTTCAATAGTCAAGCAACACAAAAGGAAAGAAATGGGCTAAATAAACATGCTTCTCAGGTTAAATGGAATTAACAGGAGAGACAAGGTAGCCAGAAATCCCCAAACTTTACACCAAAGAAAATTGAGTCTTTACTCCAATGAAAGACAGATCCACTTTCAAGCTATCTCACCATAAATTTCTATCAAAAGTTTTGAGATCTCTAGATGACTAGGATCAAAGGAAGAAGATGAGTTAGACACCTATGAAAAGGTTCAGAAAACCTGGAGTCAGGAGACATTCCAGAACCCATCACCTGAAGGACAAGCCAACCTAATCTGAGAAGCCACATTAAAACATGAGGAGTTAATTTCACTCCAGGACTACGGCATTTTTTAATAACATTTTAAAAATTCAGTTTCATGAACACTTGTATGCACATGGAAAAGCAAAAGTGAAGAATTTCCCCCTACCAACGATAGCGGAAAATACACATGCTGTTACTGGGGGGAAATATTCCAGTGAGTTTATTTTTCAAATTAGGAAAGGTGAAAGAGTCCTAGTTTACTTTCTTTTCAGCTTTGTGGTGCGAGACTTTTCCTCCAGCTGTATAGTTAGGGGCTTTGATTTCTACATGACATTGGAAAATTCTCCATCCAAACTTTTGATAAATATCAATATTGTCTAACTTTTATTTCAGGGTTGGGCTCCTAGCCCAGATTATTTAAAAAGCTCCATCCCAGTTTTGATTTCAGGGTTGGGTTTCTAAACTAGATGATTAAAAGACTCAGTTTTCACCACTCAACCTAGTTTTATTTATTTTTTACACAATTTGGAGGAAGGTGGGTATCTGTATAAAATAAATATCTTTTGCTGTTATCCCAGTAAGACTTTAATAATATTCTGCCCTAAAATTAGGATCATCAAAAAAAATTTTCCCATCTTTACATTTGGAAATATCATGCCCTGTTGACTCAGAGGATTTCACCTATTGTCAAATGAACTGTTCTCAAGTCCCCTTAAAGAGCTGATTCCAATGCCACTTGTCTAAACTCACCCCCAGCATTTACTTACCTTGTCAGAGGTTTCTGCAAATCCCCCCAACACACCCAACAGGATATGACTCCCCCCTTGGGAAAAATATGTTCGTCATGAACGTTTTAGTAAAATATTGCAACCTTCTTTCTCTCTTCAGCTTTTGTGCAGATTCCCAGCGAAGCGAATAGCTCAAATAAAGTTCGAGAACAAAAGACTTTGTTTCCTAGGTAACTTCCAAAAAGAAAAAAAGTTTGGTGCATACAGAGAGAGAGAGAGAGAGAAACTGATTGAGAGAGAGAGAGAGAAAGAGGGAGACAAAGAGAGAGAATGAGCAATAAAGAGAAACCCCCCACCACCAGAGGCTTCATTTTGTAGGCGATTCCTTCCTTGAATAACAATGGACTGCAAAGTGTCGACAGGATAGTGACCTGACTACAAGCTCTGACCAGCAGCCAAAAGCACTTTTTATTTAATGGTGACAGGACGATTGGCTGCCAGAGAATCCTTTTGTCTTGTTCTCCTTTTTGATTTGAGAAGCTGAACATTTACAGTTCTGATAAATTAAATATAGGAAAAGGTTCCTCTGCCAGACTACAAAGTCCAAGAGTAGTGTTAGGTGATGCAGTTTGCAGAGTGGGGGGCAGTGAATGGGGGAAAAAGGCAAATGGCATGACTGTCTAAGTTATATTCTATTTAATTCAAGTTAGGAAAATACCACTTTTTAAATTGATTTTAAAGAAAAACCGTTAGTTAGAAACAAGAAAGTTTTCCATAAAGTTAAAAGAGGGAAAAAAGGAAGAGTGTCTGGACAGAGTGGGATAGGGCCGTGAAGGAATGTTCTCAGAACCAATACCTTTCTACTCCACGGGGTCATGTGGCAACATTCAGTGGGGGAGGGCGAACGGGTGCTGTTAAACTATGAACATGAAATGCAAAAAAAGAAAAAATTAAAAACGTGCACACAACACAGTGTATACTGGTTAGGCCAAATCTATGATATTAATAAAATAATATACTGGGATAACTTCCTTCCTTCCTTCCTTCCCTCCTTCCTCCTTCATTCCTTCTTTCCCTTCCTCCTTCCTTCTCATTATTCCTTCCTTCTCCTTATTATTCCTTCCTTTCTTCTCCTTATTTCTTCCTTCTTTCCTTCCTTCCCTCTTTCCTTTTCTTCCCTCCTTCCTTCCTCCCTTCTTCCTTCCCTTCCTTCCTTCCCTCCCTCCTTCTTTCCTTTTTTCTTCCTTCCTTTCTTCTTCCATTCCTTCTTCCTTCCCTCCATCCTTTCTTCCTTCCCTCCTTCCTTCCCTCCTTCTTCCTTCCTTCCTCTTTCCTTCCTTTCTTCCTTCCTTTCCTCTTCCTTCTTTCCTTCCTTACTTCCTCCTTCCTTCTTTCCTACCTTCCTTTCTTCCTTCCCTCCTTCCTTTCTTCTTTCCCTTCCTACCTTCCCTCCTTCCCCCTTCCTTCCTTCTTTCCCTCCTTCCTTCCTTCTTTCCTTTCTTCCTTCTTCCCTCCCTCTTTCCTTCCTTCTTCCTTCCCTCTCTCCCTCCTTGCCTCCCTCCCTTCCTTCTTCCTTTTTGCTTTCCTTCTTCCTTTCCTACTTCCCTTCCTTCCTTCTTCCTTCCTTTTTTCCTTCCCTCCTTCCTAATTTCTTCCTTCCTTCTTTCTTTCCTCCCTCCGTTTCTTCTTTCCCTCCTTCCTTCCTTTCTTCCTTCCCTCCTTCCTTTTTTCCTTCCCTCCCTTCCTTCCCTTCTTCCTTTTTCCTTCCCTCCCTTCCTTCCTTTCTTCCTTCTCTCCTTCTTTCCTTTCTTCCTTCTCTCCTTCCTTCCTTTCTTCCTTCTCTCCTTCCTTTTTCCTTCCCTTCCTTCCTTCTTCTTCCCTCTCTTCCTTTCTTCCTTTCCTCCCTCCCACCACCCTCCCTCCCTCCTTCCTTTCCTTCCTATCTTTATTTTTTCAGAGGTAGCATAAATAGTGGTTAAGAGCACAGACTCTGAAGCTAGACTGTCTGAATTCAAATCCTGCCTCCACCACTTATTTTCTGTGTGGCCAGGGGCAATTCCTCAACCTCCCCAAGGTCAGTTTCCTCATCTGTAGTAAGATAGAGAAATAATAGAATTTTCCCTCCAGGGCTGTTTTGAGGATTAAATGAGTAAAGTATATGTAATAGACTTAGAAGAATCGTGGCACTTAATAAATGCTGTACATTAGTGCCAGCTACTACTACAACAATTATTATTATTAATGTACTTACCTTGTAGCTGTGAAATATCTGTGAAAATGTCTTTGCAAACTGTAACTTTGTTATGTTTTAGATTCCAACACCACTTGCTAATTTGGAGAAGATTGAATTATTTGCTTTCGTTGGAGTGATTTTATTTATTTATTTATTTGTGAACTACTTGGAAGAAAATTCTCTATGTGTAATTTCCTTCTCTAGACTGCTCAAAATTTACTTCTTTCTCCTATTCATAGACCACATTTGGAGACAGGGCCAATTTCATGAGTGTGTGATCTGTGTAGCAGTCCCATAGGGCCCTGCACTCAGAAGGCCCCCATACTTGGTTTCAGGTTGTGCTGTCACTGTTTTGAAATTCTTGAATAAAGGATTCTTCATTTTCACTTTTCACTGGACCCCAGAAATTATATAGCCAGTCCTATCTGGAGAATAATCTGGTAACCAGAATCCCCTCTTCAGGATCTACTGAGAAGGCCACTGAAACTTTTAAAACTCTAAGCCATATCAGCTTTAGATTCAGCTGGGCCTCTATTATAGCACTTATCCTACAGCATGGCTTTAATGGAACAGGAATTGGCCCTGGATGTGTCTATTTCATTTGTTAGATTGCAAATTCCTGGAGGTCAGAGGCCACATTTGATTTGCCTTTCAGTCTTCCATGATGCATCACTGTAAGAACTCATCAAAATATTTGTGCACCTGAATGATATTGTCTCTGTGTGTTTTAGCAGTGATGGGAACCCCAAAGAAAGTAAGGGGCAGCCAGGCACAGTGGCCCATGCCTGTAATTCCAGCACTTTGGGAGCCCAAGGCAGGCGGATCACTTGAGGTCAGGAGTTCGAGACTAGCCTGGCCAATATGGTGGAACCTTATCTCTACTAAAAATACAAAATTAGCCAGGCGTGGTGGCGCATGCCTGTAATCCCAGCTACTCGGGAGGCTGAGGCAGGAGAATTGCTTGAACCTGGGAGGCAGAGGTTGCAGTGAGCCGAGATTGCACCACTGCACTCCAGCCTGGGTGACAGAGCAAGACTCTGTCTCGGAGGGAAAAAAAAAAAAAAAAAGAGTAAGGGGAATGCTCAAGATCTCAGGAGGAAGTAAATTCCTCAGAATCCAAGGGACTTACCATCTTCATGCAAACAGGTGGAAACAAGTAGAGGAAACTGCCAGTGATCCTTGCTTCCTCTGATGGAAGCAAGGATGGATGCTGGGCCTAGTTATTCTTAAGCCTATGGCAGACATGCGTTTTTGTGGGGAAAGCTTGGTGTCTAATTCTGTTCTATTTTTCTAAGTTTTAACTGAAAGAGTTGCTCATTAATGTTTAAGCAAAGCAAATGTCTCCTCCTCGGGCCCAGTTAATTTTGATCTAGATCTTATTTAAGACTAATGATTTTGTAGGGTCTATGGCTCCCTTGCTGAAAGTGACCATTTTGACAGATGTGATATATGTGGTCCGAGTTCAGACACTAACCTGGTTCTCTCCTAAAAATCAGCCACAGACAATGATGTGGAAGTCTCAAGTAAGAAACCAGGGTGTGTAAATGAGAGAGAAAACTCATGTTAAGTAGGAAAAAAGGTAGCCTGATAGCAAAGCCTACATGGGAAAGGAACCTACTTCAAAGAAACCAAAAGCTTTGGTGTCTCATGAAAGTATTTTCAAAAAATCACACCGTCAGAAACTGCAGAATGATATTAATGTTAATACATAAATTATGGTAGTTTGTCTTAAATCTCCTAAGTCAGCTCTCCTGTTGAATATTTTTTCCAGTAGTGAGGGGTGAGGAGTGGACTTCATTTTTCATCTGTTTGAGAAACCCACCCACCCCATTAAATAAGCATGAGGTCACACCTGACAATGACTAAGGATGGCAAGTTCAGAGAAAGCACAGACTTTTCAGTTGTGGTCATTGTGATGGAGAGTTAAGGTCTCCTTGGGTTACACTCCATAGCAGATTCCTCCTCAGCTAATTGGTCTCTCCACTATATTGATAGTAGCTCCAACCTCCAGCTTGTGAGGGTTGAAACTAGGTACTCTGGAGCTTGGATGTGGAGGGATTGTGTTCTTTGGTTCCTCCACTTAGACACAAGCTCTAGAGTCCCTGCAGATGGTCTGCAGATTCAGAGTATTTAAGTTTATAATATTAAAATGAGCTATAAGTATATAAATATACAGTTATATTTCTGCCATTAATTAGTAACTGCCTTAGTCTAGTATTTTAGAGGGCCCTCCGCATAGAGGGGAACAACACACACTGGGTTCTATGGGAGGGTAGAGGGGGGAAGAGGGAGAAGATTAGGAAAAATAACTAATGGGTACTAGACTTCATACCTGGGTGACAAAATAATCTGTACAACAAACCCCCATGACACAAGTTTACCCATATAACAAACCTGCACATGTAACCCTGAACTTAAAATAAAAGTTAAATAAAATTTGAAAACAACTAAAAGTAGAACTATCATTTGATCTAGCAATCCCACTACCAGGTATCTATCCAAAGGAAACGAAGTCATGTATGAAAAAGACACTTGCACATGCATGCTTATAGCAGCACAATTTGCAATTGCAAAAATATGGAACCAACCTAAATGCTCATCAACCAACGATTGGATAAAGAAAATGTGTTAAATATACACCATGGAATACTACTCAGCCATTAAACGGAATGAAATAATGTCCTTTGCAGCAACTTGGATGGAACTGGAGGCCATTATTCTAAGTGAAGTAACTCAGGAATGGAAAACCAAACACCATATGTTCTAATTTATAAGTGGGAGCTAAGCTATGAAGATGCAAAAACATACAGAGTGATATAATGGAGTTTGGGGACTTGGGGCAGGGGACTTTGGGAGCAAGGTCAGGGATGAAAGACTATATATTGGGTAACAGTGTACACTGCTTGGGTGAATGGGTGCACTAAAATTTCAGAATTCACCACTAAAGAACTCACTCATGTAATCAAAAACCACCTGTATCTAAAAACCATTGAAATATTTTTTTAAAAACCTTAAAAATAAAATAAAGCATCCTCTTTCCTGGATGTTTAGTCAAAAGAAGTAAGATTGTTCTGAGTATTTCTGATTACACTTTTATATAATGAATGCAATAATCAGTTCACAGTATATATTTTTTCTAAATTATCTAAGAAATACAACTGCAAGAGAACTGCTACCTCAGGGCATCTCTGCATGGCTCAGCCTGCCACGCCTTAATGGGTGCTGATGGATAAGGTTAGGGAAAGCTGGATGCTGATCAAACTTATATGAACTAAATTATTCTTCCACAACTGTTTAAATGAATCTCGTTGCTTATTCAGAGAAAGACTAACCATTTCTTGTTCATAACTCTATTTTTACTGCCTCAATAGCGCTCAATAAATATGTGTTGTACAGCTAACATGCTCACGTGCCTGGCATAAGCAAACAAAAATTCTCTTCTAGAGAAATAACATCAAATTATTGCCACCCACATATAATTTTTCAGTACAACATCCAGTACAAGGTCAAAGACAGCAAAGCACAGGAGGAGATAAGACAGCATGAGCAGGAAGCATCCAAAACAACAGATAATGGAAGCAGATCCACAGGGGACTCCTGATTGTGGAATCATCACTCAGTACAAGAGTGGCAGTGAACAACTTTGGTTTCCCCAGAATAAGTGTGGTAGGAGGTGTGTTAGGCATTCATTCATTCATTCAAGATCATTTATTTGATGTGGATCAAAATTGGCCCCAGTGGAAACAAACCGTCAGTTTAAAAATAATTTCTCCCTCATGGGTATATATATGCATATTCACTGTACAAGTCTTTCAACTTCTCTGTACCTTTGAGATTTTTCATAATATACTGTTGAAGAAAAATACAAAAAAAAAAAAAAGAGTAATTTCCTCCTCCTTTTCCAGACTCCTATTCTGGCCCTTCTACCACTGATTTTGAAAAGCTTCAGACTCCAACTTGCAGCATTTTATAATCAGCAACTACCAGCCATGCCCATCTTGTCCCTGACAAAAGATGATTCTTTTGATGCCTTCACTTCATCTCTGTCCCTGCTGGCCTCATCAGTCATATCCTCAAATCCTTTCCCTAGCTTCCCATGAGTTGCTTCAACAAAAGCCAGAATTATACTTATGACCAGTGTTCAGAATAAGAAATAACAAACATTATGCTCAAAAGCAGCCAAATAAATGTCTTTGGTATATAATGAAGGAAGATTTTTCAAACTCCAGTCTTTCTTGAGGTATGTGTGTGAGAAAAGTTAATTTCTCCCCTTTCGTGGCTATGAACAAGCACTTCCCCAAGGGTTTCAAGATGATCCCCAATCTTTCTCTTACTACCAAAAGAAAAAATAATCCCTCCACTCCATATTTTACTTTCTTTTGAGTTATATTTTATATGCTGATGGGGGCTTATTTTCTTTCGAAACAGCCCAAAATACATCTGTTAAAATGTTGTGGGTATTCCAGCAGGAAATGTTTTGAAAAATTGGCTTTGGTTTGTGATCTAACTGATACCACATGGCACTTATAGCAGTTGACTTTCAGAGCTGATTTATTGCTATCATGCTGTCTTAAACATGAAAAATATTTACTGGAGGCTGGATGCTGTGTTACATTTGAAAACAAGAATAAGACCTTACAGCAAAGATGTCCATTGCAAACCACACTGGGTTTCTAGTGAGGTGATATGGGCTTTTATTTTCACTCTACCATGGGGCTCGTTTGTCCTTAAACCAAATCCTTGCATTTGTGCACATACTGTGTCCTATTGGCCTCAGCTTTTCCTGTGCAGGAGTGTTTGTGGATGTATCATATATAAATATGAACTCCTTTGATCTTTCTCAAAGGCTTCAAGAAGCCTGACAATGCCTTCTTCACATGTCATTCTTGTTGCTACAATTATGTAGTACTTTTTTATTCCCTTGAGACTGTCTCAAAATCTCCCAAAGGTTGGCATTGTGCTCTTGTCTTCCCAACATGTTTAGTAACATCATTCTACATTCACCCTGTGCTTCCCTCTTCCCCTCTCCTCAACTCCGACATTCATCAAGGTGAACAATCATGGGTAAACACAATGAAGAGGTAGGCAGAAGTTTAAGGCACATCCTATGCTTTCTCTGTTTTAAGGCTTCTTCCCTTTCTGGGTTTGACCTTTGTCACCACTCTCTCCTCAGCAGTCAGAGCCTTCATGCTTACCCAAAGTACCTGAATGCAGCACTCCCACCTGGCATGCCATCCTTAACCCCAAGTGCCTAAACCCTTCACGCTAACCTTTCAGCCAGCTTCAAGGTTAGAAAGAAGCCCAAAATGCACCCTTATTAGGGTGCTGACAACAAATCATGAAAAACCCAATCCACAGTGATTTATTCCAATCACCGTGGCGAAGTTCTGGGTAATGGTTGTGGAGAGGGATATTTGGGAACAGGTGCCTACTGAGTTATTTCTTTAACCACCATATACATTAATATTTATTTAAAACACAAAAAAGCATTGTTATTCAGGCCTGGGGAATATCCTCTTATTGATAAGTCTGCTTTTCCAAATCATACCTTTACTTCCTTTCCCTGAGAGATATAGCTATCACCACTTTCTTGATTCTCCTGAGGGGCACTTTGCAATATATATATATATATATATGTGTGTGTGTGTGTGTGTGTGTGTGTGTGTGTATACAAATGTGTTACATTTGAAAACAAGAATAAGACCTTACATATATATATGTGTGTGTGTGTGTGTGTGTATATATATATATATATATATATATATATATATATATACACACACACAAAAGGCCAATAAGCATATATTAAGGTGCTTGACATCATTACTCGTCAGGAAAATTCAAAAGGAAACCACACTGTGGACTAGAGGGGCTAAGATGAAAAAGATTAATAACACTTAATGTTGATAAAGATGTAGAGTGACTGGAATGCTCATAAATGCTGGTGGGAGTGTAAAATGGTGTAGCTTTGGAGACTATTTGGCAGTATCTAATCTTAAACATATGTATACCCTTTAATTCCATCTCAGGTATATAGACTTAAGAAAAATGAATATGTCCACAAAAAACTTGCACAAAAATACTTATAAAATACTTATAAAGTTTATAGCAGCTTTATTCATAAAAGTCAACAAACAAACAATACCCCACAACTAGAAACAACCTGACTATCTCCCAACAGCAGAATGGATAAACAGATTGTGCAATCTTATATTCATACAATGGAAAACTACACAATAACATCAATCTCAAAAAAGTATATGTAGCATAAGCAGCCAAGACACCAAAAGAGTACATGCTCATTCACTTTTAAATCCTATCCTGTTGGTAGATGTTTGGGGTGTGACAACTGTCCCTAGTGAGCAAAGCTTGAATGGCGATGACAATGGTGCAGTTTTCACCCAAAAAGAGGCTTTCTGAAAGAGAATGTGTGACTGCAAAGCATCTCTCTCTCTCCTTTTGATCTCAGCTGGAATGGAACAAAAATTCTTAGGGTAATGGAATGCAAAATAATTTTATATATTTTAAAGTTCAAGAACACTTTGTTTAATCACATCCTATTAATGAAGCATTTTAAATGTGCAAAGCATAACCAATTATGTTTTGGAACATTTGTGGAAAATAGTCCCCACATGAATGGAAAAGAGGGCTATAGGGAGCCCAGGATGGAGAATGCTTCCTGCTGGCTGGTCAGCACAGTCATTTATTCCCAGGAATTGCTCTGTACTGTCAAGAACACAAAACAGGGCCCACTGGACCATGATCACTGTGATGTTGATGCCAGTATCTTATTCATCCCCTGTGGTCAGCTTTGCCAATTAGTGGAGCCACTGCCAAGGGCCACTCAGTTCCATCAACCCTCAAAGGTTGCTAGAACCAAATAAAAGACATGAGTAAGGAAAAGGCAGGCCAGGCTTTGAAGTGCAGGGAAGAAAGAATCTTTGAACTGCTACAAACAGTGCAAATACCCTCACCCATATCAGAGAAGCTGGAAATGTGAGTCAACAGAACAGCCCAGAAGTGACAGCAGCACTCCTCCATGGCCCTCAGCTGGGGAAGTCAGAGGCGTGTGGTAACTGCAGAAATGTCACACACTCAGGCCCACTCCAAGGGAACCTTTGCACTGCTAACTCAGGCCAGCTGTGGCTAAAGCTCAGCAGAGCCATAATTGACCTCATCACTGCAAATTTTTAAAAAGCAAAAAATGTAAGACCTCACACACAAACCATGCACATTCTGCCTTTACTGTTTTCCCCTTTTTATTTGTTTTGAGTACAGATCTATTAATGTTAGCACATGTATAGACTCTTGTAACCATGACCACAATCAGGACATAGAACTGTTCTATTACTCCCCCAAAACTCCCCTGTGGTATTCTGTTATAGTCACAACCTCCCCCAACCCCTACCCCTGTCAGCCACTAATCTGTTCTCCATCTCTATGGTTTTGTCTTTTTGAAAATGTTATATGAATGGAATTATACACTAGGTAACCATTTGAGACTGGTTTCTTTCACCCAGAATAATGCCTTTGCAATCCATCCAAGTTGTTGTGTTTATCAATAATTCATTCCTTTTTATTGTGAGTGGTGTTCCATTGTCTGCCTATATTTTGAACAGTGAAAAAAGTCTCAGGCATGCAACAGAATGTCAACCTGAGAATATTCTGTAATGATGTGTATACACAAGTACTTTTATTGACAGTTCCACAGCCAGGCCAATATTTAAAAGAGAAAGAAAGAATTCCAAAACTAAGGAGTTTTCTCTATTTCTCACAGTATTTAATATGAACCAGACTCATTGGCTAATGTTTTCATTAGCTATTGTGCTGGCTATTAAGCTATTGTTTCTCAGTTCTGAACCTATTCTGTGCCCTGCTGGGACTTTGCAAACATTTCTTTCTTGCCAGCTCCTCCCTGTTAGGTTCTTCCAGTGGGAGCGCAAGAGGGAGATTAGAAGGCTGGAAGAGGAAGAAGGGACTTACTTCTTGGCACTCACTGTTTCTGTTAGCATTGTCCCAGCAGTGGTCCTTTGCCCCCAGCTATGGCAATTGGTTTCAGCCCTCATCTGTTTCCTCACTCCCAGAACCAGCCTCATTATGGCCCCTGTCAGAGATGCTAGTCAGACCCAGCCGTCCAGTACCCCTTTCTAGATTCCAGCTGTGTGTGGTCCTTCTTTGGAGCTTCTGATGCATTAGCACCTGGCAGGCAGCACCCCATACTCGGAGGTCTGGGTCCCAGTTCCTCAGAAGCTTCTGAGCTCCAGAGCTCCTGAGGCACCAGCACCAGCCAGGCCACGGTTACTCTCCAGAGGTCTGAGTTCTAGTACCGCAGGCTGCTCCAATAACTCCAACCCCTTCCTTCCATTCCTCCAGCCCTGGGAATGTTAGCTTCTTGCTGCTGTTACTATCTCAGTGTCACCTCAGTTTCCCATTTGCCCTGTCAGTCTTGTAATAATAATGTACCTATGTTAAATTCCCTTTGTGAAAATAGCTGGCTTGGTTTCTGTTTTCCTGACTGGAGCCTGACTGATAAAGCACATGGAACCAGGCTTTTACCCTCTGGCTTGCTCTTGACTAAGGTATCTAAGGTCCTTGCTGCTTCCTGTTCTGAGTCCAATCAGGACAATATGAACCAGCGTGATGTGGGGTGTCAAGATGACAATGATCTCTGCAGCTTATGTTATGGCAGAGAGGAGAGCTGACATGATCTCAAAAGCAAACTGCTTCTGGTGAGCCTTGAAAATGGGTATAGAGGGGAAAAGAATTTATTGTGGTCAATAGCTGTATCATTCCATAGGCCAGGTGTTGTGCTGATTTACTTCAAGAAAAATACCACATGTGAACAGCAGATACAACTAAAGTCACCAGCTATTTATAGCCAGTCTCCAAGATCCATCTCTCTTCTCCAAAGACCAAACAGGTGAGTTAAATGGGAGGTATATAGGCATCACCACTTCTGCAATCTTATACCTGACACTAACATCAAACGCTCCTCTCTCTACTAAACCAAAAAGCAATCTCTAGAGATTGAGGAAATTAATCCTATACACACATACCCTGATATTGTCATAAAGCATAGCTCCTTCAGGTCACTGTTATTTTTGTGCCCAAAACCCTTCAATAATTTGCTAGGCTTATGGAATAAATTCAAACTTTCTAGTCTGGCATTCAAGATCCTTCAATATCTGGCCTACTGAAGCATTATAGCCAGTGCCCTCTATTGACACACCCCTTTTCTTACCAGCCAAAGCAAAGTATTTGAACTCATGTGTATACACTCCATCTCCTGCCTCTCATAGTTTCCTCAGTCTATAATCCTTTTCCTCCCAGTGTTCATATCAAAATTCTACCCCATCCTCCAAGGCCTTCTCAAATACTATGTTTCCCATGAAGTTTAATCCTGCCACCCCACCCCATTCCAACACCATACACCAGTTAGGTATTCACACCTTCAAGTCAATACAATAGAATTGCCTCTAGTCTCCATGTACTCTGGATGAAACAGATTATGTCTCATTCGTGTTTGTATCCTTCTAGTACTTATTAATAGTAGGCATTCAGTTAATTTTTTTCAAAATGAAGGAGTCAATGAGAAGACAATGGGAGAAAGGGCATTTCAAGTGGAGATATTGTTTCGAGAGTACAGGAGGTTTTCTGGAGAAGCATGTGTAGTTTGGGTTGGCTGAGGTCTATGGTCCGTGCAAAGGATTTGTGGGAAATCTATCTCGAAAGGTAAGTTAGGACCCAATTGTAGAAAGTCTGGAGAGTTGGGCTAAGGATTTGAACTTATTTCTTTGGGCAGAATGGAGGAGCTGAAGGTTTGGGATCACAGAATAATTTGTATGTCAGAGATTCGCATAGCAAGGTTAGTATTTTCCTTAACTGGTTTAAAGGAGCAAATTATCTGAGATACAGAGAACACCTAAGCCAAAGCAAGAAAGACTTAATTTGGATGGACAGAACTATTTTAGACAGAAGTTAATAAAACAACAGAATACTTCTGAGAGAGCTTGTAAAACTATGAAGACAATTTATAAAGGTAAAATAGACTTGTCTAGGACAAGTCTGGATATGTCTAACTCTTGTATAGCAAAGGCGAGGCTTGATCAGCGTTTCTCAATCCCAACTCTATTGTAAACCAATGGAAAACTGAAAATCTTAAATGAACCCACAGAGAAAGGGAAGGATGGAAGAGGATGAACAAGAGAAGACGGGGCTGGGGATGGGAAAGAAAACAAGGCAGTGAGAAGGTCTTTATAGTACTCTTGTACTCTTGGTCAAGTACTATTGAAACACCCTTCCTGCCAGCTCTAGTCTTTGATCTTCTCTCCTGGCTAGCTCCTCTGTAAGTTACTTTGATTTTTCTCAGAAGCTGCTTTCTCATAAGACCCGTTTTTTTCTTCCTGATAGAAAATGGGAGAGTAAACATGGTCATTGTTTATAGCTCTGAACTATGACTAAGACTAAGATGGTCTGGGTCCTAGTTTGAGTGACTTCCTTCATTTCTTTCCCAATAAGGCAGTTGGAATGTCCCCTGCCCTTCAAAGACACATCCTTGGTAAAAAGAAAGGTTTGTTTTGACATCAGTCTTTTATTTTAAAATCCCTGGATTATCAGGCTGTGAAATGACAAAGAATCCCTGATATTTTGCTCCTGGCTAATTTTATCAAGTCTGGCAAACAATACAACTGTAAAGGCAATATGTTGAAATGAATTCACTGTTGATCCTGATGATGAGGATTTAGGTCTTAGTGTTCCTCTGGAACCAAATCAACTTTTGCCATAGGGGCTCCGTCTCATACCAAGTATCTTCATCCACTGCCATAGAGACCATCAGATATCCCACCCCTCGATCATTCTGATGAGGCTTGGAGAGGAAAACTTGTTGAGACTGCTGGCATCCCACTACATTTAAGGAAGGGTGACCTCCTTGCCTATCTGTCCAGATATCAGAATCTAAGCAAGGACTTGGGCTTCAAGGGTCCTCATGGACTCTACTGCAGGGTGAAAGCAGAAAAAGGAGATGTTTCAACTCAAGTGCTAACCCTGGTGAGTAGTGGCTGTGTGGACTCAGTGGAAAACAGTGCTGTAATTGAATAGGAATGTCTGCCTTAGGCTTGCGAAAGAGAAGAGCAAGTGCATGTCCCAAGTATTTGCAGATCCAGGCCTGGACTGAGAGACATGACTGATGAGAACCAATGAGCTGAACATTCCATTCAGCAGCGGGTGAGGGTGAACTGCTATGGCTAACTGACTCCATAGTCTGAAATGGGAATCTATGCTATGACAGTGTGCGTGGAGCCAAAGTGCTCAATACCGTGACAGCTTTTAATCACCTTATATCAGATTCTCTGTGATCTTCTAGATTTTGTTATATAAACTAAAGAAGCTCTGCACTAAGCATTTCTTGCGTGAACTCACCTTCACCTGAAGTCATATATCCATCAGAAGCACTAGCGGTGTAAGTGCCAACCCAGAAACTGTGAAATGTCCATGGCGCCAACTGTGTGTGTGTGTGTGTGTGTGTGTGTGTGTGTGTTTCTATTTTGAAATAATTTAGACTTAAAGAAAAGTTGTAAAAATAGCACAGTGTTCCCATTACTCATTACCCATCTTTTCCTAATGGAAAAGCTTACATAGCCATAGTATATCTGTTGAAACCAGGTCATTAGCATTGATAAATACTATTAACTAATCTATTGACCTTATTTAAATTTTGTCAGTTTTCCCATTGATGCCTTTTTCCTCAACCAGGATCCAATCCAGGATTGCACATTGCATTCAGTTGTCAAATTTCCTCAATCCCCTTCAATTTGTTTTGTTTGTTTTGTTTTGTTTTTGAGACAGTCTTGCCCTGTCATCCAGGCGGAAGTGCAGTGGTGCAATCATGGCTCACTGTAGCCTCGACCTCCCAGTCTGAAGCAATCCTCCCACCTCCACCTCCTAAGTAGGTGGGACCGCAGGCATGCACCACCACACCTGGCTAATTAAAAAAATTTTTTTTTGTAGAGTGAGGTCTTGCTATGTTGCCCAGGCTGGTCTCAAATTCCTGAGCTCAGCCAATCTTCCCACTTCAGCCTCCCAAAGTGTTGGGATTACAGGCGTGAGTCTTTGTTTTTCATGACCTTAACATTTTCAAAGAGTACTGGTCAATTATTTTATAGAATGTCCTTCAATTGGGGTTTGTCAGATGTTTTCTCATGATTAGATTGAGGCAACATATTTTTTGACAAGGGTCTCTCACAGAAGTGTTATCTCAATGCATCACATCAGGAGGTCCATGTACAGGTGTGTTCTCTTACTGGTGATATTAACTTTGGTCACTTGGTTAAGATGGGGAGGACCAGCTGAACTTCTGTGGATTCATAAGAACCTTGGCTCATTTCTGACCCATTGATGATTACGAAAGGAGCAAAGATGTGAATGGACCAGAACCACTTGACAGCTGAAGCAGCAAACTTCACTTTGGTTTTTAATTATATGATTTGGATAGATGTTAGACAACATCTCCTGCAGTGAGCTGTTACAGGAGCTATGCATAATGGTCAGAGGGAATAACTCAGATGAGCGACTGGGCATCATCACAGACAGAACCATCCAGGAGGCTAACTGGGATGGGGATGATGCAATATCTTTCACAGGATGTTTTAAGTTTTTGGAGAAGGTGGACATAGAACAGAAAATGAACATCTGATTTCTTGACTGAAGAACTGAGACTAAACTGTTCCATGCTCTTTAGTATTTAACAACTGGAACTTGAGAGTCCTCCTGTCCAACAGCCCCACCTCTACCCCATCATGCCCCGTCTCCCAAAATGCTACTATTGATGCATGACGACTCCAGATGTGCTCGGTCAACACAAGCCTGCCTTTGATGCAAACAGGGCATTACAGAATAGTACACCCAGTCTATTTCTCTTCAGCCTGAATTCACTGGTTCTCCATTTCTAAATGTTATCTCCACTCTTCTGCTGCTGACGCCACATATCCATCCAGTCTGAGAAAGTGAGAGGGGGAACCAGGCCAAGCTCTTTCACTGGACTAGACTGTAGGCTTCCGCATGCTCCTTCAATCTTGTCCATATGTCCTTTGCTTCCTGCTTCTGTCACCCAACAGGGGTGTGAATGCAGCAACTGCACTTGGTCTTTTAGCCTCCCTGATTTTTATTAACCCCCCAAATTCCCTCTGTTCCACGTGGCACCCCAAGCTGTGCCTATTGAATATATTTCTGACTTGGCAAGAAAGTTCTGTGGTCTGGAAGTTTTTATTTACGTTCACTCATAAATGGGCCTCTGGGATGTTGTCTCTCTGGGAGCTTTTCAGGAACCAACACTTCTCTCAGAAGAATGTGACCATCTCTTAGTCCCCTCCATTCTGCCCAGTCAGTCATCAAAGGTCTGCTTGATGGAGATGCTTTTCTTTTAAAAAATTTTGGCCGGGCGTGGCGGCTCACGCCTGTAATCCCAGCATTTTGGGAGGCTGAGGCGGGTGGATCACGAGGTCAGGAGATTGAGACCAGCCTGGTTAAAATGGTGAAACCCCATCTACTAAAAATACAAAAAATTAGCCAGGCGTGGTGGCGCGTAACTGTAATCCCAGCTACTCGGGAGGCTGAGGCAGGAGAATGGCATGAACCCGGGAGGCAGAGCTTGCAGTAAGTTGAGATCGCACCACTGCACTCCATCCAGCCTGGGTGACAGAGTGAGACTCCATCTCAAAAAAAAATTTTTTTTTAATTTTTAAATTTTTTTTAGAGATAGAGTCTCACTCTGTCACCCAGGCTGGAGTGCAATGGTGCCATCATGGCTCACTGCAGCCTCCAACTCCTGGGCTCAAGCGATCCTCCTGCATCAGCCTCCCAAGTAGCTGGGACTGCAGGCACGTGCCACTGCACCTAGTGGAGATGCTCTTCTTGAAAGGCACGAGGTGTACAACCAAGTGTTCTAGGTGGCTTGCCCAGGTCATTCTCTCTCTCTGGCCTGTGATTCTCCACACACATATCTACATGGCTACTCTTGTTAGTGCAGTGTTGGTTCTTCAGAAAATAGCCATATGCCTGCTGATTTGCTTAGTTTGGGGACACCATTGCCACCACAATGGCTGCTCTGACAATATGCCTGGGGGCTTTCTCATGGCTTTTTGAACAAGGAGGCTGGGCACTCTATTGAGCCTCCTGCATTCACACCTCTGCAGCATGGTTTATGCCTCAATGTTATGTGCACTGGAATGCTTTCCACTTCACATTTTCAAATAGATTACTGTTAAGGAAATTCCTAATTGATCCTATCTGAGATTTAAAGATTGTCCTCAGTATCTTGAAGGATTTTACATGTGGCAAATGATTATGCTGGAAGCTATAGTCAGCTCCTAATGGAGATCTAAAGCATCAAATGTATTGTAGCATCAGCTGCCTGGTTATATTGGCTTCCTGGCTTCTCATGTAGACCACTGTTAATCCCTTAGAAACATGGAGTCTCGCATTTGTGGCCAATCTGAGGTGGAATGATAGGCCTCTGAGCAAGCCAGTGCAGCTTCTTTGCTAGAGTCAGCTTAGTTTAGACTTCACTGAATCAAGTAATCAGGTTGCTGTCATCCTAACATCTGTCTGTGTAAGTCTCTTCATTCATAAATCTGCCCTTGGTGGACTTTCTCTGACTCATTGCTTACTTGTTTGCTTGCTTCCTTGCTTAAGAAGGAAAACGGACACACAATTCTTCTTTTTATTATGTTTTTGAGACACAGTTTTGCTCTATCACCCAGGCTGGAGTGCAGTGGCAGGATCTCAGCTCACTGCAGCCTTTGCCTCCTGGGCTCAAGTGATCCTTCCACCTCAGCCTCCCGAGTAGCTGGGACTACAGGTGTGCGCCACTATGCCTGACTATTTTTTCTTTTCTTTCCTTTCTTTCTTTCTTTTTTTATTTTTCTTATAGACAGAGGTCTCACAATGTTGCCCAGGCTGGTCTCAAACTCCTGAGCTCAAGTGATCCACCAGCCTCAGCCTCTCAAAGTGTTGGGATTACAGGTATGAGCCACCGTGCCTGACCCACACAATTATTCAGGAAGGGAATGGCTAAAGAATACCACCTTAAAGGGATGGGGAAGGGGTGGGAAGCAGGGGAGTGGCCAGGTGGGATGACTCAAGTGTGAATGAATGAGGGATTCCTTTTAAAGTAAAATTTTAACTTTGTGATCAAGTGATGTAATATAGGAATTGTATAAAAGGGAAGAATTATCTGATAGTCATCTGTGGGGTACCTCAAAGGCTCTTTGACTTGCATATTTAAAATTCCTAAGTGTATGACTTTCCCCTTTTGGTTGTATAGCAAGATGTTTTTGTTTTCGTTTTGAGACAGTCTCACTCTGTCACCTAGGCTGGAGTGCAGTGGTGCAATCTCGGCTCACTGCAACCTCTGCTTCCCAGGTTCCAGCGATTCTCCTGCCTCAGCCTCCTAAGTAGCTGGGATTAATGGGCACCTGCCACCACACCTGGCTAATTTTGTATTTTTCATAGCGATGGGGTTTCACCGTGTTGGCCAGGCTGGTCTCGAACAAACTCCTGACCTCAAGTGATCCGCCTGCCTTGGCCTCCTAAAGTGCTGGGATTACAGGCATGAAGCAAGGTGTTTTAATCCACAGTTATGCCTTACTGTTCCATTTAAAATTATACTCATTAATCTATCAATAAATATTTGTGGTTAAAATGAAACAAAAATACTGCTTTCCAAAGTTATTAAAGGTTAGCTATTTTCTTCCCCACCTCTTTCAGGGTGGTTGTTATTCATTTGTAATGTAGTTAGGTTTATTTGGTGCTGTTTGTTTTCCATTTGGGGTTCTCCTCACATCCTGGTTGATGATAATTATTTATTTATGGGGGGATATATAAAACATTACCTGAGCTATAACCCAAAAAATATACTCAGAGAAATGCCATCCCCCTTGAACCTGCCACCACCATCCCATCCTCCCATTCTTTCTACCCCACTCCCACTCATCCCCCGTAGGGAAATCCATCTCATTTATTTCTGGTTTTTCCTTCCTGTACAGTCAATTTCATTATAACGCATGTTTTGAAAATTCAAGTTTGTTCCACTGTGATCGATATCAATGTGACTGATATTGATTCAAATTTGTTCCAATGTGATTGATTGTTCCAATGTGATTGATACCTTAGGTATCACTTGAATACCTAAGATATCTTAGGTATTCACATTTGAGCATAACCTGAGACTCTCTAGATGAACACAGCAACTGCACACAGCTGAACTGAGCTGCATAAGAGTACATAACACACACACATATCAAATATCTACCAGCCACCTCAGTTCACTCCACATATTAGGAGCCACACCTGCCCACACCTGGTGTTATGACCTTCCCTCCGGTTTCAGGTAACCTTCCTTCCAGTCCTTCCCAGTAACTCACAAGCTGTGGCCCTTCTGTTGCCCAATCCCTAGGCACCCCCAGGACTTTTTCTGGGTGAAGTGCCAATTTATTGCAGTATTTGTGTATTTTTTAACCATTCACAATGTGTATAACTGTGCTATTGTATTTTATTAGGTTCCTATTTGTGTGTGTGTGTGTCTGTGTGTGTTGTCATTGGAAGAAATTTTTGAATGTTGTGCCCCTAACTCCCATTTTCTCCATAAGCCCTTTGTTTTTTATTGTGCAATTTTGTACAGTGTGGAGATTTTTAGGGATGCATATGTTGTGTCACAGCAGAATGGACTCTTTCTTTTATGCAAATAAGTGGCTACTTGTATATTTTCTTATATAGTTATAGATCACTTATGACTGGGATACATTCTGAGAAATACGTCCTCAGGCAATTTTCTTGTGCAAACATCTTAGAGTGTATTTACACAAACCTAGAAGGTACAGCCTACTACATACCTAGGCTATATGGTAGAGCCTATTGCTCCTAGGCTACAAATCTGTGTGGCATGTTACTGTACTGAATACAGTAGGTAATTGTAAAACAATGTGAAGTATTTGTATATCTAAACACAGGTAAACATAGAAAAGGTACAGCAAAAATATGACATTATAATTTTATGGGCCCAGCAGACTATATGCAGTCTGTTGTTGACAGAAACATTATTATGTGCTATATGACTATATACCCTTCTTTCTAACATGAAGGGTAGCATACTGTAGGCACTTTTTTGGGCTTTGCCTTTTTCAGTTAAGAGTATGCCTTAGAAATCACTCCTTATCAGTTCATAAAGGTCTTCCTGCTTCTTTTACTCCATCACTCTTCTATGTATAGGTATTTGGGTTGTTTCCAACATCTTGTAATTGTTAGCAATGCTGAAAAAAATAACCTTTTTCTATTACTGGAGGTGTATCTGTAGTAGAATTGCAGAAGCAAAAGGTAAGTGCGTATGTAGTTTGGTTAGATATTGCCAAATTGCCCTCAGTTAGGTTGGACCACGTTTGAATTTCCACCAGCAATGTATGAGAGTGCTTGTTTCTCCAGTTTCACTAACAGAATACATTGTTACATTGTTTAATTTTTGCCAGTCTCATAGGTAATATGTGGAATTTCAGTGTTGTTTGCATTTCTTTTTTTTCTTTTCTTTTTTTTTTTTTGAGACAGTCTCCTCTGTCACCCAGGCTGGAGTGCAGTGGTGTGATCACAGCTCACTGCAGCCTCAACCTCCCCAAGCTCAAGTGATCCTCCCACCTCAGCCTCCTGAGTAGCTGGGACTACAGGCATGCACCATCAGGCCCAGCTAATTTTTGTATTTTTTTGTAGAGACGGGGTTTCACCATGTTACCCAGGCTGGTCTCAAACTCCTGGGCTCAAGTGATCCTCCCACCTGAGCCTCCCAAAATGCTGGGATTACAGGCTGCATAATGCTCTGGCCTGCATTTCTAATTGAGAGTGAGCTTGAACAATTTTTCTTCAGTTGAAGAAACATGCCTATATTTTTTTCTGAATTGTCTGTTCACATCTTTTCCTCAATTTTTCTTCCAAGGTTTTGCTCTTTTCTTTATCCCTCAGTTTTTAAGAGGTATTTATCAATTAGAGGTATTAGCCCTTTTTCTGTTGCACATATCTTCTCCCAGTTTTTCAGTTGTCTTTTGATTTCCTTTACGGTGTTTGGGCATGCAAAAATGTTTACTGTTTAAATGCATCAATCTTTTCTTTTTTCTTTTCTTTCCTCTGTATTTTTAGCCAAAGTTAGAAAGTGTTTCCCTGGACTGAGGTCAAAGAATAGTTCATGCATATTTTCTTCTAGTACTTGTGTGGTTTCATTTTTTAGGTTTAGGTCCCTGATCCATTTGGAGTTTACTGTTGTGTATGGTAGTATGCATCCCATTAAATGATTTTTAACTAGAGGTGATTTTATCCCCTCAGGGAACATAGTGCAGTGTCTGGAGACATTTTGAGTTGTCACAAGTGAGGGGAGGGGCTAAGGATGCTGGCAAACATTGCACAATGCACAAGATGGTCCCCACAACAAAAAATTGTTTGGCCCAAAATGTCAACAGTGCTGAGGTTGAGAAACACTGATCAAATTTTTCCTTTCACCAAATGGCTATGCAGTTGTTCCAGCATCATTAAAAAACTCCATCTCTTGCCTCAGTTATTTGTGATGTTGCCTTTATTGAATGTTTTTATATATACTCTGGTCTCTTTCTGGACTTTGTGTTTTATTCTACTGATATATCTGTCTATTCATGTGCCAATACCACAATATTGTAATTATAGAGGCTTTAACTATATCTTAATGTCTGGTAGGGCTAGGTTTCCTTTTTCAGTGTTTTCCTGGCTAGTCTTATATGTTTGTTTTCCCATAAGTATCTAACTCCATAAAATAAAGCTTATTGGTATTTTTATTGAAATTGTGTTAAACTTATTAAGTAACTTAGAGAGAACTGATTTGTTTGTAGTGTTGAATCATTCTATCCAAGAACAGGGGATGTCTTTCTATTTGAAAAAGTCTAATGTTGTGTCTTTAAGGAGTGCTTTAAAGTTTTTCTCATATAAGTTTTACACATTTCTGGTAAATTAATTCCTAAGTATTTGGTCTTCTTTGTTATTGCTGTAAATGGGGTTTTCTCTAACATTAGATATATATACATACATATATACATATGTATGGAAACATTAGGGGCATTTCTAATTAAAAATAGATATTGAATTTTGTTTAAGGCTTAGCCAGTATCCAAGGAGCTAACCATATGGGTTTTCCCCTCCTAGATCTGTTAATATGATATATGATACTAATAGATTTCCTAATATTGAACCAACCTTCCATTCCTAGAATAAATCCCATTGGTCACAGTATATTAATCTCCTAATATAATATGATGTTATATTCTGTTTGCTAATGTTGAATTTAGTATTTTTGAATCAATAATCATGAGTGATATTGGTCTGACTGTCTTTATCAGTTCAGGTGTCAATGTTATACTTGCTCCATAAAAGAAATAATAGGGAAGTTTTGCTTCATTTTCAATGTTTGTAAACAATTTATAGAGCATTGGGAACATCTGGACTTTGAAGGTTTAGTAGAATTCCTCTGGGAAACCATCTAGGCCTGATGTTTTTTAGTGGCATGGCTCCTTAATAACTTCTTCTGGTTCTCCCATGGAAATCAGTCTGTTTAAGCTTACCAATTCTAATGACGCCAATTCTGGCAATTTTTACTCTTCTAGGAAATTATCCATTTCATCTAGGTTTTCAAATTTATTTGCACAGAGGTCTGCAAAATAGTCTCTTATAATTTTTAAAATTTCTTTTGTTTCAGTGGTATTTTTTCCTGTCATTGCTTATTTTATTTGTGTTTTCTCTCTCTTTTTCTTGGTCATGTTTTTTCAAATAATCAGGACCTAATTAATAAATAAAAATCTTGTGTGTGTTTAATGTATAGAGCATATAGTTGGATTTGCTTTGTGAGCCAAATTGAAAAGTTTTTAAATAGGCAAATTAAGCTCACTCATATTCATTGATATGACTAAACTCTGATAAATGTTATAATTATGTGTATTTTGTTATATTTGTTATGTTTCTTCCTCTGTAAGATGTGTTGTCTTCTCTGTTTATATAAAACAATTTTTTGGTATTTAGGAAGATTTGTATTTTTTTTTTTTTTGCTAGTAGTCTTCTTTTTTCTTATACCATTTTAATGTCCTTAGTCCTCTGTTTTATTATTCAAGCCTTTACTATCTGGTTAACTAGTTCTTATTGGTATCCTTTAACAGCCACTTATTGCCTAGACAGTGATCAATTAGCTTATTCTATTTTCTTCTTTACCTCTCCCTTCTCTCATTTTTAGTTGTATCATTCTCTGTTGTCACAACATTTAAAATTGCACCTTAGTTTTCTATCTTCATCTCCACTGTACTTTTAGTTTTAGATCTACATTTACATGTATTAAAATGTATGCTACCCATCCTTTTGCTGACATTTCCCCAATTATCCCTTGGTTGGATGAAGCTTGTCCTGTGGTAGATGCCTCATAAAGGACTCATGGGTGCAAAATTCTCTAAGTTCCTGTATGTTGAAAATTGCTTTTCTATACTTGATGAACAGCATGGTTGGACATAAAACCCTTGCTTCATATATTCTTTCATTGACCTTTTGCAATCACTCTATGTGGATCTGCTAATCTATCTCTTACTCATTTGTGTGGCTTTGGTGTGTTTCACAAGATCCCTAGTTTAATGGCACCATCTTCTGTCAGTTTGTTGAAGTTCAAATATTTTAGTGTATTTGTTTGTTTTGGTGGTGAGGCAGGAGTTGAAGGACACATACAACTCCTGCGTGTCCTTGAATTTTTTGGTTTTATTTTGTCTTGCAGGGTCCTAGAAATTTCCTTTTTGCCTCTTTTCTTCTTCACTCCCAATTGCTGAAGGGCAGATTTCCCTTCCTGTTTGTCTTTTGTCTCCCCCAGAAGCTTTATATAGAGAAAACTGCTCCTGTAAAATATGCATACTTTTAGGCCCTTTTTTGTAGTTTGTGTCTATCTGAAAAAATCTGTAGTATTTTTCAGACTTAGGGCAGACAATTTTTCTGGTGGTGGTTTTAGATCAATCTTAGGACCCACTGCTAGTTCATTTCTTCCATGTGGCTTTCTGAATCTGCCCTCCCTCACCTTGTAACAGGAGGAAATATGCTGAGACTTGGTGTTTTCTCTCTTTTACTTAACAGTCAATTTGATGTTTGGGAATTCTCTGTCCTCAAGTTATGCTGATGGTGTGTTTTTCTGTGTAGTTTTATTTTTCCCTTCTTGTTCTATATCATTTTTGGAGGAAATAATGGGAGATGGGGACCTAGGGTATCACCATTATAGTCAGCTACCTGGGAGTCTCAGTGTATATTTCGATCCACCAAAAAACCTATGTATTCAATTGCCTCAAACAGGCTACTTTCCAGCCATCAGCACTGTAAGTCTAAGTCTAATAGTTTTTGAGCACATAAAAGTATTGTTTCTTACCAAAGAAAGGCTGTGTAGACTACTTCTAATGGTTAGTACCAAGAGTGAAAACACATGGTTGGATTTGCAGGGAACAGGCTACCTGTTACAGCTCTGGCAAACGCTCCTGTTTTGATACACATTTGCCATTCTCAATTTGACCACAGCCTAGACAAGGTAGAAAAATTACCCAGAAATTCTGCCTGGAGGCAAATGACTTTCAGTAACTGGGTTTTTGTTTAGTACACAAACACACCTCTCCGGGAACCCTTTCCTCTCCCTACCTTTCCCTAAATAATCAGTATTCTGACACTTAACAAGTCAGTCTGCAGCCAAGAGTTCATGTGGACAGAAGTTGATCCCAGGCAATTTCTCTTTCATATTGCCCTTGGGAACATTTTTACTACAAACTTTTTACATTTGGTTCCTAGCTAGGCCCAGATAACTCTTCAGATCCTTTACCAGCCTAAAGCTGTAGTTTCTGTGGTGCATTAAAGAAAAGGTTGAGATGCTATGTGCAAGTGTTGATTTCGTGACGTTTGTTTCGATCTCTTCTCTGTAGCTCAGGTCCACAGTAACTTCATGTCCCAAATAAATGATCTTAAACTAATCTCTGGCTATAGAATTTCAAAATCCAGCAGGATGGAATAGATACCCCCCCCCTTTTTTTTTTTTTTTAAGGAAGCTTTTCCCTGAAATGACCTCCTTTGCCACCCTTGATAAGTAAGGACTCTTAGATGGGCTTTAATTAGAGATACTCCTTGAATTTTCAGCTAACAAAGGGTTTAGGGTTTTATGCTAAATTGGCTTGTCCTGTTTCCTGTGAGTTCCCCCTGGAGAACTTTTGGTACAAATTAAATGTCAAGAAACCAAGCATCCTCTCTTCTCACTTGTAGGAGTTATGAGGTTACTTTGGAGCCATCACCAGATGCCACCAGACAGATGACACTTTGTCCCTTGAAATTTTAAAATATCCCACGGCACCCTTAGGAGTTCACTGCAGTGCCCTAAGGCACCTCAGCACACAGTTTGGGAATCACAGATATACAACCTTCCAGCCTTTTCCCCCTATGCGTATGTATATGTACACATACATATACACTCGTTGACATTTTTTGAGATTATACTATACACAAATTTATAAACTATGTAAAAATCCCTGATAATAAAATATACATTTTCCCATGTCATTAAATATTCTTCTCTAACACTATTTTTGATATTGTATTCTATCCTATAGTTATATTAGTATTCATTAAACTAAGTCCCTATTGTTAGACATTTGGGATATTTGTGATTAACTTTCCCATTGTAAACAGTGCTTTGATGAACACCCTAGTGAATAAATCTTTGCATACACTGATTATTGCCTTGGGGTGAATTCCTAGATGTAAAATTGCTGGATCAAAGTTATGAATATTTAGAGTTTTGCCCTCTAGAAAGAGTGTAACAATTTATACTTCCTCTAGTCTTATATGTGAGTATATGTTATAGGCTTTTCATTTGATGGTAAGAATTTTATTGTAAACGATTTTGAATATAGACTCACATTCAGGTATTTTAGGCACTGTGCTAGGCACTTGCACAAATACATATACATAGTTTAATCTTATTTCTAAAACATCATATTTAGCCTCCTTAACAACCTTGTAAAGTTGATATTATCCCCATTTTACAGATAAAGAGACTGGGAGTCAGAAAGATACAATAGCTTTTTCCAAGTCACACATCCAAAAAGTTGTAGTGCTGGGATTTAAACACGGTTGGACCTATGATCTTATCACCATATTATAGATACTTCAGGGAATTGATTGGCTAATAATAATAATAACATCTGATGTTTATGTAGTGCTTATGTATGAGGTACTGTTTACATGTATTACCACGTTCAATTCTCATGCCAAGGCTATGAGGTACTATCTACTTCTATCCCCAAGACACTGAAATGACTAACTTGCCAGGGTCATACAGCTCGCAAGTGGTAGAGCTGGTATTCAAAGTCAGGCAGTTTAGCTTCATGGTCCATGCCATTAATGACCAAGGTACAGTACAATAGCCTGCAGAGTTGCAGAAGACTGTATGTCAATCTCATTATGAATGCTTTCTTAAAGGAAGAAAAGCATGCCTTCACCAAATCTCAAACATGAAAGGAGAGTTGTCTAAGAAAATGTGTCTATCCAGCAATTTGACTACAAATTTCCTGTCTCTATACCTGCAGCCATTTGTCTTTCAGCAATATACAGTCTTGTGAGCTTGAACTATGTTCTATCCAGGCCTAAGGGATATAACTCAAATGAAAATCTTCTAATCCTTGTAGTGACCCAAACTCTTGAACAAATAAAACAGTTAAAATTACTTAGAAATACTAAGTATTATCATTTGGGATGGACAAACTTACTGAAGTTTACCTAAGTGTAATCCATAGTCTTCTCTTATTGATGTTTGTTGGGTAAGTAAATGATGTACTCTCGTTGCTATTCGTCATTTTAAGCCTTTTCCTATAGTCTTACTTTAGTATTTAGACATTATTAAAAATTATGCAGATCATGAGAAAGGGTTATATTTTTATGTAATTTCTGTAAATGCTCAAAATTCTTCTCTTTCACCTCCCCCTTCCAAGAAAACCAACTTAATTAGCCATAAAACATGTTATAATGAATGGGAAAATATTTTAGCATTTTTATGCAGAAAATGCCTCATTAAAAGCAAATGCCTCAGCAAGCAGATTTGAGCTGCTTAAGAACTTCTGCTTTATGACAAATCACTAGCATGTGAAACTGCTCTATCTGAAGAACTAGAAAGCCCTAAGAGGCCCTTGTCTCCTTTTCTTATCCTTGGGCTGCAGTGCAGCAATGTAGTAAGTGCAACACGGCGCTCAGTGTGCACTTGATGAGCACTGAAGGACCTGCCTGCAGTCCAGCTACAAATAGGAAAAATGTTTTTATATTTTGTCCATTATCACTCAAGGTCTTATCTGGATGTTATATCATGTGGGTTCATTTAGATAAAGTCTGTTTTTGGCTGGATATTTGGCACCATGTGACCCAAATATTTTGCATCTCTCTTGCATATTGTAAAAGCCGTAAGAGTGCACAATTTAGAGTCATACACGCAATTTTAATTTCTAATAAAAACCTTAACTCGTACCCACACTATTGTAACTTCTTTAGACTTTGGGTCTTGAACCAGAATGACAAGACAGCAGGAATGCAGACATTCAGACAGGCAGTGTGGGCTGATTTGGTCACAAAAGCCATAGTCCCTCACTTCAATGATGCCTGCTCAGAGGCACAAAGTGCTCAGTTGTCCCCACTGAGGCCCCAGAAGGCACATCTGCGGTGATGTGTTTGTAGTGGCTGCTGATAGTATTTGCAGGTGTTTTGAGATGGGCTCAGCTTCATCATCTGTGACCCATGCTTGAGGGCTTGGGCTGAGTTACAGCCACATCCATCTGGTCAGGGCTGAAAGCCCCAGAGGCGATGACGTCACCATGGTATTAAGTTACCCTGGAGAACTAGCCTCCTTTGGAGAATGGGAAAGCATGAAATGATGACATGATTACTCTTCAAATGGTAATTTTTCGTATCACTTAAGTTCTTTACCAGTTCACCCCACCAAGTCAGCCATGCTGTCACTTTACCAGTAATAACAGTAGTGGCAGCTGTGGTTAACATTTCTTGAGGTCTTACTCTGTATCAGTCAGTCATTGGGCTAAGCACTTTACATGCCTTATCTCATTTAATCCTCTAGCCCTATAAACCAGGTACTATTAATATCCCTATATTACAGATGAGGGAACTGAGGGCAAAGAACATAAGTAACCTATCCTGAATCCTTCAGCTTGCAAGCAGAAGAACCGAGGTTTGAAGTATGTATTTTTTTTCCTGATTTTAGTCTGTAATTATTCTTGCTTTACTGCATTGTGCTACCAGTTAACTAAAAAATATGTCTGTATTCCAAAAAAGAGGCGTTTCTTTCAGGAATGAAAGGAAGGGAAATTAATTTGTTCCCAAATGCCCATGATTTGAGCTCTTAGCCAGCCCAGCCTCTCTCACTGGGAGGCAGGAAACTGACTCCCAGACAAACTGATGTTTCCTCAGCAGCAAGCATAGGGCTGCAGGTGGCCACCAAACTTACCGTTAAAAAGTGACGGTCCTTAAACTCACGCCTCCTCTGGCTGTGAGCTGGAGGGTAGGCTGGCAGTGGAGGAGCTGCAATGGAAAGGGGGGCAGCTGCTCTTTGCTCTCGGCGATCGCTCCGGCTCCGGTGTTCTGAGAAGGAGAAAAAGCAGTAATACTGAAATACACTTGGCATTTTCAATTTCTCTTTTCCCCTTGGGAGTGTTAGCAAAAGGCTGTAAAAAAAAAAAAAAGTGAGTTTTCATTACTTTAGCTAATTTGAATACCAAATAAGATTTTCAGAATGGTTTTTAATTGAACTTTCACTTACTATTAATATGAAATTGGATGCATACATTTCAGTGGATCCATCTCATAATCTGTACAAGAGGGCTCACTTCTGAGTTCAGTGTGACTTATTTCAAAACAACATAAGCAACAACAACAACAACAACAAAAGTTGAGAACATAGTGGAAGATTTGCTGCCATCAGTACTGGAGTGGAAAGTAGGCACAGACAAAACAGAGCTGCCCGGCCCACCCACTGGGTACGGGAGCTGGCTGTCACTGGCTCAGGGGAGCTGATTGCTACATATTCAGGAATTTGTGTGAGTCCATTTTTCAACTGTTGGTACCTGGAAATAACTCATGTTGGGAGTATTTACATCACATGTTTGCTGAGTGACTGAGAGTGAATTTATGCTTTCATTAAAGTCTAGTCTTTTAAAATTAGAATGTATTACATTTCTCTGTATTTCGAATGGGCTGTGGTGGGTGCCTTTACTGCCATGCGCTTTTCTAGGTCCTGTTACTTGTTTCTGACAGGCCTGCCCAATGCTGGCTCCATTTTCTTTGCCCCATTCAATGTGCTGCCCCCTAAACTAGGAACTGAGCACTCTTGAACTTTCTGATTCTATCCATGTCTGACTTGGCTGTCCGTGTGCCTCGCTGCCTGAACGTAGTGTCTGTGTCTAGAAGATGTGATAGTATTCCCCATCTCCCTTTGCTTGGGATTCTTCTGACAAATGTTGGCTCCCATAAGCAATCAGAGCAAAGTCTTCAAAACCATGTAGGTAGTCTTTGCTAAACTGCCTCCAAAGTCAATGTTTATCCGAAGGCTGTTTAAGATAAATGTCTTCCTTGTTAAAGTGCCCACCTCCAATGCCACCATCATTATGCAAGCAAACAGTGGGCTTTTCTAAATGGGTAACACAAGGAAAAGTGTTTACATTCTTAAATCCGTACAGAAGAGTCACTTACAGGTGTTACTGGTTAGGAAGAAGTGAAAGGAGGGGAGTAGTTGGAAGGGAGACATCAACTCAATTTTCCATTCAATCGCTCCCCTCCTACACAATCTTAAACATATATCTTTCTTTGCTCTAGGCTGGGAGTAGGCAGGCTAGATTAATGGCTCCCTAATAATACCTTTTTCTGGTGCTGAGGTAGGGAGAACATTAGTCCACTACAGCCTGAAACTGCAGTGGAATCTTGCTCCTTATTCCCTTAGACCAATGAAACTTATGCTGCAGCCTCCAACTTGAAAGGAAAGGAAATATAAAATATAATTATCTATTTATAGTTGCTTATGAATCTCTCTCTCCATGATTTATGAACATAAATGATAGCATCACATAAAGCCATTACTGGCTCTGAGCATTAAAGAATTACTAAGGGGGAAAAAAAGTAATCAGAGCCTAAATAACTTGAAATACATGTAGATGCTACATCCTCCACAAAACCCTCCCTGAAGCTCTATGAAATGACTTGGTACATTTCTTCTTAGCCTCCCTATCACTGTATTGAAATTACCTGGTTACTTGTCTGTCTCTCCACTAGACCAGGGATTCCTTGTGGGCAGCATACGTTATTGCTTTTTGACTCTTAGGTTCTACAACACTCCCTTGCCTTCAATAAAATTTGTTGGGGGGTTTGCTATCAAGCAGATCTTGAAGGCAGCCAATTTCTAGGTTTTAATCTTGGTCCTCCAGCTCTCTCCTTACAGTCTCACCTCCAAAAGAAGCACAGAGCTGCTGTCACCACAGCCTCATTTGTCTGTGTTTCATTATCCACTCCCTCATGGTGGAAGCAAGGCTATTCCAGCTGTCCAAATAGAGAACCTACAGGGATGCTCACTGCAGCATTTGCTGAGCATGGCAGTTGTCTGATAGGTCAGTATTATTCATGGCCACCAGATGGCAGAAGCAGATTATGCTGATGAATACAGCAGTATGCTATTGTGTTTCTTGGACAAGGTTAAAAAAAAAGTCACTTTCTAATTTTAATTCTACACTGCATGTTTTTAATTCCATGATGGCTATAATTCTTGTTTATGGCTCTCTGCAGTGCTATTAAAACTACTACACCCAAGATATGCTATTGAGCCAACCGCAAAACAAGCCAGTCTGTGGAGGGTAAAACGCATCTCCACAGTCTTCCTTCCAAACCCCAGGAGGCCCCACATCCCTCTCTCACCGCCCCACAGGAGGAAGTTCAGAGAAAATTGATATCGGCACTTGCTGTTCTTCAGTTCTGCTTTAAGTCTAAACCTGACAAAGCAGTGAAATGTGATAGTTTACGAGCAGCTTGGTGTTATCTGGTGGAATCCATAAAATCCTAATCAGGGATGACTTATTAATAAAATAAAGGGATAAAAATAATTATACCTAAAGGGCTAATGTTACCCAAGATTTCTAATGATGGGACCTGAGAAAGGATTTGGTGAGAACGATCAGATTCCTTTATAGTCATCCTGTGCCCTCAATGTTCAACCAGTTTTTTGCAAAACTTGATTCAGTTCCACAAATGTTCATTGAGGACCTACTATATGTCAGCTTCATGCTAAGTGCTTTGAATAAAATAAATTAATAAGATATCATCCTTGCCCTTGAGTTGCTCATAGATTAATGGCTTATTAGTGGTTGGTTGGTAAAACAGGCCCATAGTGGTTGATTATAAGATTCTAAGTGGCAGGATGGGAGGATGCACAGGATATTATGGGAAGGGTGCCTAATCCAGGCTGCAAAGGAATGGCAAGTGTGGAAAGAAAGATTTTCAGAAGGTGGCTTAAGTTAAAAAAGAACTTCTTAGCCAACTATAAAATTGAAGTGAATGGTAAGTATGCCAAAGATGCTTCTACAGGATACTGATCATCACTCTTCATTGTAAGTGTCACAATGTCTTCCCCTAATAACCAAGGAAAATTTTTAGAAACAATTGCTTTAGGGATATTAGGAGGTTAGCTCTTTCATTAAAAGGAAAAAAAGATGAGGAAGGGAAAAAAGATGAGGAGGGAAAAAAGATGATAATTGAAGGCAACAAACTATTGAAGATAAGGATGGGGAAAAGGCAGGAGTTATACAAATGTGGAATAAATAAGATGAAAACAATATCACCATTTTGTTTCTCCACTTTGATAATGACATTAAAATATTTTACTTGCATTTTAATACTTTTGCAAAATGCCATTTCTTAAAAGAGTGTAGGGAATTTGGAAGAAAGACATTGAATGTGTAGACACCATCTATCTCCATAGCAAGAATCTAAAGGCCAAAAAAAGCTGACATGTCCCCTTCTGATACCCAATTTAGGGGGCTCTAAAACAATGAAGCTACTTTTTATTCCCCTTGTCCTAATTAGAATGGTTTTAAGGCACTGAAAAGCAACCAGTGTAAGAAAAAACTGTATTCCTATTTTGACTGCTATGAGCCTATCTCTAGCTTTCTCAGGACTGTGAGAGACATGTAAACATCAGTACCTATTTCCATGAGACACAGTGTATGGCAAGGAGGAAAAGAGCTCTGGCAGGCATTTCAGAGGCTTAGGTTGGGTCCTGGTACCACACCTAACCTGCTATGTGTGACCCTGAGCAAGTTTCCTCACCTTTCTAGGCCTCCGCGTGTCCCACTAAAGAATGGGGGCATTAGACCGATCACTGGTTCTCAAGAGAAGCAGAAGAGCCCTCTAGGGGATCATTCTAATTGTTACAATGATTGGATGGGAGCCAAAGATGACAGCCATCCCATAATGCAGAGGATGGTCAATGAAAATGTGTCCCAGGTCTCACACAATTTTAAATGTTCCATCAGAATCTCTTATAGGGGAAAAACCTAGTGCCTATTTATGAGTCAAGCCAAATTCCCTTTTCATTCTAATCCAAAGTATTTATTTTTTGCCCATATCTAATATATACTGAATGTACCAGTTTTTATGGTCATGCCCTCCTGCCCCTCGGAATAGTTTCTGAAGGTCTGTACTTAATCCAGACTTGCTTTTGACAAGTGCAGACATCTGACTGCTTCATGATGTCTTCTAGTGAGGTCATGCCTGAGCATTTGCATATTGAAATAGATATTATTATCAATAATTTCCTTTTAATTTCTCTTTATTATCATATTTAGACCATAATATTATTTTTTCTTATGTGTATGGGTTGGGCATATTACCCATGGATTTCATTTCAGGGTAGAAACGGGAGCATTTCAAAGTACTTGCTATAATAAGGGGGTGTGTTGGGGCTGATGGGACAGAGGACACCTGGATGGGACAACCTCCGAGTTGTCTCCCGCAAAAGCCCCCAAGCCCAGGATCTGTCACCTCTGCGCAGGGCTTGCAGGCTCTGCCGGGCGTGGCGGTGCAGCTCCTCCACGCAGGGTGGCCTTGTGGCTGGGAGGAAGATGTTGCGCTGCTGGTGCCACGGGGCGCGGTAGTACACACTCAGCTTACTCTCTATGTCCAGGTTGGAGACGGCTGCAAGACAAGAAACAGGGCGTTGTCCATCAGTGGCTTTAAGTTGTGCTTTTGGCCAACCCTGGGGTGGGGAAGAGGACAGGAGTAAAGTCTGGGTGGAGTGGAAGTCCAGACTACTGCATTCACATTAAGAACTAACTCAAGGCCGGAGAAAGGTTTGGCATTTATGATACTGATAGGGACAACTTTTGCCCCTGAGCCGAGGCACGGGAGGCTCCAAGACACCAACCGTCTACCTATGACTAGCTAATTTCCTCTCCGTACCTTCATTCCTCACCCTTGGCACAGTCGCTCATCAACACTGACAAGCCCCTGGCTAGCCTGCTTGGGGGTGGAGATGGGGGTCCTGTTTCTGAAAAATGTGGAGGAAAGCCTCAGAGATGAATGGAAAGGCTGCCTCAGCTCCAGCCTTCTGGCCGCAGGGCCTCAGAGCTGTAGTTCTGCACGCCGCCCCTGCTGTCCACCTGAACTTCGGCCTATACCTTGCCCTGCCTCTGTCCCTTGTGGTCCCGTCCCCAAGGTATCCTTATCATGCCCTACACCTACCGGCTCCATTGCCTGTCATCTTTCAAAGCATTGCTCTTCCTTGGTTTCACCCAGGGGTGAGCATACGCATTAAAGAAACCATCATAGAGGTAATGAGTATTAAGGGAGGGAAACTGCAGATGCAAGATGAGTTTTTGCAACTCATCCAAGAGATCAAGGAAGGAAGGCTTCCTTCCCCCAAACACAGCATTTAACTCACTCTCATCTTCTTCATGTACACAGGGATCCTAGGATGGAACTCTCCATGAGTTAAACAGAAATTCTGCTGGAAGCAGATGTTAGGAACCAGGAGGATTTTTACTAAGAAATGGCTGCAAAGAGGACCTCACAAGCACCTGGGTAGCCTGTCAGCCTCGGGAATGGCATGAACTGGCCCAGTCTGCTTTACCCTCCAGACACACTATCCAGATCCAGACTCCTGTCCTGGGCCCACCCTGCTCCCCCCACCTCCCAGTCTCATCTCTTTCCACTCTGGTTCAGTAATGGGGGATTGACTGAGAAATCAGGCTCTCCCTGCATGCAAAAGTCAACTCCTACCCAATGGGGCAGAGGTCGTTACCAAACCCAACAGAGAGGACCATGAATTCATGTGCTCATGACAGCTGGGAGAAGGGACAGAACAGAAAGCATGTCTGTGGAAAGAATGGGCAAGAAGCCAGGTGGGCAGTCCTAGAAGTAGAGGGGCTTCTGAGCACCCCTTCCCTTAGGCTCGTCTTTTCAGGAAGGTGGGAGCCAGGATACAGGGCTGGGCCAAGGTGACTAAGAGGTAGACCAGAAGACTCTTCTAGTCCCTCATTCCCTCAGCACTGCTGACCAGAGGCTTAGGGTGGTAACTTTTGACAGCCCCTCAGAAACCAGGTCAAGTGGCCATGGCTCTTTAATTCTTGTGTGGGGAAAACCTGAGCCCCTCCTATTTATCTTAATGTTCATCTGAAGAAAAGGCTCATCAGAAGTGCTTGTCAAAAACACAGATTCCTGGGCATCAACCTAGACTTTGAATCAGAATTTCCAAAAGAAAGGCCTGGTAATCTATATTACATGAAAAGTTATTTTTATCATCAGGCAGGTTTGAGAAACACAAAATGTCTTCTGATGATGCCTTGGGATCTTGTAGGAGTGAAAGGAGTTGGGCAACATGAGGGAAGGGAAGACGCTGCTGAAAATGGAAACATCCATCCACCCATGGAACATTCCCAAGTAGCTCTTAGTCTCAGGCATGGTGCTAGGTGTTGGAACACAGCACAGAACAAAACACACAGGAATCCCGACCCTCATAAAGCATTTGTTCTCTGGCTTTGTGCAAAATGGTTTAACTGTGATTCTGCCTGGATGAAATAGTTTGGGAGCAATGACACTGGAAGACTTTTCCTATTTTGGTATTATACAGTTCCCTAGGGATGGTCTCAGGCATCAAGACTCTAGAGGCCTTGAACGCCAAAAAGGTTATAGTCCTCACTCCTCCACGTCCACCTTTCTGCAGCAGGTGATCCCAAATTTCAGAATCAATTGGCATATCATAAAATTAGTGTAAAGATGTTCAGCAAATTCTCTTCCCTCATTATTAAATATTAAATATCAAGTTACCTGAAAAAAAAAGCATTTTTTGGTGCCCATGCTTTGCTGATACCCTAAACACATTTCTACTGTGCTTGTTGGGCAAGCCAGTGCTGAGTTCCTGGGCTGCTAAACTCTGCCTGCTGCTTGGGACTGTGAATTCACAGATACAAAGAGTAATGCATGAGTTCCAGCATGGGCAGCCTAGTCATGGCTCCTGGGAAGAACCAACCCTCACAATGACAACCTGCAGGGCCAGGGATCATCACCTTTTTCTTTCCAAAATCTTTTTCTTTCTCCATTGAGAAGCTATATCGGATTTCTGCCACACATTAGCAGGTGAACATTTCACTCATCAGTTGCCACCATCCTGTCTATCTCTTAGACAGGGAAAGGAGGAAAACTCTTTAATGCCTTTGCTCTCAGTGACGTCATTTGGTCACAGAGCATTAACTAGTATTACGTGTCCACTAGAGGCAGGCAGACAGCCACTAATGGAGCTCTTCCAGGGAAAACTGTCCCCCTTTTCCTTCTTTAAAAAATCTATTCCTTTTCCTAAGTAACAGTTCAACCACAGTTGAATCCATTCATTCGTGAGCTGCTCCACTGCCATTGTAAGGCTGCCCTGCATCTTCGGGTTCACCATGCTCCCTTTTCCTCCCTTTTTAACAATCTCACCATGGCTAAGTTATGCAAGATAGCAGGCTTAGTGCCCTAGGAATGTTTGTTCTCATAAAAATGGAACAAAGCAAAGCAAGAAGGTTTTTCCTCTGTTTATTTGCATACGTCCAGGGGCCACTGTGTGATAGGCAGAATTTTAGGATGATTCCCAAGATTCCTGCCTTCTTGTGCACATACCCTGTATAATCCCCTTCCCTTGAGTGTGGGAAGAACCTGTGACTTAGTTACATTACAAGTCGAAAAGGGTTTTACGGTCTGTACTCAATCGACTTGAGTTAATCAAAAGAGAGAGTATAATCCTGAGTTAATACTTAAAAGAGACAAAAAGCAACAGAGATGCTCTCCTATTGGCCTTGAAGAAGCAAACTGTCGTGTTGTGGAGAGGGACATGTGGCAGGGAATGGCAGGTGGCCTCTAGGAGCTGAGGGCCTCACTCCTACAACTTCAAGAAACTGAATTCTGCCATCAACCAATGAACTTGAAAGAGAACTCTGGGCCTAAGATGAGATGAGATGAGATGGGATGAGCCCAGCTGACACCTTGATTTCAGCCCAGTTAACCCTGAGCAGAGGACCCAGTCAACTCATACCCAGACTCCTGACCCATGGAAATTGAAAGATAATAAATAGGTGTTGTTTTAAGGTGCTAAGTTTGCAATGATTTGCTATGCAATAATAGAAATAATAATAGAAAACTAATTGTATTAGTCTGTCCATTCTCATGCTGCTAATAAAGACATACCCATGACTGGGTAATTTATAAAGGAAAGAGGTTTAATGGGCTCACAGTTCCACATGGTTGGGGAGGCCTCACAATCATGGCAGAAGGCAAAAGAGGAGCAAAGTCACGTCTTATATGGTGGCAGGCAAAGAGAGCATATGCAGGGGAACTCCCCTTTATAAAACCATCAGATCTCACGAGATTTATTCACTACCACAAGAACAACATTGGAAAAACCAGCCCCCATGATTCAATTGCCTCCCACTAGGTCCCTCCCATGACACTGGGAATTATGGGAGGTGCAATTCAAGATGAGATTTGGGTGGGGACATAGCCAAACCATATCACTAATGCACACTCCCACTACTTTATCTACTTCTCTAGAGTCAGTCACTTGCTTTGTCTTGTCAATTCCTCCCCTCTGTTACTGCTCCCCAAGAAAGGGGAAGATAATGACAAGGGTTACAACAGGAAATAAGGCTCTATGTGTCATTTTTATCCTCCACAACAGGAAAAAGGTTTTTTGGATGTATCATTTCCCTCATCTAAGACTACAAGCTCTTGTGGGAAGCTCCAACCATATGCCAAGTTCTAAGCCAGGTGCATTATATTAATAATATCATGGTACCCGCACACAACTCAAAGAGGAAAATATTGCCCCTATTTTATAGATAAGGAAATGGGAACTCAGAGAAAGTAAGTAAATTTGCTAAGTCATCCACCTGGTAAGTAGAAGACCTGGGATCAGAAACCATCTCTGTTTGGCTTCTAAGCTGCCACTCTTTCCCAAACCAATATTGAAATAAGTTTCCCTAAGCTAAGGGTGATGGGGTAGGGGAGTGAGAATGGGCCATCTGCCACATAAAAAGGATCTAGTGCTTTTCAAAATAAAGAACAAAGATTCAGAACTGCTACTCTCTGTATCATCCATAGCATCAGGTATAACCAAGAACTGAGTGACTCTTCCAGAAAGTGCCTAGCAGGAGGTTGGGAAGATGTGTTCTATTATATCAGAAAGACAACACCACAAACAGATAACCACAAAAGCAAACTGCTGAAAGAAAATGCCATCGCAGGAAATGTCCACAGGGCAATGAAAAGTCTTTATAGACTGATCTTAGTTCATTCCCCTGTCAAACACTGGAGATAATGGAATTGTCAAGATCTTGATTCATAGTAATGTATTGGAAGGATGGATATGGTCACTGGGGTCCTCTGAAATGAGCTAACTTAGACATTAAGGAAAACTAGTGGCTGCCACTCTCTTGGAAAGACTAGGCCCGTTTCTAAGAGCAGGAGGAAGCTTGGTTTTATGAACGACTGGGAAGGGGTAAAAATCAGGGGCAAACTTAGTCTTGCCCCAGCCTCTCTAACCCCATCTCCCCTGCCCTGTTAGGGGTGCTACTCATTTGATTCTCTCTTTCCTAGCCTTGTGAGCATCCCATTGCCTTACAGCTTTATGCCCCCGGGAGCAGTGCAAAATGCTTATTCTTGGCCTCCCTTCCTAGAAAGCCTCCTTACCTCACATCCCCACCCCACACTGGCTTTCTCCCCTGCTACTCCTTCTTCCTTAAGAAGGGGGAGGTGACAGCTGAGATCAAAGTTTGACTGCTACATGTGGTGAAATTTTCAGAAAAATGCACAAAATGACTCAGAAATGGAATTTGTACCCCTTCAAGGGAGGGAAGAAAAATTTTTAAACGTTCTCAGAGTGCCTGCAGACACATTTACCCACCCACATCTTGCTAATCTTCTTCCTGCCCTTCTACCACCACAGCCACCCCCAACACATAGCTTTGTGGGCAGGAACACATCCCTCCACAAACCATCCGTTCTGGTGCCCCATGACAGGGAGGAGTGTGTTGGCATATCAATCAATTAATAAGCACCTGAAATTGTCAGTGTCACAGATACATAGCCAGTTTGTTCTCCAGGTCCCTGCTATGCTGAAGCCAATCCTCAGGAGCCATCAGCTTGGTAGGCAAAATGGGAAATTTCCCTAAGGTGTCTGTTGCTGCTGCCTGAGTGCTCAGATCTATTGGGAGGATGGGAAGGGGATTTCACCAAGTGAACCCATTTATTCCTGCCTGCCCTTTCTTCCTCGGTAACCATCCCCTTGCCCACTCTGCTTGGCAGTTTGGAGGAAGGAACAGGGTAAAGTACAAGGAGAGCAAGGACCACCAAGGCTCCTGTCACCTGCAGAGCAGCCCAAAGCCAGAGCCAGTTTCCCAGAGTCTTTCCTTGCTGGGCTTCCTGTTCTGTAGAACCATAATAATTCAGATTTGTTCCCCACTATGGATGAGGTGTCTCATGTTCACCTCTCAGCATCAGAAAGATCTAGGTCTCTTAACAAATTCCAGCATCTTGAAACATTCCAACACTTACAGAACAGGAGAACATATCTGTGTGTTTATTTGTACGCTAAAAGGATCTAGAACAATTTTTCCCCTAGAAATAGTTTTCCCAGCTTCTAAAACAAAACGATGCTTCATACCAGGAAGACTGTTTAATTATTGCTGTTACCATGGTTGTTTTAATGTCCAACATCCTGTGGAAAGACCAGTAGAAGCCTGGGTTCTAGTTGCAGTTCTGACACCATGTGACATTGTGCAAGTCGTTGAACCTTTCCTGGATTCAAGTTCCCCATCTTTACAAAGGAGGGGTTTGAACTTTTTGATCTCTGAGTGATGTGCTGCCCTGTCCTGTCCTGCCCTCCATTTGATGCCAGTCACCAAAATCCACCCAGACTCTGTAGTTAAGCTATGGCAGGATGGGCTGGTGGAAAGAGCTTGGGCTCTTGGATGGAAAGATGGATCACAGCATCAGTGTGATCCAGAGCAAGTCTTCTATGAAAGGGGAATCACAGAGCCTTCATGCAGTGGTTCAGGCTCCAATTAAGTAACAACATCCTTGGCATGTGTCACTGCTTAATAAATATTAGTTCCCTTTCCTGGGCTGAAAACAAAAGAAGATTGGGAGGCCAGGATCAGGGTCCAAATTCACAAGAGGAAAGTCTGGAGCTCTCCAAGGTTCTTTTTGCTTTATTTTGCCTGTCTTCTTGTTGAGTGAAGTATAAACAAAGATGAGGCTACTAAAGATCACTCTTTGAGGGTCTCATTTCTGGAAACTGGAAAGAAGACTGCCCACAACTGGGGAGCCTGTGACCTCTCTGACAGGTTCAATGTCCCCAAGTCTCTGCCATCTATTGACTTGGACAGCATTTAGTGTAATGACTCAGCGATCCTAACTCTCTGAGCCAGTGGCAGAGTTGCAGTCCTAGACATTCTTCTTAGCAGCAGTTTGTAATTTACTTGTTTATCTTCAGGTCATTCTGCTGCCATGTTCTATACCAGACACCTCCTCCAGAATGTAAGCACATAGTCATCTGTCACAGCTCAGCTATTGTTTTAAGAAAATTCCTTTAGGCATCTAGCAGAGTCATTGGATTCTACTAATGGAAGGGACCTCAGAAATTTGGACTTCTGTATTTTTTTTTTCAAGCTGCAAGAGCATGGCACATTAGTGGATTGTGAAATCCATTTAGCAGGTCAAGACTAGCATTTTAAAACTGCACGTTCTGCACGTGTACCCCAGAACTTAAAGTATAATTAAAAAACAAACAAACAGAAACAATGAAATAAAATAGAGCAGACTGGAAAATACCCAAGAGCACTGCATGCAGTGTTGTTTTGTGAAGCTATCACTTGTGTCACACATGTGCATGTGCACACACGTGTGTGTTTGTGTGTGTGTATGCTGGGTTGTGATGTAAAAATGTGTTTCTTACTCTGAATAGCAGTCAAAACACTGTGAAAGCCACTGTTTAGGCCACTCCTTTCATGTGCTGATGAGAAAACTGAGATTAAAATATTTGACCCTAGATCACAGAGCTGATTTTTGGCAGAGGCAAAAACCAAAGCCAATGTCTTCTGAGCCCAGGCCCATGCACTTCCCTCAGCAGCCTCTTCCTCCCATGGGGATAATCAGCCTAGCTTCTGCACCCTTCATATCTCTCAGTCATTATTTTCTACCTTTCACATTTATCAGGTTGTCTTTAGGAGGGGAAAAAAAACACTTCTCACCTGTGGATAGTACACATTCCATCCATTTTTATTTTAAAATTCCAGGTGCACTTCAGCTCAGAGAGCAGTTGTTGAGATGAACCAGCCACAGAAGCCAGGGTTTGCCTTGTGTTTATTTACAGAAGGACACACCCGCCAAGAGCTGCTCTGAGGAGACTATGGCTGCAAGAGAGGGCCCTGCCCATTTACCAGTAACAACTATAAGCCACTTTGAGACTTAGAGTATACATATCATCAGGGAAAGATGACATTGATGGAAAACCTTTGCTACAGCAGTGGAAACGCACACCCCCCCCCCCTTTCTTCATTCTGGTTAAAGATAGATAGCTGGGTATTCAGTGTACTCAGGTATTCAGTATATGAAATATCTGAACTCCTTTCCTTCCCTGTGTTCTGTCTCTTTTGCATTCTGAGTTTTCCAGAGCAAATAACTCATAAGAGGATTGGATCAGGGAAAAAGGAGAGCCCAACTTGGTTACCTTGGTTGGCTTGTATACCTAGAATGCCTGCACTGTTTGCCATCTATCTACCCTCCAAGCCTCATCTTCAACAAAAGCCTTCTACTTCCCACTCCCAAGCTGCTGGGCCACTCACTGTTTCCCACCTCTCATTTGCACTCCTCACAGACTATCTTAGATTGCCATACACATCTGCAGCCACATCCTTATGCCTCTGACAAGAGGAGCCACAGCTTATACTTCTTGAGATCCCTGACAATGCCAGGCATTGTCCCATGTAAATTCTTGAAGGAAATGTGTTTGATTGCTTTTGTTACTTGTTAATGACTCCCTGTATACTTTGGCAGGGAAATGAAATTGGCACAAATAGCTCAAGTGGGGTTTTGCACCAACTATGGGTTTCATTTATCCACAGGATTGCAATAGAAGACATTTAGATTCAATACAAAGAAGAAATTCTCATTCACAGGGGTCTAGAGAGGGGATGGATGGCATTATCAAAAGAGGTTAGAGAGAAGGGGTAGAGAGGGGAATGTGGTAAAACAAAGAAAAATTGCAGGGGTGGGGAAAGTGAGTGGGGGAGGGCACAACCTTAGAGAGATAGTACACATTCTAGGGCCTGATGATATTTTAGAAGAGTCTCTGATTTATAGAAAGCACTGACTCAGGTGCAGTACAAACTTGGTTTTTCAGCAGGAAAAATGTATTAGATAAAGTTGACATGTCCAGCAGCTCTGGGAGTCTGGGCCTTCATTCAAACCCACTCACTTGTATTGAGCAGCTACTTTTGCAAAGTTCTGGGCTAGGAACTAGGGGACACACAGATGGCTAAGACAGGATCCCTGTCACTCCAAGTGCTTATGAGGTAGTATTCATTTATTCTTTATTTCTTTCAAGCATTTATTAAATGTCTATTATGTAGTAGTGAAAGGGCTACAAAGATTAAAATACAGCTCTCTCTCTCTCTCTTTGATATGGTTTGGATGTGTGTCCCTACCCAAATCTCATGTTGAAATGCAATCCCCAGTGTTGGAGGTGGGGCCTGGTGGGAGGTGATTGGATCACAGGGGTGGTTTCTCATGGTTTATCACCACCCCCATTGCTGCTGCCGTCGCAATAGTGAGTTCTCATGAGATCTGGTTCTTTAAAAGTGTGTGGCACCTCTCCCCAACCCCTCTCAGTCCAGCTCCTGCCATGTAAGAAGCCTGCTTCCGCTTTGCTTTCCACTAGGAGTAAAAGCTCCCTGAGGCCTCCCCAGGAACAGATGCTGCCACGCTTCCTGTACGGCCTGCAGAACCATGAGCCAATTAAACCTCTTCTCTTTATAAATTACCCAGTCTCAGGTATTTCTTTATAGCAGTGTGAGAACAGACTAATTCTCTGTCTCTCTCTCTCTCTCTCTCTCTCACACACACACACACACACACACCCACAGTCATTCAAAAAAGTCTAAAAGAACAACAAAAAGCCACTCTTAATCCTGTCACCAAAGGCCACTGTTAGCATGCTAGCATGTTTCCAAGCAATTTTTTCAAGTACGTTTCTAAATAGTTGAGATATAGCATATATACTCTATTGTATACTGCTTTTTAAAAATAAAAGAATTTGGCCAAACGCAGTGGCCAAGGCAGGCAGATCACTTGAACCCAGGAGTTCAAGACCAGCTTGGGCAACACAGCAGAACCCCATCTCTACAAACAACAACAACAACAACAACAACAAAACCTCAAAAATTAGCTTGGTGTGGTGGCATGCGCCTGTAATCCCAGGTACTCTGAGGCGGGAGGATCTCTTGAGCCTGGGAGGTGGAGGCTGCAGTGAGCTGAGATTGTGCTACTGCATTCTAGCTTGGGTGGCAGGGTGAGACCCTGTCTCAAAAATAAAACGAAATGAAAGAATTTTCCTTTGTGAATCAACCTCAATACTTATTAACAGCTGTATAATGTTCTACCAGGTGGGTGCACTGTAGTTTATTTACCCATTCTCCCAGCATTGGATTTGGATTAGCTCCCAGTTATAACACAGACCGCAAGGAGCATCTCTCTTTAAAAACCCCTGTCGAGGCCACATTCTCCATGTGATTGTGAGTATGCTATGGGCCAGACTGGAGATTTTGCTCTCCTTAGCATGAACTGGGCTGTCCTTTCCTTGGCCAGTTTGAACAGAGGCTATCAAGACACAGCTAACCCCAGAGTCCAGCTCCCTAATCAAAGGATGGGGAGCAGACTGGCATCTTAGATGTACACATGGCCTAGTGTTTGATATATATATATATCAGCAAGGTACATCCTTTTAAAAACACCAGACACTAAGGTGGCAGTCGCTTGGCAAAGCTAGAAATTGTACTGTTTAAGCTACCATTCCACAGAGCACACAATAGGCAGAGGATTCATAATTGTTCTTGTCAAAATGTACCATCCTGCCTCAACAATGCTGATGGAAATATTTGTTCTTAACCAGGAACCATCATTGTATGTGAGGCTGTATGGATACAAACCACACCATTGGGGAACTAAGAAGGCTGCCCTCAAAGGCAGACTTAAATATTAACATAATAGATTAAAATGGAGCTTCCCAAACTCCAGTATGCATAGGAATCACCTGGAGACTTTGTTAAAACAGATTCTACTGCCAGAAATCTTGATGCTGTAGGTCTCGGATGGGATCTGAGAATCTGCATTTCTAACAAGTCCCAGGGGGATGCTGATGTTGCCAGTCAGTGGACCACAGAGGCCAGGTAACAAGGTAGGTATTAGATTGAAGCATATTAAATTGGTGATATTCAACCATCTTGACCTTAAAAAACTATCTCAATAGTTCAATCTAATAATTAGTTCAACTCCAAGGTTAGCTTTACCAGAAGGGCCACTGTGCTCTTAGATAGCAGTAAAGTGCTTGCTTTTCAGCAACCTGTACTGAAAATGACCAGCCCATCACCAAGTCATGAAACATTTGTGCCAGTTTTCAAGGCTTCCACGCCTGAGCTTAAACCAGGGTAGGAGAAATGGGGGCTTGACCCAATCCTTACTTCATCAGCCCCACACCCCCTGAAGAGACACTGTCAGTGTTGCAAGTTTGCAAACAAGTAAAAGTATAGAAAGATAATACTGATCGGAAATAAGGAATTTGCTCTTTCAGGAGAGCGAAACAAATAGTTATGGGTTTAACAAGGGTTAAAAATAAAACTCCTTGGTGAATGACACAAATCTGTTTCCATTATTTGAGATGAACCAGGTGAGGCTGATTACAGGGAAGACCGTGAGTATCATCCTTTAGTACTCATAGTTTCTTGAGAGCAGGCTCTCTCCATGGGAAAAATAGAGAAGAAAGGAGGCAATGCACCCATGAAGATGAGTATGACATGTTAAAATCGCTTCACTCCTGTTCAAACTAAGATGAGGTATCATAAACATGGGTGCCTCTGACATCCCAGGAAAGAAAATGGAGCTGGAGTGGGACAGGCAGGTCAGAAAAAGCATGTGAAAATCGCCATTTTATTCAAGAACCACTGCACTCAGCCACTGGATATAAGAAAAAAAGGGTTCTATTTTCCAATATGGCGCATGGAGCCTCTTCTGTCCTCTTGGACAGATGCCCTTGGCTTGGTTAGATTGTGAAGCAGTAAGGTAATTAGCACATGACATCCAATTATATATGCTAATAAATCCCTTCTCCTAGGTGGAGGTTAGTCTCTTAAAATCTACTTAGAGAGCATAAGTGATGATGGAAAATTTTAAAATACTTACAAAAGGCCCCACATACCACCTCCACTACACTTACTTAGAATCACTACTTGCTAATTAGTATCTTTGCAGGTAGCAGAGAAGTGATGCTCTTTATTGGGCCAACAAAGAAGATATAAATACATGAGCCTGCAAGCCAAAAGACATTCTTTTCCAAGGACATTTCCATCCCAAAAGCCTAGGTATTTGTAATGAGTTATGTGCTCTCTATAATAGACATAGCTAGATGAGTGGCAAATACTTAACCCATAATGGATTCATTCTGGTGTCAGAAGAGATGGGTTCTCTTGTGAGACTCAATTAGCTTGAGTCTAGCTGAGTGTGCAGTGGTGTCAAGGGAGGTGTCCTACGTTCATCTTGCACATTTGCTGCCTCAGACCTAGAATCAGCCCTTTCTTGAAGAAGCCCTGACTCCTCTCAGAGGAAACAGACTTTAGAGACCACATTCTGCATGGTAGGGGTATTCATCGTTGCTAGGTTGTCATTGGTTCTAGACTTCTTCAGTAGACAGGACTAGAAAATATGTAAGTTTCAGAAGGTGAAAATAAATCATGAGTTTAAAACATTATTGCCAATTCAAATCTAAGATTACAGATTTTAATTTAACTTCCTTGATTTTATAATTGATCTATTTTCTCTTGTGCTGAAAATCTTGATTCCTAATGGCATAATTACTTATTTGAATAGTTGCAAAATGACTACAATAAGACAACTTAATTCAGTTTTAGATTTCTTTTTGTTTTTCATTTGTCATTAGGATATTTTCTACTAGCAATGTACAGTAAAGGGTACTTTGTTTGGAAGTCACATGAAATGACTGAAGGTGTTGAGTGCAATGATTGCTAAGGTCCTGTGTATTCCTTTGGGTACATAAAATGAGAAAACTATGAAAGGCTCCTGGCCATCCCATTCAGGTGGATCTAGTTAATAAATAACTAAAATTCATGTAAAGTTCCTGCATTTTAAGTTTCCAGTTTATTTGAGAAAAACATAAAGCCTTCCTTCCCTTCACATTCATCTGCTCCACATGTTGCAGTATTTCGAAAACTAGGAGCTCCTCCCCTTCCTTCCTTGACTCGTGAACTCTGCCACTGGCCCTTGCAGGAGCTGGCCTTGCTTTGTTGAGTAACAGCACAGAGAAGCCCACACAGTGATGAGGAGAGCCTTTGATCTCCAGAAGACTTGAAAACTCAAGTCTGGAGGTCTTGGCATTTATCCCAGAGATCAAACACATATGTTGGCACCTGCAGGGAAAAGGGAAATATGAACTAGCCCTTTTTGAATCCAGAGCCTATGATGGAAACTCCACAAGCAATGACAGAATCTACTAAAGGCCACAGGCCCATCAGAAGCTATGAGTAGCCTCCATGGGGATCTCTCTACCAAGGAGTTGGTGAGTAGACCACACACAGGGATCAGACAGCTTCACCCCTGAGTGATTGTGCCTGAGTCCAAATACTAAAAACTAGGTTGAACCCTATGAAATTGACATTTTTGTAGGTCAAAATAGTTGAATATTGGCAATTTCATGTGGTTCAACGTTACAACTCTTAAGTAAGCAAATGAAGAGCCAAAAACTCAATAATCGCTCAAGCCAGATAAATGACACCCTATTTCCCCCTCCCAAGTTCAAGGCATTTTGTGCTTCTCTTCTCCGGTTGGTTTGAGGCAGACAGAGATGAGGGGAGAAGAGAGAGCAAAGTTATAACAGGCAACTGATTCTAGAGGGTCGCATTGGAGAATAAGTGCCTTGGGCCCCGGTGCTGGCTGGCATGGTGCGGAGGATCATCAGCAAAGCTTGACCCCAATCCCTCCGAGTGTACTGGAGGCCCCAGCTAATCACACTTGGGTCTGGGAAAGGAAACATGTCACCTCTTATTATGTCCAAGGGACTGTGCAGAGGTGCTTTAAAGAGAAAGGAACACCGTCAGTGCCGTCAAGCAGTTTATAACCTGGTAGCCATATTAGACAAATTAGGTGATAATCCAAGGTAGGATCAAGTGGGCTGCCACACAAGTTCAAAAGACATGCTCTCTGGTTAGGGAAGGGGTGCAGGGAAGAGGTAACATTGAAGTAGGAGGAGGGTTAAGGGCTGGATAGGATCAGCAAATGCTGGGAGAGATCAGCATATGCTAAAGCGTTAGGTTAAACCATTTGGAATTTCCCTTTTGAGGCAAAAATTTTTTAATATTAGCAATTTCCTGTGATCCAACCTAATATGAAGGTTAGAATGAGTCTGTTGATATAGGTCCCAGGAGTAGTTCACTGTGGCTTGGCCAGGAGTCATGTGAATCAGAGAGGCGCAGGTAGGGAGCTGCTTAGGAAGAAGATGAAGATGACTTAGTGAGCATGTCCATGAACCACACAGCAGGTTAGGCCCTCAATATAGCTAATCTTATTTGGTTCCCATGATAAACCCAGGATGAACATTTCATTATCTCCAACTTACTGTATAGGCACAGAAAGGTTAAGTTGCTTGCTCGAGGGCCATAGAGGCAGGACTGGAAGCACATACATCTGATTCCAAGGCCCAAGATCTTTCTGCCCCACATCACTTCCCCACAAAGGAGCAGATATTGGTGTGGGGAGACCATGTTCACCCCAGAAAGGAAGACTGAAGTGGTTCAGTGGAGGGCCTTGGTGGCCGGGATGTGGAGCTGAAGCCTAACCCTCTTATGTAAAGGGAAGTGTCTTAGTCCCTGGCTCAGACGAGCTTTCTTGTGTGTGTGTGTGTGTGTGTGTGTGTGTGTGTGTGTGTGTGTGTGTGTGTGTGTGTGTGTTTCATCTTCCAGCTAAGCAATGGTCTAGAACACTGACCTGTGTGTAATAGGTGCTCAAACGTGAGTTGAATGGATCTGGCTCAATTCCATAAATGGTTCAATCTGTATATCTTGTGGTCCTTTTTGTCTCCTTTTAATCTGTCCTTTCTTTACTTGATCTCTCCTCCCAGACAAATTCTACTCAATACCAAGCTCGAGTTGCACCTCCTTTGTGAAGCCATCCAAGACCTCCCAAGGCCCAGTTGGTTCATTCATTCATTGATCAATGAGTTATTAAGGACTTCCCATGTGCCAACCACTGTGCTAGGCACTGCAATAGAATGGTGGACATGACATGCGCCATTGTCCTTGTCCTTATGGAACTTACTTCCAGGTAGGACAAAAGCCAGTAAGTAAATTGATTAATAAGGAAGAATGTCATTGGTAGTGATAAGCACTCTGATGAACTAAAACAGGGAGATGTGAAAGAGAGTAAGAATAGTGGGAGGTGCGGCATTGAGGAAATGACAATGGCGACCTACTGACCAGGAAGGCCTGAGATTCTCAAGTGTAGGCATCAGAGACACCAAGGAGAGGGAGTGAGGGTCCCTGTCCACATGGAGCTGAAAGCTAGTGGAATGACCTCTTCCTGTAGCTCAGAGTGGCCATCTGGCTTCACTGGTCACCAAAGCCGTTTCCTCTTCTTTCTGGGCACAAAGCTAAACTATATTTCCCAGCCTTCCTTGCAGTTGGGTGTGCCATATGGTGAGGTCCACCTGGTAGAATGTGAGCAGAAGTGACACACACCACTTCCAGCCTGGCCCATTGAAACCTCCCACACATCCCCTTTCATGTTCTTGATGAAGATGAGTACAGAGACCTTAGAAGTCATCTACTGAAGACAGTAGATTCCTAAGATGGAAGGAATCTGCATCCTTCAATTCCAGCTAGGAGAAGAGCTACCCACCAATGAGGCAAAACCCATTTTGGACACTATGCAAGTGAGGAATAAACCTGAATTTTATTAAGCCACTGAGATGTTGGGGTTTGTTACAGCAGCTAATGGTACACTAATTCAATGAACTCGCTATATCATTGCTATGAGTACTCATTTGGTCCCTATTTAGCCTAGGACATGGCTTCTATTGTATCATTGTTTGATTATGTGCTTTTCTTTAGTTTTTCCTTCCTGTATGTCCCATCCCTCTCAACTCAGATGGCAAGAGTGCAGTTAGAGGCTCGCCCTTCCAGTGCTTTGGTATCTTACCAGCTCTTACCAGAAGTGGGCTTCTGCTTTCACTGCTCTATCATGTCAATGGATGCTTTTATGTCCCTTTAAGTCATTGGAACTTTTAGGTAAGGGGAAGACCAATGTTTTCATCTTTTCCTCTTTTAGTTTGCTGAGAAGACATGATTTCTAGACTACTATTATACAAATGTAATCCTATCACAGCCCCTCCCTAAATGGTGATCAGTTCTGAATCGGGGACCTGGGTTAACAAGACAGGACCACCCATACACTGTTTTAATTGCTTGTTTCCCTGTCAAACTAGATGCTTTTTCAGGGCAAGGAGTATTTATTCTCTATATTTCAGCATCAAGCACAGTGTTGGACACATAGTAGGTACTGCATAAATGCTTCCTCTATGAACTAATAAGGTTGTCTAATGTTGTTAAATACACCAGTGTGCTACAGAAATAATCTGCCAAAGTTTTTGTTCTTCAGAAAACATTGCTAAAGCCACCCCCTCAATTTACAGTCAGTATTAACAAAAGCTTTTCCTTGAAAGCCTGATGCATAGGAGTCAGGCTGAATTAGGAGTTGCTTTGGGGCATCCACAGAAATGAAGATTGTGCAGGAGGGTACACTAAATGGGGCTCTGCTTTTCTGCTGCAGCTCTGCTGAGTGCTGGCTTTTTTTCTCCCCTCTTTTGCTTTTTCTTCTCTAACTCAACCTTCAAATTAGCTCTTGGAATCTGCAGGTGGAGTAACTCTTTGTTCTAACACACCCCTTGCCAAGACTTGCCAGTGAAAGCTGCAAGCACCTGGTTGGCCCAAAGGGTGAGTTTGATTTCTCTTCAGGGAGGATCCTCAGGCAGTGCATTAGGAACTGGGAGTGCCTGTGGCCCAGCCCATGCTCAGATGCCTTCCCAGCACCCTCTCAGGAAGTCACCCAACCCAACACCACCTCTGGCCTTCGGGCACCCTTCAGCCCCAGAGAGTGACTTTCGTTGCAGAGTTCACTCACTCAGAGACATCCAGGCCAGACCAACTTGGCCAAAGATCATGATCAGAAAAGGAACGGGCTACTCCATAACCTCAAAGAGTAAGGAAGTACTTTTTTGTGTGTTATTTTTTTAAGCCCTCAAACCCATGCAGCAATTGGAATAGAGGTGAAATTGCAGATGACACCAACCTGCAAACCGAATGGAATGAGTCAGTGTCATCAGACTAAAGGTCTGTTTTGAACCCAAGCAATGGCCCAAACCACATGTAGGGTCACACTGACTGTTCTAACAATGGATCTTCAACTCCAGACACAAGCATTTTTGACAGAATTTGACATTGCAAAAACAGCTGGCTAATCTGGTCATTCCAGTAACAAATGAGAACCATTAATTATTTCATTACACTTACACAACCCATAAACCAGTCCTCTAACTGGATGTTTCCCAAAAGTTGCCAGTGAATTCAATTAAATGTGCGGATTCAGTCCTGTGTAGACATAGCACAGACCCCTGTTAGTGGGTGGTTATGAGGCTTCTTCTGTCAGTTCTGTGAGGAATTAAATATCAGGGCAAGAATGTTTACATGAAAAGATAAAGGTATTGAAGAGAAGGCAATTGGAACCTAAACACAACTTGGGAATCTCATTTTATTTAAGAATGAGCTTTGGCCACTCTTCTGACTTTTTGTAACTTGCTTTTAAAAGCTGTCAAACCAATAGGTTTGGTGAATACAACATTTATTTGCCTTTTATCCACCCACAGAAAAGTCTGTTCTTTCCAGAACAAAAGCCACTGGGGACAAGTGGCACACAGAGATGCCCAGATTCCCATCCCTTTCACCATTGTGTCAGCTTCCCATTGTGTACTTCTGAGTCTTCTTTCAATAGTAGCTATGGGCTCAAGTCCATTCTAGAAATGCCAGTGTCCTTTGTGATGGGGTTTTCTGCGAAGCCACAGAGAGCAGGATCTACTGGGGCTGCCCAGGCAAGCTGCCTTTTCAGCAACAACATACTGCAGAAGTTTCTTCTTCCTGGGGTGAATTCAAGCCAGGGGCCTGGAGCAGAGCATTCAGGGCCTGAACTATGGGACTAACAGGCCTTTACAGTAACAAGTGAGGATTTGGGGCTTTGGGGTGGGTTGTGTTTACTTGAATAGGTCCCCAAAAGCTCATCTCAAAGTTAATAAAATCCCAGTTGAATATTCCATTTTTAGTGAGGACTCCAAGGTTGTTAGGCCCTTCCTTTGCCACCTGCTTCCCTGAACCGCACTTTCTCCATCACTCTCTCTCCCTACTTCCTTCCTTTGTCCCGTTCACATTTCTTTCCCTGTTGTCCTTGGCCTGAGCCCTCTAGTGGATCAAGACTAGGGTGCCCTCTTTTGGATATATTAAATTTCCCAGCCTGCAAAGAAACTCTTGTTGTTGTTGTTGTTTCCATTTGGTATATAGGTCAAAAAATAATAGCTGTTATGGCCATGGCAAAGATGAAATCTTTAAGTCCCCAGAAACATCAGACCAGGAAACTGGAATAACGTTCTTATCCATTCATATTGAAGACCCTACTATGGCCCTCATTGTCCAATGCTTACGTTCGTTCCTGCAACTGATTTCTGCCCTGCTTCTCTCACTCTTTCATGTGCTGAGGATAATATTGATGTCAACGAGTTTCAGTCTTTCTCTGAATAGTCATTCACTCAACAAATAATTACCAAACACCCACTATCTCCGTCTGAGGCACTGAAAGACATATGAGTTCTCTGTCTTCCTGGAACTTGCTGTCTACTGGGAGAGATAGATGACAAATAAGCATACAGATGTACTGTCAGGTGGCGTAAATTCTGTGAAGTCAGAAAGTGGAACAAGGTGATAAAGCGTGATGGGGTTGCTATTTTAGAGAGGATGTTGTGGCAGATGCTTCTTGCCTTGCCAATGTGCCTTCAGCATTCACTTCAACAGTCAGAAGGCTGCTTCTCATGATTCCCCAAGACCCTCTGCCTAAGGGTGATTTTTTCCCCTCTGACAATGGGAGAATGCTTGGCCCACACACAGGGCACGCACTGGAGCAGTAACAGATGCCCTCCTCTGTGGTCAAGATAACTCTGAAGTGTGTTCTACACTATCTCCCAGAGTTCCTCAGCAGGACTGAGGCACAGCTACCCACACGGTGGCTGCTTGATAGCATACCTTTCTTAGATCCTTTCCCTTCTCCCTCTCACTTCCCCACTCCCCTGCTGTGTTACTTGGGTTCATCTCTCTGATAGACTACTTGTACTTGAATCCTTGTCTCAGGGTCTACTTCTGGGGGAATTCAAACTAAGATAGTAGTTAGGCAAGGCATCTCTGCAAAGGTGACATTTGAGCAGGCTCCTGATCCAGTGAAGGGGTGAGCTGTGTGAAAATGTGTGGTAAGAGAATTCCAAGCAGAAAGAACAGCAAGTGCAGAGGACCCAAGGTCAGATCTTGTTTGAATGTTTGAGGAACAGCAAAGCCAGAATGCAGGAACAGAAGGAGTGAGGCAAAGGGCATTAGAACAGGTCTTACTTTCCTCATTTCACAGTTACAGTATCTCCTTTAATCCTTTCTTTCATGATTTCCTCCAATATGCTCACTTCTCATTTCTCTGATGGCTCATTTTCTGAGAGTTCTGTCATTTTTTTTTGTATTCTTAATTTCACTCTATTTAACTGTACTTTTGTGTGTGGGTGTGTGTGTGAGACAAGGTCTCACTATGTCACCCAGGCTAGAGTGCAGTGACGTGATCATAGCTCACTACAGCCTTGACCTCTTGGGCCCAAGCAGTCCTCCCGCCTTAGCCTCCTGAGTAGCTGGGACTATAGGTGTGTGCCAACACCCCTGGCTAATTTTTTTTTTTTTTTTTTTTTTTAGAGAGATGGGGTTTTGCCATGTTGCCAGGGCTGGTCTCAAACTCCTGGGCTCAAATGATTTGCCTGCCTTGTCTCCCAAAGGGTTAGGATTATAGGCATGAGCCACCATGCCTGGCCCTTAACTGTACCTTTAAAAAGGAAAAAAAAATGTGAGGCAGAAAAGTCTGATGTGGAACCACTGATTGGTGCAGGGGAGCTGGGAGACTGTCCATGACCCCGCTTAGGGAAGCTGCCTCCAGGGGAAGGCAGCAGGCTCTATGCATTGTCATTGATGCCCCCTCTCCTTGCCAAATCTAAGAAAGATGAGAGGCTTCTTTTCTCCTGCTCCATGGTTATCCTCCTATTGCCAACACCTTCTCCTGAGAACTCGCCTTAGGCCAAGCTTCATCCCATGTGCTTGGCCTTCATCATCTGTGATGCTCACACCACTCTGAAAACCAAACAATACCTACATCTGGCTGAGGAACACAACCTCCTTCCATCTAGTTTACCCTCCTGCGGCAGATGAGGTGCTTCCCCTCACATCTTTGGCTCCACCTGAGACACCTCGGCAGCATTTTCCAAAGCCACAGAGCCCTCGCCGTGCATTCCAGGCCCTGTGGAGGCAGCTAGTTTGATCCTGAACAGGAGACTCCAGATCACAGACGATGTGGAGTTCTCTTTAGGCAGCTGGCATGAGCTTAGCACAGATGCCTCCCAAAGCAGGACTGCTTTGCTGACTCCTGGGAGGTTTATCCTCAAAACTCCCTGCCTTAACCCATATCCTGCCTCTCTCCATTTGTGCTTCTGGCTGGAGCTACCACGTAACCAACGGCAGAGTCTATTAGTGCTTCGTTCTGCTCACAGTTCCTCTTGGAGGAGTTGGCTTCTAAAAATTAGTTAGCAATAAGTGAGCCACGAGATTATAAATATTAAAGCCTGAAAGGCAGGCCAGAGAGTCTGAGCTCTATTGGCAGAAGTAATCTGTAATCCGTATGGGGAGTCCTCAATAAGTCCCTTAACATCTCTAGGACTTAGCTTTCTCTCAGGCTGGAAGCAATAACAAATAGGTTTTAGAGCTCCCTTTTGCTCCTTTCTAAGTGTCCTTAGTGTTTACCAAATTTCCATTCCACATCCATATTTCCCAGCTTTCTCAGCAGTTCTATGGGGGCCAAATGACTCAGTGTTGGCTAAGGAGATGTAGGCAGAAGTGATGTACACCACTTCCAGGCTGGATCCTTAACCAAACTTCCCAAGAGCCTTTGTTCTCTCTTTTCGCGTGCTGCTAGGAGGGTACATGACTTACACCAGACTTTGTGTAAGGAAGGAAGAGAACTTTTATTGTGTTAAAGCACTGAGCTTTGTTGGCTTATCTGTTATCATAGCATAGCCTATCCTATCCTGATGAATCCAGTTTTTTATCCTGCCTGCTCATTCATTCATTCATTCATTCACTCATTCATTCATCCAGTTGCTCATTCATATTTTCAGCTTTCATTCATTCACTTGGTATTAACTAAGTGTGTACTGCATGCTGGCACTAGTACTTTAGCATAGATAAACCTTGGGGTCTTTTCCCAGAGGAGCTGGATGTCCAGGTGAGGAGATGGATATGGGAACAGAGAAAATATTAAGAGTGTGATAAGTTTGTACTAGGTGCATAACACCACGTTGTGTACAGAGAAATACTCAGAGGCCTTTCCCTACTTGGTCCTAGCTCCATTCTTTATCAAATTTGTTTCACCTAGGCAGTGCTTACCACTGCATACTGCACCATTCTAAAAGAGTTGCATTTACCTCTACCCTTCTCCTTTCACCAATCCATCATTCTAAATCATTTCCCTCAATACCATTTCTGCAGGCCGTGCCCCTGTTTGAAAATAATATAGGGGTTTTTCATTTCCTACATAAGATCTAAACTCCACAATTTGTCATTGATCTGGCTCCAAGGTATCTTTCTATCATCATTTTCCACTTCTTCTTTACCCAAAACTTCCACTACAACCAGATGGGGATAATCCATATTAAACAACCCACACCATTGGTAATCCCACACCCCATGTCTTTTCTCACACCATTCTTTCCCCAGGACTCCCCTCCTTGTCTAGCCAATCTCTTCTCTTCAAAGTCCTACTTCAGGTGATATGTTTGGTTTTTCTGCCTACTCTAGCCTACAGTATTGATACATTTAACAACTTAGATGAAACAGAAAATTCCTTGAAAAACTTAGCAAGGGACACAGGAGAAACAGAAAATACAAGTAGTCCTGTAAATTCTAAAGAAATGGAATTCTTAATAAAAACCACAAGGAAAATTCCAGACCCAGATGGCTTCACCAGTGAATTCCATCCAACATTTAGGGAAGAAATAATACCAATTTACATAAATTTTTCTAGAAAATAGAGGAGGAGAGAACACTTCCCAACTCATTGTATGAAGTCTATATAATCCTAATATGGAAACCTGATGACAGGCATCTCTGAAAAATCTATAGGTACTCACGCCTGTAATCCCAGCACTTTGGGAGGCCGAGGCGGGTGGATCACGAGGTCAGGAGATCGAGACCATCCTGGCTAACACGGTGAAACCCCGTCTCTGCTAAAAATACAAAAAATTAGCCGGGCGAGGTGGCGGGCGCCTGTAGTCCCAGCTACTCGGGAGGCTGAGGCAGGAGAATGGCGTGAACCCCAGGGGGCGGAGCCTGCAGTGAGCCGAGATTGCGCCACTGCACTCCAGCCTGGGCGACAGCGAGACTCCGTCTCAAAAAAAAAAAAAAAAAAAAAAAAAAAATCTATAGGTAATATACTTAATGGTGAAATGTTGATTTCCCTTAAGATTGGGAAGAATTTTAAAAAACACTCTCACCAGTGTAATAAGACAAAAGATAAAAAAGAAGAATACTGTCATTATTTAGACAACATGATTGTGTAGGTTAAAAACCCTATGGAATCTACAAAAAACTGCTAGAACTAAAGAGTGAATTTAGAAAAGTCGCTGGATACAAAAAGGTCAATATATAAAAATCAATTGCATTTATATATACATACATATAAATATAATTGATTATATATTATTTATGTATTATTATATATAAACTAGTAATGAAAAATTAGAGAATGAAATGAAAAGAATACCATTTATGATAGCATCACAAATATCAAATACAAAGGACAAACAAATCTAACAGAAAATATACAAGTCCTCTACACTAAAATCTGCAAACTTTGCTAAGAGAAATTAAAGAAGACCTATATGATCAAAAGCTATAGCATATCCAGGGCCTGAAGATACAACATTGTTAAAAATGTCCATGCTCTCCAAATCCATCCATATATTCAAATGAATGCCAATCAAAATCATACCATGCTTTTTTGAAGAAATTGACAAGCTGATTCTAAAATGTATATGAAAATGCACAGGTTCTAGAATAGCTAAAACAATCTTGACAGAGAACAAATTTGGAGGATTTTTACTATCTGATTTCAAGACTTACTATAAATCTACAGAGGTCAAGACAGTGTGGTTTTGGCAAGAAAGTAGACATTATAGATCAATGAAGCAGCACAGAGAATTCAGAAATAGACCCACACATACACAGTTGAACTGATTGTTTGAAAAAGGCGTTAAGTCAATTCCATGGGAGAAAGGAAGGAGTTTTCTGGTTTTCTTTTTACAAATGGTTCTGGAACAACTAAATATACATATGGGGAAAAATGAATTTTGACCCTACCTTACTCCATACACAACCGGTAATTAGGGAAGGACCATAGACCTAAACATAAAAGCTAGAACCATAAAACTCCTAGAAGAAAATGTATGAAATAATATTCATGAACTTGAGGGAAGCAGATTGTTCTGACCGTGCCCAAAAGAGGCTAGTCATAAAAGAAAACATTGATAATTGGACTTTGTCAAAATTAAAAATTTCTGCTTATCAAGAGAACACTATTAAAAAACAGGGCAGGTAAGGACTGGGAGTAAATATTTGCAATACAAATATCTAACAAAGAACTTTTACTCAGTGTATATGAAGAGCTACTACAAATAAAAAATATCAATAATAAAAAGACAAAGAATTAAAAATGAGAAAAAGGCTTAATTAGACACCTCACAAGATATATGAATGTCTACTAAGCACGTGAAAAGGTGTTCAGCATTATTTGTCATCACAGAAATGCAAATGAAAACCACAATGAGATACCATTTCATATCCATTAGAATGGCTCCTGACATACCAAGTATTGATGAGGATGCAGAACAACTAGAACCCTGATATGCTGGTGATGAGAGTGCAAACTGATACAATTTTTGAAGAATCTCTGCCAGTTTCTTATAAAACTAAACATACATTTACCCTATAACTAAGCAATTTCACTCCTAGATATTTACCAAAAAGAAACAAAAAATGTAAATCCACAAAGATTTGTACAAGAATATTCTTAGAAGCTTTATTCATAATATCCCCAAACTGGAAACAGCCTAAGTCAATGAATAAAGTATGGTATATTCTTACAATGGATTACTGCTTAGCAATAAAAAGAATAAACTACTGATACATACAACAGCATGGATAAATTTCAAAAATACTATGCTGAATGAAAAAGGCTGGACATTTTTTAAAGTCATACTTATGATTCAATTTATATAAGCTCTTGAACAGGTGAATCTAATCTATATGATAGAAATCAGAATAATGGTTGCCAAAAGGTGTGGGAGAGAGACTGGAAAGGAGTACTGAAGACATTTTGGGATGATGGAAATGCATTATATCTTGTTTTGGGAGGTTGTTACATGGATGTATATGTCAAAGCTCATTGAACTTAACACTTAAGACTTATGCATAACTCAACTGTATGTAAATTACATCTCACTTAACAAAAAATATTACTCCTTCCCTCTCCCCTCCATGCCACGAAATGACATGTTGGATGCTACTGTGTTGTGTCATTATTTATTATTTCCATGCATGGTTATCCATTTTAAACTTTCTTAGATTCCTCAAGCAGAGCCTGCACAATACTAGGGAGTCCACATTTGTTGAATGAATGAATGAATAATAATCAGAGTAAAATGGAAAGGAAAAGTAAAGAAAAGTCAAAATATAACATCATACCAATTTCTACTGTTTCTATTTTCCTGGGAGTCAACACCATTGCAAACACAGGTCCCTATTCCCAATGAAAAACAATAACCCAATATCTAAGACATTTTGCTTCTATTTACAATAAAAGAGGAGGCAAGGAAATAAGAGAAAGCTTTTTGTCTCCTAGATTTTGAGGTAACACCACATTATTATTACTGTATTTCTTAACTGTGGTGAGATAGACCAAAAGACATCTGATGAATCACCTTTTCATTCATAAAACCCTGCTTATATCTTTCATCACTTTTATTCTGCTAGAATAATAGCAGAGAAACAGTACTTGATGGGCCTGCATTATCAGACGCTATTGGAAAGGTCTAGATAAGAGCGCTGAACCACCTATTAGTATTCTGCATGCAAACCCTTCTCTATAACCCAGAGTCATCCGTATCCTGGCAACCCTCAAAATTTCATTCTCATTGAATTGCTAGATCTTTATCAAAATATAATTATAGCCTTAATTTGAAAGATAAATTTTGATTGCCAGTGCCATGCCCAAAGGAAGAAATAATCAGGTGGGAGAGCACTTAGGCACAATTGTTAACCATATAATCAATGTCATGAATCATCCATCCCCTAAAAAAACACAAAATACAACTTTGGGGGATGTTGTAAGGGGTAGTATGAGGAGGGGAAAATCCTTGAGGCATCAGACTTACTTGTGACTCTGGTACATTATGTTTGCTTAACTTCTCATGCTGTCACTTAAGTGCTTGTCATGTCTTCTCAATTGGAAGTTTGGGGAAGGCCCAGGCTGCACGTCCCACTTCTGTGTGTGCCCACAGTGGCCCAGCCTGTAGTAGGAAGTAGCCCAATCTATAACCCCTCCTTCACTTGACCTCCAGGAAAGTTCCCTGGAAGTAAGCTTTGAGACAGAAATTGGGGTGTGGGAAGCATATCAGGAAATGTTCTCTGGGGCAACACCTGTGGAGGAAATGGATTAAGCAGGGCTGGGCAGAGCGAGAAGTTGGGCTAGGAGAGTCACAACAAAGGCTCAGCCCATCCCATGGGGAGCTCTAGAGCTGGGATGGCCCTGTAGAATTGTCCTGAGTTGAGGCAAGGTGAGTGGGCCTTTATACTACCGTATTGACCATTCATCAGATGAGTGCTGCCCTTGGAAGGAATGTGACCTTAGACGGGGTGACTTTCTTCAGGGAAGGACAATTCCCAAAGAGGGATGCAGCTGTGAGCTGTCAGCCACCGCGCCTAGCCCTGGCAAATGAGTGCTTGGGGAATAAGTGCTTGAGCCCTGATGAAGAGGGGTAGACAGTGAATCAAAGTAGCCACTGCACCCTCACTGACTACAGTGACTCAGAAGCCTGGGGAAAATAATCTGAAATGGAGTCCCAATGGATTGAACCCACTAGCCTGTTTCTGCAGGAGAGCAGCTCTACCTCCTGAGGCAGGCAGGGACTCCTGTTGTGCATGCTGAATCCCCTCGGAATGTGTGACTTGCCAGAGAAAAGTAAATGGAGATTAGAAATATTCCTGTCTTCGAGAGGGGAACATCACACACCGGGGCCTGTCAGGGGGTGGGGGGCAAGGGGAGAGGGATAGCATTAGGAGAAATACCTAATGTATGCGGGGCTTACCACCTAGATGATGGGTTGATGGGTGCAGCAAACCACCATGGCACATGTATGCCTATGTAACAAACCTGCACGTTCTGCACATGTATCCCAGAACTTAAAAGTATAATAAAAAGAAAAAATAAATATTCTTGTCTTCTCATCCAATTGGTATGCTCCTGCCTTTTCAGAAACTATCCTTAGTTTATGTCTGAGGATAGGTATTGATACCTTTTAAAAAATGGATACCTTTGAGACAGTATGGCAGCGGCAAGAGAGCAGAAGTCACACACTTCTGTTCCCCTTCTCTTTGGGCAGTCACATCTACAGCCTTGATGCTTCCGTAGGGCATAAATGATTCGTTAGTTTCAGGATGAAGAAAGAATCAAGCATCTATTAATATAATAGTCTTGCTCCATTGGAGCAAAAGGAATGGATTTTATCTAACCTACATTTTAATGTACCATCAACTCCTCCTGAGATCTTTGGGAATCCTCAACTTTGTAAATACAGAAGCTTCAGACTTTACCTTTGTGGATGTCTACTTCCAGGTCTCCTGTTATTTATGCCCTTGGTCAATTCCCTTACCTGAGGTTTGGGCTGGGCCTGTGACTTGCCTCATTCTGTTGGTAAAACAAGACACAGGCCCAACCTAAGAAAACCTGGAAGCTCCTGCCTTTGCACCCTTGGGCACTCTGAGTTGCCAGGTAAGAAATCCAGTTACCCTGCTGGAGTGATCACATGGAAAGACCACTGGGAAAGACTATGTGGAGAGGGAGAATCCCTGAGACTACCCAGAAAGAGACATAAGCACAGCCAGCCCAGTGACCCAGCTGAACCTTGCCTGCAGGTGACATACCATCTGACCAACCACCAGCAAGACTAGCAGAGCTGTCAAGTTGAGCTTTTCCCAGATTGCAGAATTTTGAACCAATAGATTGGCTTGTATCTTAAGCCAGTAAATTTTGGGGGTGGTTTCTCCTGCAACAATAGATAAACAACCACAAAAAGCAATTTCTTCCAGAGTTAAGTGACTATGATGGCCTTGCCTGCCCCTACCAAGTCAACTGCCTCTTAATCTTGCACCAAAGGTTATGGTTGACCACGGCTGCTTTTCACAAAGAAACAGACATTTTTATTACTTCACAGTGGTAACGGACTACACAGTAGTGTCTATCCCAAAAATCTTGAAAGAAAAAAAAAGCTTCATTGGGCTGTTGGAGCTGGAGGTTGGGAGCTGAGCTTCTTCACTAGCTGAGTAGCTCAATCCTGTGTATCCATTTTATATGCTTGAGGCTCAAAGACATGCCTCAGCAAATTTACAAATGACTCCCCTCATGGATCTTCAAGGTCACTCACTTAAAAAGGAAATTAAAAATGTCCCAATTGGACATCTCAGAAAGGGCTGGAGAAGGAGTCTACCAGATCAGAAAGGTAGTATGGTAAAATAGTCCAGGGTTGGATTCTGGAGCCATAGTGCCCAGGATCGAATCCCAAATTTGTCACTTGTTTGCCGTAAAACCTTGGGCAAGTTATTTATTCTCTCTGTGCCTCAGTTTCTTCATCTGTAAAATGGGGATAATAATAACCTCTACCTCCTAGGCTTATTGTGAGGATTAAATGAGCTATATGTGTGCAGGGCATAGATTAGTGTCTGGTTATTCTTTGCCTGATTATAAGTGATTATACAGTAAGAACCAGAAGAAGATCATACTTGGATTTTAAATCATATGAAGTCACTTTTAATGACTACACATTATGAAAGCATGTCAGCTTTCAGAAACAATATCCTATATAACTGTTTTCATAAGATGCCAGGGTCAACATAGCATGGTAGAAGGAGCACTAAGCCAAGAGAAGGGGATCTAGGTATGATTTCAGCCCTGCCATAAACCAGCTGTGTTATATGGGGAAAGTTATCTATAAATTGAGGAAAATGATAATGACCTTGCCTACAGAGGTTGGACCAGATGGTCCCTGTAGGAGCCTTTTATGTTGCTACATCTTTCCAAATCCCTTTGAGACAGGAAAGAGGAGGTGGAATTACCACCATTTTTAAGATGGAGATCTGTATTTGCCATATGACTTGTCCAGAGCCAAAGTCCAATCTCAAAGTAGAGCTTAAAAAGGGCCCCTCCATGCCAGAGAGTGTACTGCCATAGCACAAACTGCACACAGACTAGATTTCCCAGTCCCCTTGCAGTTAGATGTGGCCATGTGATTGAGTTCTGGCCATGGAATGTGGGTGGGAGTGAGAGGTGCTGCTTCCAGGATAATCTTCCATGTTCTTGTTTTCCCTTCTGGATGCAGAAGACCCAGCAGGGGCTTCAAGGCCCTAGGGAATGGTAGATTCATAAGAAGAGAAGAGACTAGGTTCCTTATAATCACAAGACAAAAAGCTGGTTTGACATTATGTAAGACATAAACTGCTATTGTGTTAAACCCTGAAATTTGGGGCTCACCTATTATGGTGTTTATCCTTCCCTGACCAATATGCTCACTGTGGGTCTCTAGTCAATTGCTGGTTTAGGTTCTGATCTTCAAGAGGAAGCAGCCCTTTCTATTTAAGACCAAGGGATCATTGATATCTTATTTGGTACAGGTCGAGCCAAGCCAATGATGTTCTTAAAAAACTGAAATCTCAACCCGTGGTCTTCCCATATCTACTCTTCTAAGCTGGCCAAACTTGGCCACTGTTGCACTGGCCTTATACTACATTTCATCATCATTAATCCTTTGTCTTCCATGGGGAACACAAAGATGGTGGAAATTTTAAAGATAAACTAGCAACTGTGTGCAAGTCTCCACTAGAAGACTAGAGGAATGATGGATATCTCAAAGGTGCTGTTTCCTGGTCTCTTCCTTCCCCCCAGTCACGATCTCTATCTTAATAGTTGCCCAGTGATTATAGTTATGACATACAGAAAATAAAGGTAAAAATTTTCAATCAAAATTCATTTTGAAAGAGAGGAGAAAATCACTTGGTAGATTCCATCTTGAACAGAGAATGCTTGCCCTTACATTCCCTTGCTGTTTAGTTCATTTATTTCACTGGAGAAAAAAATAGGCATTTACATTTTTCAGCAATTGCTAATGCATTCTTGCCAAAAAAAATAAAAATCCTATCATCCAACCAAATCAAGAACAGAGGGGGCCTTTTTTCTTCAAGCTGGACTTTACCACCATCACCACGAAAGAAAAAGTGAACAGGGAAGAAATGAAGGCTTTTGAAAATAAATAATGAGGGGAGCCTAGCAGGCTCACAGAATCTAGGACCCACAGAAGACCTGCACTTCCTGCTTCCACTGCAATCACTGCAAAGTCCTCAGTCCCTTCCTATCTCCATTCCAGGCGGCCTCTTCACCATCAGCTGGAGGCGGCCCCCTTCAGACAGGCTGGCGCCACCCTCCTGCTGACCAGGAAGAGGCTCCTCACCCAACTGTCCAGGGGTTTCCACCTGGAAAGGAAAGAGTAGTAGCCCAGCTGCTATGAACACAGTAGGAAGTTGGCATGGTTTGAGTGCCACCTGGCCCCTTTTGTCCCTCTGTATTCTGGAACGAACTCCACTGTGAGGGAGTTGCTTGTTGGCTTTAAAGTGCAAAGGAGGAAGCCCCATACATATGGCTGGATCCAACCAGGGGATGTAAAGCCAGGGATGGATATCCATGGCTGGGGGCAAAAGAGGGACCCCTGTCCAGGCTCCCATCCTCCAGCCTTGCAGCCCAGTGGCTTTGGGCCTCACCCGGGAATGGATGAGGCTTCTCAGAGCTGCTGCCCTTCTCACATGGACCAGCACTCAGCATCCCTGCCTTGCCTTGAGACCTGAAGGTGAATTGCTCTGAAGGATGTGTGGACCTGGTCTGAGGCTGTCTGGGGGCCCAAGTTTGGCCCACCCTCAGGGAGCTGGTAACGGAGACCCCACCCCTCTAATAGCGGGGTCAAGCCAAGCTGTACCTCCAACTGCAGGGCTATTTTTAGATGCTCGTTATCTTTGCCTTGCTCACAAGCAGCTGTGAAAAACAAACTGGTCACCAAGAGGCAAGAAACTGTAAAATAAAAGCCTCATAAAACAAGAGCTCCAAAACTCCAGAGCATACCACAGTATGGCAAAACACTGTGCACCATCATGGCGGGGCCTGCTGAGTCTTCCCCGCAGGGGGGTGAGGAAGGGTGTTGCTCTTTCACTGCCCACACATTCCTGGCCTAGCATGCCCTGAGCAAGTCCAGCTTTGGCTCACTGTCCCTGGAATGGCTAGTGGGTCAGGCTGCCCCACTCATGCGCACAGATGGTGACCCCAGGGGACAGGTGCGCCAGAGAGGTGGGGGCGATGGGGTTAACACTGCCACAAAAGGAAAAGCTCCAGCTCACTCCCCTCTCTTCCAGCTCATCCTAACAGTCCATTTGCCTTACAGCATCACAGCTCCTTGACAGTGAAACCCCTGCACAGGCAAAATGTCATCCAACACCAAGTGGCAGGGCAGGAAAACAGGAGAGGGCACCAAGCGGGATCCTCGACTTCTCCCCAGCCCTTAGAAGCCCTCAAAAGGCCAAACCTCAGGGCGCCCTTCCACTCACAGAGCCGTCGAATCCTCATTCCCCCTGCAGGAAACCCAACACCAGGCGCTGCAGCCCCTGCAGACCCCTCCACCCAGAGGGTAGGCAGCGTGGGAAAGTGCCGCCCCGCCCCAGAACCCGGGATCAGGGTAGGGAGGAGGCGGCAAACTTAAAAGCTGCAGCTGCAATATGCTTTTAAAAATAATAAAAGACCCCTGAAAGCCAGCGCTGTTCCCTTTGCCCCTGCGAGCTATGCGCGGTCCACCTGGACTGTCAGCTCACCCTCGCTCAGCTCTGCCAAGGGGACCCAGCTCTCAGATCTCGACCAAGGGGGATCTCCTCTCGGGCTAGCGCGCGGCTGGCCTCGAGCCTCCCCCAACCCCCAAGTTCACCCAGCACCCAGAGGTGCGAGAAATTAGTTTAAAATGATGTCACTTGCCCATACCCCCTCCCCCCAGGCTGGTCCCATCTCACACACCCGCATGGCCTGGGCTGCGAGTCGCGGAGCATCCCGGAGGGTTGCGGTGGGGCGCCACGCCGAGGCTAGCCTCCCCTGGCGCCCGCTCAGGCTCAGGCTCGGCCCTGGGCAGCCCGCCCGTGCATCGTTCCCCTGGTGCAGAAATCCTACCGCCCGTGCGCCCTGGGCGCGCCGCCGGGCCCCGCGCCGGCTCCCCGGGAATGCGGCCGTCAGGTGAGGTAGGCATGCGTGCCGGCTCCGCAGCGAAGCAGCAGCTGGCTGGGGCGCTGGGCTCGGAATCTGCCTCTTCTCCCTCTCCCCGCAAAAGAGAGGCCTCTCGGGGACTTTCCAGCGCATTGTTGCGTTAGGACTGCATTCCCCCTTCCTTTTCCTTTTATCTTAGTTTCTCCTTCAGATGCAAAAAGAGAGATCGCAGGAGTCCATGCCCAGCTCCAGCCTAACTCGGTCCACAGGCAGAGAATTATGAATGGATGCTGCCTTCTGATGAGGAAGTCGACTGGGGAGGTCTCTGCGCACGGCGCGCTCCATCAAAGCAGGGGCATCGGCCCCTCCACTGCTTCAATGCTGCAGGCTGAGACACCTAATTGACCACTGGGAAATCAGGTGCCGGGAGACCTGGGCGGGACGTAGCCCTGGGGCCACGCTGGGATCGAGAGCCTTGTCGGTGTAGACAGCTTCGATTTACAGCTCAGTGAATGGAGAGGACTGCGGCAGCCAAACCTCCGGGGCAGCAAGGCACGGCTGCACCAATGCTCCACGGACAGCCGCCTGGCTCTGCGAGTATCTCCCAGCTCCACCGGGCTAAAGGGAACCTGCTAAAAATAATCCGTCCCCTGCTGCCAGCCGCAGTGAGCTGCAGGACTCAGTCCCCAGCCCCAAACTCGGTGGCGCGCGGGAGCCAGCCACAAAGCCCGGCCTGTGAGCTTAGACAAGCCGGAGGCTGCGGAGGATCCCGGATCCGGATTTCTTGTACCTCTGTGTTTCCTTCTCCCGTAGCGCGACCGCTGGGGCTGCGCGTTACCCATGCCCAGAGTGGCGGCGGGCTCCGCACATCACCAACAGGCTGGACCGACCGCAGCTGCTCAGCACCGCACCCCCGTGGCTCTCTTCTCACCTCCCTTATCCCTAGTCTATGGCCAACAGCAGAGGAAGGAATCAGAAACGCCGACCGTGCCAACCCCTCCAGCCCGGGCAAGAGGGTGGACAGAGACTGGCGTAGAGCATGTGCCCGCATATAACAGGACTAGAGCACCCGAAAAATGTGACATTGCGTCCCCTCCCCCCATTCATCTCCGGATGCTGAAACCTCGCATCCTAGACACATCTCACCCTGCCCAGGCTGAAAAACACTGCAAGGACAATGCCTTTGCAGCCATGTATTAATCTCCAGGGAGCGGCGATTTACTAAACCAGATCTGAGGTTGAACCAGGATTAAAAACCATGGCAGTGTGTGCCCATAGCTTAAGTTGGTAGGCTCTCCATATAGCGACCTAATGCAGAAGGCAGAGAGCCATTTAGGGCCACTTCAAAGACAACACTTATGGGATATATCCTAATACCATACATAACAAGAAGAAACCCAGTGAATGAAATTATCCAAAGATGACTTGTGGGATGTTGTTTTTGGTAATATGTCTTTGAAACCTATTTAGGGAAAACTTGACTCTTTTCTGACTGGGTTGCCTATTTTCAACTAGGGATGTTTAGGCGCTGGGCAGATTTGCATGTGTGGGCAATACTATATCCACCAGGCCTGTAACTTCTCCAGAATTCACAATTGTGAAACACTCCACTTGCCAAGGTCATAAGAAATCTTGGGGTTTGCCTGTGTGTGAAATAAAGAATATTTCCTAATTGGCATTACTGTGAATTAATGATTGTGGTCACATGAAGTATCACCTAGAACCCAAGTCAGTCTGGGTTAGCTGTTCTCCACTAGCCTCCTTGGAGGGCTGCCAGCTGCTGGCAACGACAGAGAATCTGGTGGAAGTCCCCCGGAAGACAGAGTGTGGCTGGGACAGGAAGGATGAGGTGGGAGGAGATGGCATGGCCACTCCCCCAGTGAAGGTGAGAAGACAGCCATGCACCCCAAGGTTTAAGGGGTGGGTGGGTAAAGGAAAAGGTCATCAGAGAGGAAGAGACATTACTCAGAGAAGCAGGAGACCAGGATGGAAGGGGGGAAGGGCCCCATCTCAGAAACAGGGGGATGGACGAAAGAGTTTTAAGAAGGCTGGGTGATTTATAATGTCAAATGTCACCGAGGGGTCAGTGGGAGGAGTTCTGCTGCCAAGGGCAGACCTGGACCCCTAAGGCTTTGGGAAGGCTTGATGGATTGGCTACTGATGGGAGATGTGAAGTGGGTGGGAATACCAGTCAGAGCTTCTCAAAGGTAAAGGGAAGTCCTTCCCTTAGCCTTGCTTCTCAAAGGACCGGCAGCCCCTGGGGGTTTGGTAGAGATACACCTTCTCAGGCCTTCCCAGACCTGCTGAATCAGACTCTGGGGTGAGGCCTGGCCATCTGTATGTTAACAAGCTCTCAGATCAACTTCAAACAGGAAGCCTCACCATGTACAGACTCAAACCTCTCAGGTCTTGACATGAGAATTTACATTAGGGTGAGCAAAATGGCTGCCCTCGACAGCAATCCCTGGCAAGTGCATGGGTAGCTAGTGGCCAAGTCACTAATCACACAGCCCAAGGAAATGAACTGCATTGCTCCAGGTTTTCAGGTCTGCTCTATCACGGGAGAGCCTTGACAATGAAGTCTGCAGAATTCCACAAAGCAATGAAAATGGCCCTGTCTTTTCTCCTTTGTATTGATCTTTACAATAATGAGGTGGTTGTTAACAGTGATGGCAAAAATAATGATATAACTAGATTGCTTAAATTTGAATGAGATTTTAGCAAGTCCCATGGCAGAGAGGTTAAAAAAAAAAAAAAGAAAAAGAAAAGAAAAGAAAACCACATAGGCTTTGTACCCAGAAAGACCTGTGTTTGAATCCTAGCTCCTCCAGTTCTTAACAAGTGTGGCCTTGGGAAAATTATTTGACTCTCTGAATCTTGAACCTTCTTTGAATCAGTTTCTCATTTGTAAAATGAAAATAAGAATACCTAATTTATAGAGTTGCTTAAAAGAGTAAATAAAACAATAAAGCACAATGATAGTGCCCAGCACGTAATAAAAGCTCAACAAAGATGGTTCCTTCCTACCTGTGTTTGAGGTCTTCACACATAATGCTCATATTGCATTTTTTTAGGTCCCCCTATCCCCTGTATGGTGGTTAGGGTACCTGAAGCTTCCTATGGATCAAAGGTTCAAATATAAGCCCTTATTGAGTATCTCTCAGATGCCAGGTACTGTGCTGGGTGCTTGTGGGGATACAGCAGAGTCTGGGCCCAGTTGGAGCTGACATTCTAAGGACTGAGTTTACATCCCAGTCCATATAGGTATCCTACTTTTCTGATATATATTTTAAATTATTATTTTAATTGATACATAATAATTATACATATTTTCGGCATACAGTATGATATTTCAATACATGTGTACAATGTGAAATGATCAAAATAGGATAATTAGCAAATTGATCATCTAAAGCATTTATCATTTCTTTGTGTTGGAAATATTCAAAATCCTCTATTCTAGCTATTTCAAAATATACAATAAATTCTTGTTAACTATAGTCACCCTGTAGTGCTATATACCACTAGAACGTATTCCACCTATCTAGCTGTAATTTTTTAAATTCATTAACCAGACTCTCCTTATCCCCACACCACCATCCCCAGCCTCTGGTAACCACTATTCTACTCTCTATGTGATCTTTTTTTTAGCTCTCACATATGAGTGAGAACATGCCATGTTTGTCTTTCTGTGCCTAGCTTATTTCACTTAACATAATGTCCTCCAGTTTCATCCATGTTGCTGCAAATGATAGGATTGTATTCTTTTTTTATGGTTGAATAGTATTCTGTTGTGTATACAAGCCACATATTCTTTATCCATTCATCTGTCAATGGACATAAGTTGATTTCATATCTTGGCTATTGCAATTAGTGCTGCAATAAACATGGGAGTGCAGATGTCTCTTCGACATACTGATGTTTTTACTGAAAGCCAAGGATACCAGGTCTCACAGACAATTTTGCAAATGTGTCCTTTTTTAGGACAGTGATGATCTATAGCAGGGGCCAACAAACTTTTTCTGTAAAGGGCCAGGTAGAAAGTATTTTAGGCTTTGCTGGCTATGTAGTCTCTGTTGCAACTACTCTACTCTGCTGTTGTAGCTCAAAAGCAGCCATGGATGGTGCATATATAGATGGATGTGGCTGTGTTTCAATAGAACCTTCTGCACAAAAATAGAGAGTGTGTGGGATTTGGCCCATGGGCCATAATTTGCCAACCTCTGATCTACAGTGTGGCTCAGGAAATAACTATTTCCTTTAACTGGTATTGCCAGGAAATGGTAAAGTCTACACAGGTAATTTTCCATATAACTAAAGTTTATCCAACCAAGAACAATTTTCTGAAGCCCCTTATTGTTCTGAGCATATTTTATACTTTCTTTAGAAGAAACTGGCTAATTAGTTGTCCACCAAACTGTCTCCTTTCTCCTACAGCTAAACTACATTTCCCAGCCTCCCTTGCAGTTAGGTACAGCCCTCTAACTGAGTCCTGGCCAATGGAATGTGGGCAGAAGTTACGTGTGCCTCCAGCCTTGGCACATAAAAACTCTTACCTATTCCTACACACACTTTCTTGTCTTCCCTGCTGGCTGAACACAGAGGCTCTATGGGATGGTGGATTCCTAAGATGGGAAGAGCCTAGGTACCCACCTGCAAGCTAACCAGCATTAAACTGCAAGGAAAGTGAGAGGTAAGACACTGAAATATTGGGGGTTTATTACCAGAATTAGCCTACCTTGAGTAATTCACTTTCCTGTCTCTTTAATCAGATGCTACAAAACACAATTTAATGTTTTGTTGATTACTTAGGGTCTTTATTAAGAAAGCTTATTATTGGTCTCTATGGTAACACATTTCTAAGACTCCTTTGTGGATTTCCATGCTCTTTCCTTGGTATTTAGTTCTCCATTATCATTCCTTTCTCAACCTTCTTCTAGCTCCTTTCCCCAGAGTTTAAGTCTCCAGTGAGCTGGGGATAACAGACACCCATGGCTGGGAAACATCTGTCCATTAAAGAAGAGTTACCAATTCTCCAGCAAGAGCCAAAAGGATACATGTGGGCTTGCTGACAATTATTTGTAGCCTTGGGAAACTCTTTTCACTTACTTCCAGGTTTGGTGCTGTATTCCTGAAAGCTGAAGTTATTGGAAGTTCAGCAGCCCTGAGAAGAGTGGGGGTATTTCTGTATTGCTGAGCTTACAAATTTTCAAAGCTTTCATTCTTCTACTAGCCATCTTGGGGGACTCCACGATACAGATTCCAGTTCTGTCCTTCAACATGCATGGACTATTCAATTGTCAAAATACTGTCATTTCCTGATTTTGTACATATAGATTTTAGCTGTTATATGCTCCAAATCTCCCATTTTAAATTTACCTTTGCTGGTTAATTTACTATTTTGTTGACACAAACAGATCTTAATTGACTCCTATTTTACAGGAGCTGGAAGAATTGACTCTACAAGGCTAAATAGTTTTAATTCAGTTCAAGAGGTGGTATATTAACTTTATGCCTCAGACAATTTACCAAGAAAATCCAGGTGTGCTTTAGACCTGGTCTTTGGATTATTCTGATAGGTGGGAATGTGGTCCTTTCCCATCATGAGGTGGGATACAGGAGAGGAACTCGTGGGGCTGGATCAAGGGGAGAAAGATTGGAGGAAGCCAATGGAGCCCAAATACTTTGACAGTCTGATTTTACTTCTTTACTGAAAAAACTAAGATGATCATATTTAAATGATCCTCTTGGTCTGTTTCTTCATCTATAAAATAAGGAGGGTAGAGATCTGTAAAATTTTCTCTACGTCTTTCATTGTGTAAGTCAATTTTTCTATGAGACTTGGAACCAAAAATACCTTCTAAAATGATTTCTGATCATCAGTACTTATTTTATCTTCCTGTTTCTGCTGAGCATCCAGAATTGGCCATTCTACCCATAAACTTCAGCATCTGCAAGGGAAGTAATATGTTCTGTGATTTGCCCAGGGCTGGATAACCTTTTGGTCCCAGACTGACCTTGAGGGTGACCTCGAGGATCCCAATTCTAGCTCTACTGTATTTATACCATACCCATTCTCTCCTTATGTTTACCTAGGGCGAGTTTCCTGCTTTATTCTCTTTGACTCAAATACGTGCTGAGACCCAATTATGAAAACTCAATTTTGTCTCCAAGGCTTACTTCCCTGGAGCAAGTTGAATGTCCCCTCCAGAGCTATGCATGTGGTGGAGCTTTACTTCTCACCTATCCCAGTAGCAGCACATTACTATTGCTCCTGCCCCACCACTGCTCACAAAGGGACTCCCTTGACTTCCAGAAGAAATAGCTGCTATAAAATGGATCACTCATTCATAAGGAACTATGTGTTTATTCATATATATTTTATATCATAACAAATGTAAATTAATTTCAGGGTGTGACTACCCAAGCTAGTATCTATATGGCTGCCTGTATAAAATTTCTCCCTCAAAATTCTCCAAACCATCTGGCATAAACTACTCTATTGTGACCTGTTAAAATAAGTAACAGCTGTGATAATCCCTCTCGATTTATAGCAAGCTATAAAACTTTGCATATACCGGCAATGAATATAAAATAATAAATAAAACCATTATCATTCTGTGCTGTCTTGGTGGGAATTATGATGATTTAGCCAAAATGGAGCCCTATAGAATGCATCAGAGGAGAAGATTAAGCAAAGGTTTTGCCCAACCTGGCCTCCTCTAGCCCCCAAAGACTAACCTCACTACATAGAATTCCTGGATATGTTTGAAAACCTTATCCAATGTAAATGCATCCTTTCTGAAAAAACATGGTTCCCATACATTGCTGCCCAACTTCTACTATTTCAAAGCCTCCTTTTCTGATGGTGGGTTTCCAAAATTGCACAGTATATCCAGACCATAAAGAAAAAGCAAGCTATGCACAACTCAAAAATGTGAATAATCTATAGCACCAAAGCTAATAATTGTCTTGGAATTTTTAACTGTAAGTTTATGTTTGCAAACATTGCAAAGATCCCAGGTTGAAAAATATTGTATTGAAGTCATCTCTCAAAGATATGCAATATGTGAAAAAAGACAGGCTGGTATCTGGAAGGGAAAGGGGTGGGACAGCTTTGATTCTGAATGAAAGAATCACTATGCCCACTACACACCGATTTCACAAAATTAAGGGGTCAAGGAAGGAAACTAGCACCATGAAATGGCTCTTTACTAGGTTCTGGGCATTACCCCATAATCTTATTTAATCCTCACAACAGATATGTGCCTTAGGTATTATTATTCCTGTTTTATGGTGAGGAAATTGATGTTCAGACAGGTTAAATAACTTGCCCAAGGCCATCCAACTAACAAGTTGGAGAGATGGAGTTTGAACACAGGTCTGTCTGATTTTAAGATTCATGCTCTTTCCACCTCACTACACTGTCTCTTGGGCAGCTGTTCAAAACCTTTTTCTTTCATGACCCATGATATTTACATGAACCACTCATTATCATAACCATGGGAAATTCCCACCCCCTTTTCTCCCATTTATTTGAATACAAGGAGAGTTACCCTACTATTGGAAGAACTTCAAATCCATTTTAATTTATGTGTATAAAAATTTGCAAATACAGGTGCTTCGTTATTACGGTAGATTTCAAAAAATAGCCATGGTGCTTTTCAGCTCTTCCCAGCAAGATATGGAGTCTATTTCTCCACCTTGAATCTGAGCAGGCCTTATGACCTGATTTGGCCAGAAGAATGCGGTGGAAGTGACATTGTACATGTCTGAGCCTGGGCCTCAAGAAGCCTTGCAACTTCTGCTTCTGCTGATCTTGGCACCTGCCCTGCTTACTGCTGCTCATGAAGAAGCCTGGCCCAGCCTGTTGGATGATGAGGTACAGGTGGCCCAGTTGTCCCCTACCCCCATCTTGGTCTGCTAATCACCAGACATGAATAAGGCCACTCTAGGTCATTCAGCCCCAGCTGACTATAGACACATAAGCAAACTCCACAGAGCTTAACTGAGCCATCCCAGACCAGAACCACCCACTAAATTTTAAGCCACTAAGTACTGGGTGACTTTTTATGCAGAAAAGGCTAACTAATGCCGTTCTTTAAAATAAATTTCTGGCCATATGTCAAAACAGGTACTAATGGTTAAAGATTATTGGTTTGAGCACAAGGATCATAAACTAAAGACTTAAAAAAAAAAAAGGTAAATCCTTTCTGATGGCTCCAAATACTGTCGCTGCTCAAGGTCTTCACAATACTTCAATATGCCCCATGAAAGTGCCAGTTCGGAAAGGATTCCTATGGATACAGTTCCAGAAGACCACCTTTCCTCCTCCAATCCTGGGCTTGGCAGCTTGATTTTGGGTGATATGGTTTGGGGGAAAGAATCACCAAGGTGAATGGCTCAGAGCCTCCCTCAAGAAACAATCAGTGGATGGAAGGAAGAGAAAAAGAGATGATGTGTTTAAAGACTGCTAATGCCAATGCATGACCCCTAGAAATCCATCACTGAAATTAAAAAGTAATGCTGTGGGCCAAGAAGAACTATGATTTGTTAGAATATGGGGTCAGTTTTGTATTTAACAACAATAGTCATGCTGTCTTCCTAAGAAGATAAGGTATGCAAAGACACAGGTGGGAGAGAGGGAAAGAGATGTCCACCCTCCCTTTCCACACACTTGGGAAATGTACAGATGGAGACTCTCAAAAGGAAGGAAAGAATGCTGTAATTATAAACCAAATTAGGGCCAAATTGAACTATCTGAGAAAGGAAGTTACAACTAAGTACTTAAAGCAGTGTTCTCAACCTTGACTGTATGTTGGAATTTCAGCACAGTGAAAGCAACTCCAAAGCCTGCATTCTTAATCTCTACAGGGATTACTAGCTTTATTTATTATAATCAGAAAAAATGTTCAGATTTGGACTTTCCACCAGTTTCTACAAAAGCCGTTTCTTTTGAAGAAAATGCTGGGGTAACATATTACTTGATCCTTCAGCTATCTTAGCATGTGAATGCTTGGGCTTTTTTTTCCCTTTTCTTATTTTCTTAGTAAATCTTGGAGCCTTTGAACTTTGAATAATTTCTTTTCTCTTTCTCCCAGTGCCCTCTAGTTATACAAACACACACAAAAAAATCATTACAGAAGCAGTATTTATATCTATACGTCTATGACTTTTTTATTTGGTATTTACAGTACTGAGTGAATGAACTAATTTAGTTCATTTTGCTTCTTAGGAAAAAAGATGTGTAATGAAAGGAGGTCCCTTTTAGTCTACTCTTGCAAGGTTTCGTAAAGAGTAGATAAAGGAGAAACAGAGAGAAGGAAACCTTCCTTATAAACATAAGAAAATATATTGGTCTGTACCCTAAACAATTTTTTCTACATCTGCAGTTAAAAACATACTAATTATGTTCCAGAAAAGGGGATGTTTTGCTGAGCAACCTTATAAATTAAAACAAACCTGTCTATACCAGTATTTGCAGTCTCACCTAGTTCAGGTTCTGAACTTGTTTCCCAACAGTTTTTTCCAGTCTGAGAACATGCCTAGGACAGTGGATTAAGGCTCTAGGCTGAGACCTCCATTGGTTGCCTTCCCAGCAGAATCAGAAATGACATTTCCAGAGCAGAGGAGACATAAAAGTATCATGTACTCAATTGGGAGGGAAGGTTTCCTTGTTTGAGGATAGGGTTGAGTGGAATAGCAGGAAAGAGAAATGACCAGGTATGGAGAAATGACCAGGTATGGAGAATCAATGGCCCCTCTGAGATACTAGAAGCTTTACTAGAGAAGCCAGGTAAAGAAGTCTCCTGTTCTTGTCAAAAGCCCCTTATCCATGTTTTACCACCTAGACTTTGACATGAAAGAGAATCAAGGCACAGTTTGGCTTGCTCTTGTAAGGTTTTGGTTCAGAGTAATTCACTTCTAAAAGGAGAAAGGGAACTGGGCATGGTGGCTCATGCCTGTAATCCCAGCGCTTTGGGAGGCTGAGGCAGGAGAATTATTTGAGGCCAGAAGTTTGAGACCAGCCTGGGCAAAATAGTGAGACTCTGTTCCTACAGAAAATAAAAAATTAGCTGGGCATGGTGGCTAATCCCAGCTACTTGGGAGGCTGGGGTGGGAGGATTGCTTCCGCCCAGGAGTTCGAGGCTGCAGTGAGCCGTGATCACGGTACTGCACTCCAGCCTGGATGTCAGAAGAGCAAGAACCTATCTCTAAAGAGATACATACATACATATATACATACATATATACATAAAAGGAGAAAGACAAAGCAACAGGAAGTTTCTGCAGAATAATTTCATAATAAATGGACCATGTGTTAGAAAGTTGCTTTGCACACAGGAGCTCCTTCTCTCATAAATATTTCTTAACAAACAATATTTTTAAAAATTGACTTTTTAAAACAGAGAAAACAGATGATTCGGATATTTCTTGTCTCAAGAGGGAACAGTTTTGGGATCACAGAGATGTAAATCTCAGTAGGATTTGTAAGAAAGAAGTTTTCTGGCTTTCTGGGATGGTCAATATGTATCCAAGATGGCCTAGTGATGATGCTGATAGAACTCTGAAATAGCCCAGCGGGGGACCACACTGAGGTCCTCCCTGCCCACTTCAGCAGTTCTAGGATGTCATTTTGTGTCTCTGGATTTAGGCTCCCTCCCTTAGGCCCCCAGGCTTCGGGCAGTAAGCTGTATAAATTGGAGCTGTAGGATGCAGGGGTCTGATGCTTGAATGCAGTCTTCTTCAGCCTTGAAGTGTTCCGAAGCTCATTTCTAAGTCAGTTTTCCCTTTTAATTCAGGACATATTTTCCCATGGAAAAGAAACTACAGATGGTGTTTAGAGTTCCAGGTTTTTCCATCAAGGCTTATTTCCCCCATAATATTGCTGGAAAACATGTATTTGCAATGAAGAGTGGAAAATAATACTGGTATCATGGTAGTGAGTAACCAATGTTAACATAACTCAAGAAGATAGTTTTAAAAATTAATTTTAAATGCCAGTACCTCATAAAATGCAAGAATAATTAGAGAAAGAGTAGTAGATTGATGGAGACTTTGGGGTCTACAAATGAATTATCTGTCTTTTTGAAGATTAATGACACTGATTCTTTATTATGTCTGATATCACTTGAAAGATTAACTCATTCCAAAAAATAATATTTCTTGAGTATCTAAAATCCACTAGACAATACTATAGCAGAGATGAAAGACCTAGGGCCTACTCTGAAGGAGACCATTGAATGGCTGCCTTGAGAGACGCTATTTTATACCTGGTTTTCAGAGGGACTTATGCATACTCCCGAGATACACTGTAGCGTGCCTGGCAGTTCAGGAAGCCACAGGATAAATATAGAAGGATCTTCCTGGACCACTAGCTTTACTCAATGATTGAGGAGAGATTATTTTATATTACATAACATAGATAATAGTGCTAATTTTATAAGAATGTTTAGGATGAGGCATGCAACTATGAAAAAAAAATTCAAATGATGATATAAAAGACTGTTTGGAGCCATGCCTGACTTTATCCCTCCCTATCTCCACCACTGGCTCAGGTCCTTATAGGGGTACTGGTTCACCCTCTTCCCTTGGAAGCACTACCATCCACTAAAAGATAGACAGGCACAACTATCTTTCCTTTACATATAGGCTATGGAAAGGGAGATATCTAAATCACCCTGGGCAATTTCAGGGAAGGCTTCCCCCAAAAAAGTGATGCTTAAGGCTTCTAAACTGAAGAAATAGCCAGGTAAAATAGGTCATAAAAGCATTCAGAGGTTTTAGTGTACACAGACCTGTAGGTGTGTGAGAGAGCATGATGTGATGAGAAATTGCAAGCAATTTTTTTGTATGACTGGAACATCTGGCTAGTGTGGGGAACTTCAGAGACACATGCATTATCATTCCAAGGTGCAAGAAAGGAGGTGGAGGGGAAAAAGATATTGAATCCAAGAGTTCTCTGTTCCAGTCAACAGGTGGCATTTTTGGCCCCGGGCAGCTTTGTGGTTATCCACAGCAAATGGCCTTGGGAAATTTGAGAAAGCAGATGGTGGTATGAAGATAGCCAATTGTAGATGGGAGACATTTAAAAATAGGTTTTTGTAACTACAGAAAGAGTTGTAATCATATTTGCTACTTGTTATTTCATTCAGAGACTTTGAATGAGATAAGATAAAATATAGTCCCTGCAAGCAACTTCACCGGATGCTAAAGCTAAGAAATTAGAGGACAAACTATCATCTTTCTCATCATGGAAAAACACCATCTCTTCATGCTGACCTGCCAACATATCCAAACAACAGTATGGGAAATTCTGCATTGTAACTTCTTGACCTACCACAACTACCAGCACTTGTTAATCCATCACCTTTTATGATCCCAGAGGACATTTACAGCCTTCTCCTGGGAAACAAATATTTGAACAATATGTCATTGATAAACAATGCTTAGTAATAAATATATCAGTTGCAGGCAATCAAGTTAATTAGCAAAAAGTTCTAGTGTCATTAAAGAAACCAAAAGTGAAGGTAACAGGCTTTACCTACCATGCCCCTCCCTTTTTTCAAGACACAGGACACTATTGGCTCTGTCCCTTGTCCAAGTGACACCACTTCTCAGTTCACAGTCTTGTATTTTGATTGAGGCCATTTCTTCTGATCAGTTTTTACACCTTCAGATCAGAACTAAATTCCTTCTACTTTGGACGAACTAAACAGAGATTGTAGCACAGGCCATAGCACATCTTTTAACCCTTAACCTCATTGAGAGCTCCCACTTTCCCCAAGGCACTGTATGATAACCTAAAAACATCACTCCCATGTTTAGTTTGGGATCATTATTTTTAAATCCCTGCAGACAGTATAACCTACTGGGAAAAAAAAAGAAAGAAAGAAAGAAAGAAAAACACACACAAAACATAGGTTTTGGAGCCAGAGAGAACTGAGTCTAAATTCTGGCTCTGCAACAACTAAGCTGTAATCTTGGGCAAGTTGTTATGTAAATATTCTAAGCCTCATTTTCTTCATCTATGGAAGGAGAAGAATAACTGTACCTGCATCAGAGGATTGTGATGAGGATAAGCTATGACCAAGCAATTAGCATAATCCTCCTGAGCACATGAGTCATTAAATTACTTTTAACATTACCATCCTGGTTTCCCCCAACCACTGCATGTGACAATCTCCTCAGTCCCTAACATCAATGGACAAGCCCCTCTCAAACACATTATATCCATCACTTATGAGGCAAAAATACTGCCATATTAACTACTAAACTTAAAAAAGAAATGTTTCATTGCTTATTTCCAGAAACACCTTTCCTTTGTGACTTGAATGAAATCACTGGAAGATAAACAGATTAGAAGAAAATCAAAATAACCGGAGTGAATATTTTTTGAAATTGCTAAAATAAGTTGCTAAAAACAAAGACCCCTGGAGAAATTATAGCATAAGCTATTGGTTTTATATTTACATCTTCACTCGAATATCCACCCACTACTGAAATTGTAAATCAGTGTATAAGATGTTATATTGGGAAATGGAGCGGGGTTAAAAAAAATCTTTTGATACTTGGTTGGGTCTGCTTTCATCTTGCCAGAAGCGAACTAATATTAACCAAAGTATGCCAAAATATAAAAGATGACAGTCTCAGAAAGAACGGGATAAGATCAGAGAAAAAGGGGTCAGGAAAAAGGGGTTTAATTACCTGTGGTAATAGCATCATGTCCCTACGAAGGTTCTTTTCACATACTTCCAATACCACCTCCTAATTGCAATGATAATAACAGTAGCAATGACAACAACTACAACCACTTATTCAGTCCTTATGTCCCAAGCAGTGTGCCATGTGCACTATTTTAATTATGCCATTAAATCTTCACAACAAGCCTATGAGATTTTATAGAAGAAACCAAAACTTAGAAAGATATACCCTAGGTCGAGCGTGGCGGCTCACGCCTGTAATCCCAGCACTTTGGGAAGCCGAGGAGGGCGGATCACGAGGTCAGGAGATCGAGACCATCCTGGCTAACATGGTGAAACTCCTTCTCTACCAAAAATACAAAAAAATTAGCCAGGCCTGGTGGCCTGCGCCTGTAATCCTAGCTACTCGGGAAGCTGAGGCAGGAGAATCGCTTGAACCCAGGAGGCGGAGGTTGCAGTGAGCCGATATTGTGCCATTGCACTCCAGCCTCAGTGACAGAGCAAGACTCCAACAACAACAACAACAACAACAAAAAGATATACCCTAAAATGTTTCTCTGGCTAATACATTTCTACCAATTCATCAAAGCCTAGCTCAAATCTCACTTCCTTAGAAGCTTCCTTCCCTTTCCCTTGTCACCTCCTCCATCCCACATCCAGTTTTTCTTTCTCCAATCATTTTGAAGTTTGTTTTTTTCTTTTCTTTTTTTTTTTTTAAATAGACACACTTGGGAATATAATCACACATGGATATTTGGTTCTACTGTTCTTTCACAGAATGCTGAATGGGTTGGGTCTCTAAATGCAGCTGTGACACTTTAAAGATAGAGAGGTTCTCAGCTTTGCCCCAAATATAGAGCAGGATGTAGGGCAGATTCTATACCTACAGAATCTAATCTAAGCCTAGATATCTATTAAATGCAAGAAATTGGATTTTTGCCCTTTACCAAGTTTCCAAATTCATAGTTATTTTCAGCGTGATATGTTGGACCAAGGGGAGAGAAATGTCGTTGTCCTACAGAGGGCTCCAGCCACAAGAATGTTGTGGAACAGGAAAGGAAGTTATTTTTTATCATTGAACTCAAAAGCTTCTTTTCTCATATGAATCAAGGGTGTATCTTATCTCCCAGATATTTCTTCTGAGTCCATCAGTGGCTGGGCCTGCCACCCTCCTATAAAAGGAGAGTAGACAAAGAGAAGCAGAATGTGATTTGGCAGCAAAGGACATTTTTCCCTGGCAGAAAATGGAGTGACTTTTAGCTTATCTGTTGTCACCTTGTTAATGTGGTCATTGTTCTTCAAAATAAAATCTCCTCTTCTTACCCATGATGTCTTTTGTGTAAAAAAATAAAATAAAATAAAATAAAAAAGAAGCAACTAGAAACTCAGTGGAGAGAGGGAAAGGGCAAAAATAAAAGCCTAATCAAAAGAAGCAACAGATCAACTCTTTCTTAGGGAAAAACACTCAACACACAATTATCTTAATTCTCCCAAGTGGTTATTTTGCTTGCTTTCTGAGACAGGTGTGGAAAGCACTAGAAACCCATGGCCCCTGTCATCACCCCTGGTTTTCAAAGCAGGGACTATGGGCCTGTATTAGTTGGGATGCAGAATTTATCATCCATTTAAGCCAACGGCTATGTGGCTGTTGATGTGTGCCCCTGGCCTGTTCTCAAACACATCCTTATTCGAAAATTAATCATCCAGCTCTTACTTGCCTGTGAATGTTTCCAGGGATAAAAACTTAGATGGAAGAGGGAGCTTAGCTGTTAATGGCCAAATGTCATCCATGGCAAGCATTAACACAAAGACAAGGTGGTGAGAGAAGAGTGATTTACTCTATCTTGAAGAATAAATGAAAACTTCCTCCTCACTCAATTGCAAAGGTGGGATCAAGAAAGGAGCAAAGACAACATTCCTGGGAGGCCTCAGTTCCTTGAAGCTGAGGAAGCATTTGCATCTTTCCTCTTATTGGAGCTTGACATTTGGCCTCTGGATGCTGAAGAACCAGTTCTGTGTTTCAGTTGTGAATGGATATGGCTGAGATTAATTCCCTTCTGTATGTCCTTTCTGCCATTTCAGGAGCCGGGGGTGCAGCTACATTCAAGATCAATGAGTTATAGCCACATGCAAGGCCATGAAAAGTAATACCCTTCAGGAGAGTGGAGTTTCCGGTATTCTTGCTGAGCCAAAAAGACTAGGAGAGAAAGAGCCATGCTACCCACCAAAGTATTCAGAAGTACAGGGTGGGCTTCAGAGAAAACTAGAAGATTCTGCTTTGAACACAGATAAGTAACTTCCACTTCAGTTTACCTCTATATACAGTGGAGTTCTGCAGGATGGAGAGAGTGTGGATAGCAGATTACAGTTGCTTATAGCTTCCTGCAGCCTTATCTCTTCCTAAACCTTACCATCTCCTCCATCACCTCCTATGCCCCTCAGACTCAGAGAAGGCAAGAATCAACCAAAGGCAAATAGGTATTTTTAAAAACTTACCGAAAACTTGATACATCTTAACCTATTTATCCTGACAAAGTCAGTTCAAAAGTCCTCTCCTCCATCAGCCTCACTTGGCTTCCCATGCCACTCCACAAGAAAGAGTTGGTTCCTCCTTCCTGTGGATGGGCCTAAAGGCACTGTGTTTAGCCTTTCTGATGTTCATGGGTCAGTATTCTCCTGATGCTATGGTTTGAATGTTTGTCCCCTCAGAAACTCATGTTGAAACATAATCTCCAATTTAACAGTATTAAGAGATGGGGTCTTTAAGAAGTGATTGGGTTATGAGGGCTCTTTCCATAACCCAATGGATAAACAGATTAATGAATTAACAGATTAATGGGTTAATGGATTAAATGGATTAATAGATTAATGGGTTAATGGATTAAATGGGTTATCACATGAATGGGGTGGTTATCACAAGAGTAGATATGTTATAAGAGCCAGTTTGGCTCTCGGTGCAACCCCCCTATTACCCTGGGATGCCTTCCACAATGTTATGACACAGCATGAAGCCCTCACCAGAAGCCAACCAGATGCAACCACTTGATCTTGGACTTCTCAGCCTCTAGAACTGTAAGTAATACATTTATTTTCTTTATAAATTACCCAGTCTGTGGTATTCTGTTATAGCAACAGAAAATGGACTAAGGCACCTGACTTGGAAGTCCTCAAGAACAGAACTGTGACTTAGTCATGTTTGATGCTCAGAGCCAAGCCTAATTCCCAGCACAGAGATGCTGCTCCATAAAGTTTTGCTCCCCAAATGCTCACTTCCCTCAAGGCTCTGGCTATAATGTGCAGTCAAAACCCTACAGAGGGGAAAGCAACCCAGCTGGGTAGCCAGGAAAGAAGCCAGATCTGGGGTAGGGAAGCTCAGTTCATTGAGGAACATCCCACAAGAGAAAATGAGATCAAGACAGTTCAGGGGAATTTCTGAATGGTGAGTTTTTGTGCTGAGTTTTTTCCTGGATTGCCTTGGCGTGCTCAATTCAGTGTAACATTTGGCTGCATGCCCTCCCCTAGGCACACTGTTGGTATTTCATGTCCCATCTGCCAGTGTCTCTGGAGGACATTAGGATAAGTAGTTTGATCCAGAAAGGATACCCACTGTCCTGGCCCTCTGCCCAAGACATGCAAATGGAGAGCACTTCCCAGCCACAAAGCTTTTGCCTGTGCCAGTGATGTATTATTTTTGCTATTATTATCCATAGCAACCATGGATTGAGCATCTACTAGGTGCACCATGCTAAGTCCTTTGCCTGCATTCTTTCATTTCATCATCGTTTAAAGAATACAACAAGCAGATATTATTATCTCCATTTTAGAAATAAGGAAGTTGTGATCCTATAACTTAGTCACACAACTGATAAAGGGCAGAGTAAAGATTCACATCCAGATCTGGCAGACACCAAAGCCCATTTTCCTCACACCATGCTGTCTTGCCCAAAACTAACTATTCAGAGGATGAAACCAATAACAATAAGCCCACATAGAAAAACCAATGGAAATTACCAAAGCTATACTCTGAGGTAAATTTGTAGTTTTCAATTCTCACATTTTTTATTGAAACATTCAATTTAAGAAATATTTTTAATAATTTAAAATCTCAAGTAAAGAATATAAAATCAGGTACATTAATTTTAAAATACAGAACATCAGTAAAATTGACAAAATGGTCTTTGCCATAAGACAGTGGCAGCCTATGCCTTGCTCCCTCTGAATGCAGGGTTCCCAGGAATGAACTAAGGGACCTAAGATGACACTGATAATGACATGAAAGCTTTGCTTCTGGGAAAGACAAATGCCCAGAGATCTGGGAACACATAATGACAGTAGCTGTTGTACTTTGTGACCACTGACTATGGGTTGGCATAAGGGTCTGTGTTTCTGAGAGTTTGCCTGATCAGCTTAAGTGATTCTCACACCTGTCCAAGCCTCCAGGACACCTTTCTAAGCTAGACGCAACAGGAGCCTGAAATTTGAGTCACATTCCCACTTTTCCTGAAGACCATCCTATCCCTGGTAAGCCTAGCCCAAATATAGTCTATCAGCTACAACATCCAGCACGTGGCTGTGCCTTCCTCCAGATTGGGGAAATTTGGCAGGGGTCGAGAAGGAAAGAAAACAGAGAGTTTGTTTTTCCCTGCATTTTATTCCTATGCTTATAAGGCAGTCATGAGAAACAATGGTTCCACAGCTTTAAATCTAGCAAATAGAACTCCCTTTGAGATTCCAGTTTGAAAGCTGGTGAAGATCAGAGTAACTCCATCGTTTATGTAATAAACACACACCCAAACCTGTAACATTTTTATAATGAAACCTGGTGGTAATAAAATTTGCGTTAAGGTAAAAGCAGTCATTTTCCCTTCAGCTTTTATTGTGCTGAATGCAGTATCTGCCAAGTCCTACTTGAAGGCATCTTTGATTAAGGGCCTAGTCTTCCCACTTGTGAACCATCCAGAGTTGGCAGGAGTACCATGACATTGCTGAGACTAATGCCCAAAGATAGCCAAACTCATGACACGCCAGCAGCTTCAAAAAAGTTGAGCCCTCTGTCAAGTAGCCCTGTCACCACCACCACCCCCGCCCAGTCCCTTCCTGGTCTGTCAGCCACGTATAGGCCTTGGATCTTCAAGTCTTGAGGGAAAACTGGGTCGAGCTATTCTAAAGGCTTTCTCATCTTTCTTATTGAGCCTAAACTGAAACTTCTGGCAGGGCCTTATTTCTTTGGTACTCTCCCATTACTTAGTTCTTCAGGCCTAATAAATAAAGACTATCTGGCTGTTGGACGCTCTCTCCTGAATCCACTGATCTGTATGAAAATGTATGAATGTAGGCCCTTAGTTGTCTTCCTTGGTTCCCTGAGGGGAATTGGGGGTTTGGGTGGAAGTGCAGTTCTTACTTCTTACGGCTGCACATTGGAATCCACCTGGGGAGTTTTAAAAACATGCACTGTTATCGGGACCCACTCCCAGAGATTCTGATTTGATTGGTCTGAGGTGTTTAATTGTTATAATTGGCCTGCCCATCAAATAATGGTTATTTATCATAAATATATATGATATTAGGGACTTGCATTTGAACAACTTCTCTGCCATAAAATTCAGAAACCACAATGTCCTGAACAAACTGATAGAGGCTCCATGACACCCATTGGAAGCTGCCTGGTTCACAGGAATGCTTCCTTCTTCTCCTGAGCGATCTTAAGTAACAAAGCTGCACACAACAGTGCTTCCCCATCATCATGGCCTGGAAAGGCAGCTCAGAGAGAGTGTTCTCAGACAGCAGGTAGGACAAACCCTTCATTAAGAAAGGCTGCATACACGGTGTTGGTAGCTGTTGGGCTAATAGGAGACCCTTGAAACTTGGCCCTGTGTCAGCCTCCGCAGAGGCAGTGGAGGCAAATGTGCAGTGAAGGGGTTTAGCTGAGGCAAGGAGAGTGGCCAGCGTCAACTGTCACACTGGCCACCTCCTGCAGAACAACCTAATAGCGCATAGCAAGAAATGAAAGTAAGGCACTGTCCTTGACATTAAGGAGCCTGAGTTACAACTGAAGGACTAATAACCCCAGTGTTGGAAGAATACTGTAAAAAGTTCAATGCTTTTCAAATAGGGTTCAATTGCATGGCCAAACTTATGTGATAAAGAAGTATAGTGAAGGAGGGCTTAGAGGGCTAAAGAAATCAAGACAGGCCCCACAGTGGTTTAACAGATTTGTGTAAGGCCATTGAAGATGTAACAGAAACGAGAGGTTGGGGGATTTGGGTCTGGGGACTCTCAGTTTAGGGCTGTTTTGGGGACACTGGGAGATAAACAAGTCTTTCTCTGTAATCTCAGGATGAAGGTAAGATACTGAAGAATTCCAAGAAGACTGGAGGGGGCAGTGCTGGAGGAGAAGAAAGCAACATAGGGCCTGGTGCAAGCCCATGCAGGATGGGGCCCCTTCCCAGAAGTCCTGAGCTAGAGCCCCGGAATCCTGCCCTGGAATCTCTACTGGAGCTACCCTCTGGCCCTTCTTTAAGACGTTCAAATGTCGGAGCAGAAGAGGAGAAGGAAGAAAGGGTTGTCCTCTTTGTCTTGGGTAGTTTGATGCCTCAGAAGGAGAGCAAAGGCGAAAACGTTGGCCAGCCAGTATGAACAATGCAAGGTCCTCAAAGCTTAGGAGCCACTGACCCTAAATGTCAAAGTCAGCCTTGAGTGAGGGTCAAGTGCAGATTCCCCTCCTCACAGCTGTTCCTGTGAAAGGGCTCACTTTCATTGGGAAACATAGTTATCTTCTCTCCCAGAATAGGAAGTGGCTACAGCACAAGCCCCTCTTCGTTAGACCCAGCCTCCCCCTCCCCTTTGTCTTGCCAAGAAATGCTGCAAACCCCAAATACCTGCATTCTTGGGCATGCAGCAGGCCAGAGCCATGCTTGGATTCCCGCTCTGCTCCTTAAGGAAGGGCCTTTTCTTTTATGCAAAGACGTCTCTGAATGCCAGAGAGCTGAAAGCTGATCTGCTTAAGTCAGCAAGCACGGCGGGGGGGATGGAGGGCGAGAGAGGGCAACCTTCTGCAAGGAGGATGGCAGATTTTCACAGAACCTCTGTGCTGCATCTAGGACTCCCCCCTGGAGGGGGAGATGGTCTCACCCAAGTGCTAGGCTGGCTGCTAATCCCTCCAGGGTTCACTTGAATGGCAAATCAGGACTCCAGGGCAGCCTGGACACACCCTGTCTCCAGAGGAGGGGCTTAGCACTTTCCTTTTTCATCCCTGGAGCAGTTTAGGTTGCAGTGGGACTTCTTTACAGCCTTGCTACTCCAATTGCAGTTGGCCAGGGGGTTAGGAGCATAGGCATCAACCTGGGAGCTTGTTAGAATGCAGAGTCTCGGGCCACACCAGTTTAAGAAGCTCTGCCAAGTGCCATGTGGCTATCGAAACCATTAGCACACTGCCAGAGACAGGAAGCTGGACAAATAAATCCAGGGAGCCACAGCAGCCCAGCCCCTACACCAACTGCCTGATCAGGAGAAGGAATACATTTCATCCCATCACTCCATAGCTGCCCCAGGTTGCCACCCATTCTTCTCACCAGGATGGGGCTGGCTTACTTGGCTGTGAAATTTTAGGTTGGTGTGAGGGTGCGCTATTCAACAGGTTTGCAAATATTTGCGCACACACCGAAAGGACAAGAATGGTGCAGGTGGAGGCGATACAACTGGAGTTTGCTCTTTGCAGGTTACAAATCAATTTCTGATCCCTTCCCACCCACCCGCCCTCAACACACACCACCTGTATCAACATGTTAGACTCTCGTGATGCTGATAACAGCAGTAATAGCGCATAGCAAGAATACTCAAACCACTTCACAAACAGCAACCATCCTGGACCCTGTTCAGATCTTCCTCTTGGCAAGAAAGGGAGAGTTTAGGTACTTCCACATCTTTGCCCTAATAGCCTTATGTTGTCATGGCACATGATTTGCCTCCCACCTGAGCCCAGCAAGTGAATCTGTGTGCAGAAGCTGAAAGGGAAGAGAGAAGGAAAGAAGATAAACTAATGAAGAGTGGGAGACGAGCTTTTCCTCTGCAGTCCAGAGAGAAGATTAAAAGGACTACTAGTGAGGCAGATAGACTTGCTTTTTTCTCATCTGCCAGATTTGTGCTGATGGCTGTGACTCCCTGTATTGGATACTTCTGCTCCTTAATCATGCGCAGCAAGAACCAGAATGGGCGACTTCATTTCCGAAGAGGAACTGAACGGCGCTGAGGCTCTGGGATGCATTAAGACAGCCCAGATCAACAGAAAGTCTGGCTGGAACCTCAGAGAAATGACCCAGACAGAATCTTCAGCCTCCCAAGCATCTGTCAGTGGCATCAGTGGCTGGCATGGCTGATTGCACTGATCCCCTCCCTTTAGCAGAGAGTCAGGCTCCTGATTGAGGGAAGAAAGCAAAGGGCTGGAGAAAAGGAGGGAAGGTCAGCCAGAGATGAAGACAGAAGAGAGAGAAAGCAAAGAGGGTGGCCCTGGGCTTTACAGGGATTTGTGTGGGTTCTTAAAAGCAATCATGGTGGCCTTTTGAGTAGAAAACCAAGCTAAGCTAGTATTTAAAAATCTTCTTCAGGGCCCCAATCTTGCCTCAAACAACAATCACTCATAAAAAGACTGTCGCGAATGAAAGGAAATGCTGCCATTGTTTTATTTTTTCTGGGAAGTCATAATAGGTTTTAAAAGGTTAATCTCCCTCTCAGCCCTGTTTTTTCCCTTCCAGTGACCCCAAGCTGAAAAGGAAAAATATTTGCACTTGGTGTTTAAAAACCACCACAGTGAATTAGCTTTTGTTGTTCATGGCAAAGCCACTATTTAGCTGCCCAGAATCAAACCAGATGTGAGGGAAGAAAGAAGGCCCTGCATCCTGTGAACTTGCCTTTCACCTTTGCAGAAGGGCTGAGGGGAAAGCTGGGCTGAGATGGCAAAATAAAAGGAGTTTGGTGCTCAACAAACCTGATGTGCACTTTTGATGCAAGCACTGGTTAGCTCTTGCTGGGGTGCTGTCCGTAGGTCTAGAATGTAACAGCTCTAGGACCCTGGATGCACAATGCCTCCTGATTTCCAGAAGTTTTCTTCTGTGGACACTAGGCCAGCAGCCCTATTCCCATAGGTAGCAAAGATCAGAGATGGAGAAGAGAATTAGAAGACAGAAATAAAACACAAAAAGAGATCAGCAGGACTTGTTGGAACATGAAATCTATCAGTGAAGGTGAAAAAAAGAAACTGAAAGGAAGAGGATATATTTTCTTTCTGAGGCCTTCCGGAAGAGTATGAGGAGTAGATTATTACTCATTCTTGTTTTGCTTTAGGACACCACTCACCAACACTCACAGTTTAAATTGGGCAACGCCCCCGCTAAAAAAAAAAACAAAAACCCTTCCTATGGGTCTCAGGCTGTTTATTACTGTTTCCTAAATCTACAGCATAAGTAAGCAGGAAGTTCTCTCTACATCAAAACACTTTTTATCCACTCAACAAACATTTAATAAGCCCTGACTTTGATCAAGTATTTGAGTGATACCAGAAGGCTTTGGATACTATTCCTGCCCAGAAGTTTACAGCCTAATAAGGAATAGCATTTCTCATTAGGGGAATATAATAATACAGTACAATAGTATAACAATAATAGCAACAACAATAATAATACTAAAAGGCATCATTTTTCAAAATCTAATGATATGCCAGTAATTGCACTTTATATACAGTAACATCTTTAATCTTTACAATAACTCTGCACAGTAATTTTTATTATTTCCATTTTACACATGTAGAACTGAGGCTCAGAGAACTTGACCAAGGTCACAGAACTATTAAGCTAGCCGGGGTCTTCGTTTTTTTTTGTTTTTGTTTTTTTTAATCACTGATGAAGCCCAAGTGCCTAGAACGGTGCCTGGCACATAATAGGTGCTCAATAAATATTTACTAGAAAGCAGTTGTGGGTGCAAGGGAGGGCTTTCTGGGGCATTGGAGCTGAACTTTGAAGAATGGCTAGGATCTATGCAAAGGTGGTAAAAGGCACACCAAGAAGAAAGCAGGAAATGAACAAATGTTTTTCTAAAAAAAAAAAACTGTTTTACAAAATCGGAAAAAAAAATGGACAGGATGAAATAGCAGTCAGGAGAGGGATGATCATAGAGAATTGCGTCCTACTGTGACTGCCACCTATAAAGTGTGTGAACTTCACCAACTCATTCAGTCTCTTAGTGCCTTATTTTCCTTATCTGCAACATGGGGATAAGAATATTACCTACTGTGGCATAAGTTGTCAATTTCTTAGTGAACCTTCCACATTCTCCTTCTCTTTCAAATTTATAAAATCTCATTTAAAAAACTGTACCCATGCCATACAACCAAAATTCTACATATCCAGGTCTCCCTTTTAGCTAGGGATTGCTACCTGGTCAATGTGGTCAAAGCAACTGTGGTACAGGATTTCTAGAAAGACTCCCCAGAAAACAAGGGGCATGTTCCTTCTTTCATCCTGATGCTTAGGCCAATAATGTGATGACTGGCACTCCAGCAGCTATCTTAGACTGTGAAGATGAGGGCCACAGTCTAGGGATAGTGGAACTAGGAGCCGGAAGAAGCCTCGGTACCTCATTATTGCTGAGTCTGCATACAAACCTTTAACTTCTTTTACACAAGCGAAAAATAAAGTTTCATCTTTTTAAAGCCTTTGTTGATCCCCAGCTGATACATTTACCTCAAACAGTTGCTGGGGGGATTAAATAAGATAATACAGATCAAATAATTAGTGCTTGGTCTTATACATACTAAGCACTGAAACAAATCTTAGCAATCATGTTTTGTTGCTGTTCTTATCACTATTATCATCAATATCATTACAAAATCTAGAATACTCCCCTATTCTGCATTAGTCTGAGCCACCTTCATTCAGTTATTTAATTGTCCATTTGCTTAAAAATCCCTAGAATTGTGTCTTTCATGAGAACCTATTCATAAATCTTCCTAATATAGAGTCTCTGATAACAAAACAAAATGTTTCTCTTTGAATTTCATCACTAAATCATCCACACAACCAACAATAATGAAGATTTAGGTCTGTTAGTGAAAGGAGGGTTAATAGGTTAATACTTCTGAGCATGGAGGATGGAAAGCATGAATTATATTCTAAACTTGGTCAAATATCCCTTTTTGGAAAACTCCATGGTAACTTGATGTCTCAAAAGTCTCTCCCTTTTCCCAACCAAATAGACCTTTACATTTCAGGACACATGAAAAAAATTTAAAGATGCAATTTGCTGAGAAAGTTCTGAGAGTCAGCATCGTATGCTGGACTCCAAGAGATTTGCCAAAGACTGTGGATCTTTTGACTTAAATCTCTGCTTCTTAGTGTCTTTGACAGATTGTGTGATTTGTTCCTGAACTTGATCAATGAATGTTTCTTAGAAGATCTAAGAAAAGAAATAAAGACAATGGGCTAGAATGAGTGGTTCTCATTGGTCAAAGGACTAGCTGCATTAAAATTACCAAACACTGAACTCAGGAAAACTATAGAATCTCAGGCCTCACTCCAGACCCACTGAATCAGAATCACTGGAGGTGGGGCCTGGGAATCTGTATTTTTAAAGCTGCCCAGGTGATTCTGAGGTGCAGTCAGGTTTGAGACTATTCATAAATGCCCCTCCTCCCAACTCTGCCTAAGATTGGGTTATCCAGAAGCAAAGTCTAAGTTAAGATTGACACTATTGTTCAAGTAATGTATGGAGGGAGTGCTCTTAGTAGAAGGGGCATGAAGGAAGCTGGATATGGTAGGGGAAGGGACTGAGCAGGAGTATAGTCTCAGCTGGATATTTGCTCCAGCCTGATCCCACGGAGATCTCTGGGGCACAAAATGCACCACAGAGCTGGTGTCACCTGGAGGTGAGATGGTTGATGGGGCTTGCATTTGGCCAACAGCAAGTCTCTGGGGAAGAGGGCAGCTATAGCATTTAGCAGCCAACACTCACAGCAGCTGGAGGACCCATGCACTAGCTTGTAAAGGAGATGTAGGCAGGGCACTAACAGCATCCACTACCAGCTCCAACCTGCTAGGAGTTGTGGTCAGCTTTGCACTCTGCTAGGGCTCTAATGTCCCTTTGCTGGCTTGGCCCAAGGTCCCCTTTTACATAAGGGTCTTGGATATGAGTTTAACTTGCAGGAAGGGTTTCGGATGAGATTGGGTGCATTCAGGGTGGTATGGCCTTAGACTGCAGGAAGAGTTTCAGAATGCGATACAATCCTTTCAGTGGCCAGGGCCACCAAGCTGGCACACTAGATTACCAATGCATCCACCGGGGTTATCATTCGCATGCTAAGTTGTGCTAGGGGTTGGCCCAAAGTCATTGTCCCAGAGCCCTTCTCATGAGTTCCAGCCATATCCATTCATATGCTCCATAACCAGTAACTCAGGGAATCTGGCCACCTGGCGATTTGTGCCCTCTCTCTTCTCCCTTGACAGATCAAGATGCAGGCAACTGAACTTCCTTTGCCTTATTCTTGATGAGTCCCAAATAGGTCAGATCACTTTGGAGGGTGGCCAGAAGCTAATTTTGTATTCACCACTGACCTGTTTTGTTCCTCTGGCATTTCAGGAAAAAGTTGGGTGAATGCCTTTTCTCCTTGTTTGCCTGAGTCCCCACTCCCTGGAGCTAAATTTGCAGCCCAGGCCAATGTGATTTATTCAGAGCTACTGCTACTTGTCAGTGGATTGCTGCCCAAGCTTGCTTGCAGCCCATCTGCTGAATTCCTGTACATGTGTGAACATGTGTGGAAAATTAAAGGCCTGGCTGTGGCCTGGAGCTGCCTTGCCCCTCAGCTACTCCAACCTCCATCCACCAGGCCTGATGCCAGTGTCCATTGAAGCCGTCCTCACCACATGGTCAAGAAATGGGGAGCCTCAGTGATAAAGCACTCAGGACCCAGTTCCTGAGTCCATCAGTTGTTTTTCATCAGGAGATTAACCAAGAAGAGTTTACATAGTACTCCATACCACTATAGAGCCCCACGCTACTCAGTCTCTGCTCTCATCAAGGAAGTGTTGCCATTTTGGTTTCTATATCAGGGCAGAGACCCAGGACAAGAAGCAGAGAAGGGAGCAAGAAGTGAGGAGTGCTGCAAAAAAGAGAACAATATGCTTTGCTTTTGTGATTAATTTCAACTCAGGAGGAAGCACAATACTTCCAACTGAAGTCTGGAGCTAGAAACAGGAAATATCCAGGCCTGACTCAACTGTCTCTCCAGAAGCTGTTCTTTAATTGCAAGATGTCAATCTCCCTCTCCCCCTCACCCCAGATTTCATTGTTTGTTTTGTTTTCAGGCATTTAGTTGTTGTTTTCTCTTTTCCTTCACACACTGAGAAATATCTGTAGATGAGCCTGCAGGGCAATCTGGCCCTACTGTAATAACAGAAGTCACAACTCTTAACTCTCTCCTCACTGTTTCCACTAAATCTAAAGCCAACATGCAATGGAAGTTTCTTCATGGTAATAATATAATAATGATAAATGTAATGGTTTATTCATTCAGCAAATATGTATTGAACACCTACTATGTGTCAGGCATGGTTTTAAGTTCTTTGTATGTGCTATTTCAGTTAATTCTTACAGCAACTCTACAAGATAGATAATAGTATTACCTCCATTTTACAGATCAGGAAACTGAGGTGTAGAGAGGTTAAACAACTTGCCCAAGGCATTGGAGGTGGTAAATGGCAGAGCCTGGGCTCCTGACCACTATGCTGGGTTACCCCAATGATAAATGGTAGGGAACCCATTATCCTGCCTCAGAAAGTACAGATTTACCATCTCCCATCACTCACATTCCAATCCTAGTAAAACAGACAATAAGCAAGAGCAGGATTGAAATCCCAGCTACCCACAGGAAACGTCTGTCACTTGCTTTGCTGAGTGTTTCAGGAGGAACATTCATGTGTAGACAGAGTTGTGTGTGTTTGTGTGTGAGTCCATGGGTGTAAGCATGCATATGCATGCATGAGAGGCTACATATGCCCCCTTATGCAATGCTCTCCTTTGAGCCTGGATAAAGAGTTCCCATATCAAATGAAGTTGAAAACAACACTCTAACCTTCCCTCTTTGCACAGATCCCCACTGCTGCTTCCACAAACTGGGATTAAAAAAAAAAGCACTAACACACCCTTCTGACAAGGCTGGGGACCCTCATCCCGGATTTGAGCTGCCTCTCAATTGGGAACCTTCCACTTGGCAGAGCTCCAGTTGTAGCAAGAACAATTACCAAGTACCTGATCACCACAGGGAGTCCAAAGACAAATACATACAAATAAAGACATTTTGGGAGAAGGAGTGAGAGTCTGTGGAGCTGCCATGTGGGCCCCCAAGTTCCCAGTTTAGAACCTTTTGCCCTCCAGGCTGGCACTTCCTCTTCCTTTCTCTAACCCTCTGGCCTTACAGAAATAAAACTTTCATTCCACAACATATTACTTTGACCCTTCCTTCACAACAAAGTGAAAAACACCTGATAATGGCTTAAGCCTGTCCTAGGGTTTTTGCATTTTAATGGAAATCAAGCCTATTGCTGAGAGGACCAACCTGGAATGGTAAAACTAGAGGCATCAGCCAGCAGGTAGAAGAGGATTTGGGCATGGGAGAGGAGGAGAAACCATGGGGTTTTCTACAGTTCTAGAACTAGCTAACACTTCACCTAAGATTGCATGAGGATCCTAGTAAAAACAAAACTGTATTAACTGTATTTTACCCAGAAAAGAGAAAGAACATTAAAATGGTCCTAAGAGCAAGACCATTCAGGAAAAGAGAGACAGCATTAGATGATCACTGAGGTCCCTAATAGTTCTAGCACTCAGATTGAACTTTGGTTCATCTCTTGATGACTCTGGTGCCTTTAGTGTGAATGCTAAAGAAAGGCTTGGCTTCCCCAATCCAAATGTATTCAAGATGGTGCACAGTTGCTGTATTAGTTATGTAACTCCTGATTCTGAGTTGATTGTATTAATTGAAAGGCATTTTGTGCCTAGCCAGTAGTATTGTGTGGTCATTGGTCCTCTGACACTCTGCACTGTGGGCTTGGAAACAGAAAAGTTAGAGTATCTGGTTCAACAAGGAGCCCAGGAAAACTTCAGTCTTGGCATGTCATTTAGCGTGAAATCATTTCAACCAGAATGGTGCTAGCCCTCACTGAGCTCCTGATGGATGCCAATCAAGTCTATTTAGCTTGGCTACCTCAGATAAGGAAATTCCAGAAGCTTTCCAGTTCCTTTTAGATTTATTGTAAATGACATCATGCACCCAGATGCAGAATTCTTGTTGAGTCCAACATTAGGAGAATGGATATGATGGAATTTTAAGATTGGCTAAAAGCTTAAGCAATCAACTTGGGGAAGGGGAAATATTAGAGGGAGATAAAACTCATTTTTCTCATTTGCCCATTCAATGACAAACAACTGACCAGCCACAAAACTTGCAGCAATGGGATCAAATGTTTAGACTTGGAATTCGTCTTTTTCATTTGGAGAGTAATAAGTAAGAGATCCCCATTGTGTCAAATGGAGTAACTTTTCATTTTCCTGTATTCAAAATGGCTTGGAAGTGATGCAGTTCACAAACAGAACAAAATCTTTAAATAACTCTGTACAGATGTTCTTCGGCTCTCCCCTTTGAAACTTGTTAAATTATTTTTGCTGCCTTTGAGTTATAAGATGCTAACCTCAGAGCTGCATTTTCGGCTTAGAATTTCATTCCATTATGTCCCTTTACCTTTTGGATAGCATACCATTGAATGAAGGCAAGGAGACAAACGGCAAGAAAACCTGCCTTATCTTTCTGACACTGATGTGGAGTTCATCACTAAGCACTTAGCAAACTTCCCAGTGCTTAGTTCAAATAAGCACAGCAGCCTGGTCTAAGTCCATAGTGTCATCCCATTGAAGTTTCTGCCATGTCCAACCAGAAAGAAGTCCATTCCAGGGCTGGCTGGGGGCTGCAGCATATTTCACAGCTGTTTCAGAAACAAGGTGAGATTATTCTAGTTTTGTGAAAATATCAAATGAGAAAGTCCTGGAAGCCAAGCTGAAAGGGAACCTGCCATTGCAAACTACGGCTACACAGTGATTCTCCCACCCCTACCTCTCTCTTTGTCAAATATCTTAACTTGCCTATGAAGAAATCCATCATGGCACCAGTTTTCTAGGCAAATAATGAGAATGAGTAAGTTTTTCCTAATCAAGTTTCTAAGCACTGAAGAACAAAGGGATAGAATAGATAAGAAAAGCAAAGGATTAAAAATCTAGATCTGCTCTCTCCAATATGGCAGCCCCTAGCCATATGTGGTTATAGAGCACTTGAAATGTAGCAAGTGTGAATAAGGCACTGAATTTTTAATTTCATTTGATTTTAATTAATTTGAATATGGATACTGCATTCAGTTATTGGAAAACTTTTAAGTACATTTGGAAGAACCTGGATTTGTGAATCTACTTTTTCAAATTTTATAGAATGATATGAAATCTAAATACAGATCAAGTATTTCTGATGAAAATTTACCATCTGAATTCAGATGTGCTATAAATGTAAATATACACTGGAATTTGAAGACTTAGTATAAAAAAGAACGTAAGCTATCTCATTAATAATTTATATTGATTTGATTTTTATGATTATACTTTATGTTGATTTTATATACCAAAATGATAATATTTTGAAAAGAGTGGGCTAAATAAAATTCATTATTAAAATTAATTTCACCAATTTCTCTTGCATTTTTTAAATGGTTACTAAAAATTTTTTAATTACGTAAATGACTCACATCATATTTCTAATGCACATTGCTGGCTTAAAATGAACAAAAGCAATACATTTCAAACTGAAGGATTATAAAGTGTTGAGAAGAACATATGGGTTTTTAATCAGCTAAGAAGCAAATTAATTCATGGTGATTTGCAGTAAGTAGCAACTCCCCATTGTGTGGGCTAACTTAGAGCTTTCAATTCATTGGACGTTTCTATTCTAAAGCTGGCTGGCACTTGGCCATGGTGTTCTAGGGCAGTGGTTCTCAAGTTTTGTTCAGGGAACCTCTGGGGATCCCTGAGATCCTTTCAGGGAGTCTGCAAAGTCAAAACTATTTTTATAATGATATTAATACACTACTTGCCATTTTCACTCATTCTTTCATGAGTGACATGTGATACCATACCAGATGGAACATAGAGGCAGATATGAGAATCCAGCAGTCTTCTATTAAGCCACATTGCTTGCTAGTCAAGAGATTTGCAAAAAAAGTACAAGAAAGCCATTCTTCTCATTGACATTTTTTGTTTTGAAAAATATAGAATTTTCTCCTCAAAATATTTTATTTATAAACATGTTATATATAATGTAGTATATGTAATTATTGTTTGTTGATTTTGAAATAAATTACTAAGAAAATATTTTTATTTCTCAGTTTTAATTTCTAATATGATAAATATTTATATAACTCATACAAACAGAAGCCCTCTGGGGCCCTTAATAATTTTTAATAGTATAAAACCATCCTGATCTATAAGTTTGACAATTGCTGTTCTAGAGGGGCTTGGTAGCGGATGCTGTTATCATCTCTTCCCATCATGCCTTGGCTCACCTCTAAGTCCACTTGTTGCTACTGTGACCATTTCCCACCACAACCATCCAGTTCTCTCTGTTGTTCTGCCTGAGGGCTTTCTCTCATGCTGCAGTACTATTAGTGAGAGTCCAAAACCCACAAATAACCAAATGCTAATTGATAGTAGAATGGATAGAGAAATTCTGGTGTTTCACACCATGGAATACTATACAGCAATGAGAATGAACAAGCCACTGTCACATGCAGTATGGGTGAATCTCAGATATAATGTTGAGTAAAAGCTAGACACAAAAGAGTACATGTTGTGTGATTCCATTTTTCTAAAGTTAGAAATCAGGTAAATCTAATCTATGGTGTTAGAAATCAAGAGAGTGATTTCCTTTGGGGAGGAAGAACAGCTCATGGGGTATCCTGGGAAGCTAATAATGTTTTAAGTCTTGACCTAGTAGCCGGTACAGGAGTGTGTTCACTTTGTAATAATTCCTTGAATTGTATGATTTGGATGCTTTTCTGTATGTATGTTAGACATCACTCAAAGGGTAAAAAAAGAAATCGAATACTAATTATTGTTTTTACACCATGCTCTGCTAGGCACAGAAAAGGGTAAACCAGAATTTTTAGACATGGCTTGTAGTTTTGCCCTTTCATTAGTCCTTGTGAGAAATAAATAATAGTAGATTTCATTTGGAGGTAGGCAGCTTGCGGGGAGCTGTCCTGCTTAAACAGTACAATGATGTATATTTAAATTGACTTTGAATGCCTTTATTTGCTTACAACACACACAGCATCTCAGTCCCCACTACTCCTTAGTATGCTATGCCAACTCTGTCACACGTTGAAGCTGGCTGCCTGGCTGCGTAGGCAGTTGAGCTTGAGACCTACAACTCCAATGATAATTCCAGATGTGACGCAAGCTATTGTGCTATGCAGACCCTGCAGGCTACACTGACAGTGAAGGCCCAGGGTGTGGCTACAGAGGGCAAGGAAGGGTGTGGCATGAGGAAGAAGAGCATGGAGGATGGGGGTGTGTCAGGTTGTGTTCCTTTCTTCCACTGAGGGAGACAGTGAGGAGGGACTGAGAGGGCAGGATTCACAGAGGGCACCACTATGTAAGGGACATGAATGTGGCCTCACCAGCAGGCCCCTGGGGATATTTTTCCAGTCAAGAAATCACTTTTTGCCATCTCTATCACTTCCAATACCCTAGGTTCCTGTCAGTTGAGACTCATACCTATATCCTGTGGTTCATCCAGGTCTCTGGGGGAAGATTGTGAAGGCCTCTTGGAAGACCGAGCACTTCACTCCAACCTTCATCAGGAACAAGCTACATCTCCTAGCCTAGCCACAGTTCCACCTCCCCCCTACCCCCATCCCCACTTCCCACACGCACATGCAAATGAAAGGAGGAGAAAGAGCCTGGGCTTCATTCGCTGTCTAGCACGACTCCACCACTACAAGGGAGGCTGGGAAATTTAGTCTTCCTGGCCGTGTGTCCAGGAAGAAGAGAAGAACATGCATATTGGTAAGCAGTAACTGCCTCTGCCTCATGTTAATTCCCTTCTCCCTGCTTGGAAAGCCAACAACACTTTGCAGGGGACATCAAAGAGGCCATTGAGGGCCGGCCACAGTGGCTTGTGCCTATAATCCGAGCACTTTGGGAGGCTGAGGCAGGAGGATTGCTTGAGCCCAGGAGTTTGAGACCAGCCTGGTCAACATAGGGAGACCCCTCGTTTCTATTATACAAAAAATAAAAGAAAAAATTAGCAGGGCATGGTGGTGGATGACTATAGTCCTAGCTGTTTGGGAGACTGAGGTGGGAGGATCAGTTGAGCTCCGGAGGATGAAGCTGCAGTGAGCTATGATCACACCACTGCATTCCAGCCTGGGTGACTGAGCAAGAACCCATCTAAAAAAAAAATTTTTTTTTAATAATAAAATAAGAGGTCACTGAGAAACCCCTCTCTGTCCAGGCATTGGCCCGCCCGTGGAGCCCTCCCATACACCTTGCCTCTACTTCTGATGATCCTGACTGCTAGACCTCTCAAACCACGCCTGATTGCAGGGCCCTAAATGCTTGCTCTGCTGGCCTGCAGCACCCATCGTCCTGCATCTGCCCAGGATCCTGCTCTGTGCCCTGCTCTCCAGGCCATCACCACACTCAGTGGAATTGCAACTCATTTCTGGTCATGGCTTGCTTACTGGGTGTACCCCAACAGCCCGGAGGCTATCAACTTATTCCCGCCCCAAGCAGGTACAGATGCAGCCTCAGGACCTAGGGCCTGTGCACACATCCCACCCTGAAGTGACAGGACAGCTGCCTGAGGTTCCAGAACATGATTTTAGCCATGGGGACTCCTGCTTTTGTTGGAGGAAGTGAGGTTGCTTCAAGACCACCACAGGCAGTTGGCAGACTCTTCATAACTGACAGACTCATTTTCTCTCTTAAGCCACTTAGAAATGCCTGCCCAAATACCAGGGCTCACAAGCCCATGTTGGCATTTAAGACGCCCTTGACTAGGGATGGATAAATGGGCACGGGAAGCTGCTTGCCAATGGCTTTTAAAGCCAAGGTACATTCTTTCCTTGTATCTCCAGGACTTCAAAATCTCTCTTGCCCTCAATAAATGAAATTTGAAAAGCAAGGGGGTTGAATGAAGCCTGTGGAGTAGTGCCTCCCCACACCTACACTGGAGTCTTAGGAATTCAGACACACTCAGTCAAATGGTCAAGGTTTGAAACCGAAACAAAGCAGGAGGTTTGTGTATGTTTTTAATTGAAGCTGAACAGCTGCAGCCCACCCAGCCTCCTCAGGGCCTTGCACACACAAACAAAAGCTATTCTCTCTCAGGTATTGATGGCTATTACACAAGCTCCAACTCCCAATTCAGAAGAGGCCATTCACTTCACCCTGAGGACTGGGACAACTTAGAATTAGAAAATGTTAAAGCTCAAAGTACTCTTCAGTCCAATCCCCTCATTTTACGGATGAGGAAAGGGAGGCCTGAACCACACTGTTAGAGAACAGCAGAGCTAGGGCATAAACCCAGGCTTGCACACAGGCTCCAGCGGCAGCCTGCTCATCACTAATGTTCAGGGAATGAGTCACTACCTGGGGGGCTCATTTCCTAGAGCCCCAGAGAAAGGACCAAAGAAATAGCAAGATCATGTGTCGGGAAGGGGAAGATCTCTGAGGATAAAAGCTAATGGGTAGGAGCAGAAAGGAGACCAGGGAAAGCCCAGATTGCAGCAGACTAGGTTGGAGAGGCAGAAATGACTATTTACCATCTTGAGGAGATGGACAAGGAAGCAAAAATAAATGTCATATAAAATCAAGTGGTTAAACATTCAGAATCTGACCTCATCCTGCCTTTCCTTGTGTTCTTCCTCTGTATTAGCACCTGGTTGTTTACCCAGAATGCCTACCTCTTTTCTCTAGGCCTAGCCACATATTAAATGTCTCCTCTATGGTCCCTGTAGGCAATGTCATGGGTACCTCAGATTGGCCATGGCCAGAACCAACTCCTCAGCATCCTCTGCACACTCACTCTTCCTCGGAGCTTCCTGTCTCAGAGGTGGACACCTATAACCTCTATATCCAACACCCAAGCCAGGAACCTGGGCATTGCCCAGGACTCTGTCCTCTGTCCCAATCCCCAGGTCCAGTCTACTTCCAAGGGCCTTAAATTCTACCTCCCAAGCGGTTCCAGACCTGGCTGCTTCTTTTCACACCTTCTGACCTTTCCCGTAGTCAGGCCTTCATCTGGGGCCTGGGTTGGGGTGATTTCTTTGCAGAGCAGCAGAGTATTCTTCCTATAATGCATGGTGGCTCATTCTTCTCTTCTGCTTAAAATCTCTCTCATGGCTACCCATTGCTCTCTGACTTAAATCCAGACTCTGGAAACAGAGCAAATGAGGCTTTCCATAAACAACCCTCTACCTGTCTCTCACCCCAACTCCTTCCTTCAACCCTCCACTTTTCCCCTCCCCACCCAATATACTCTCTGCTCCCACCACTCAAGACATAGTCCCATTCCTGGACAGGCCACTTTCCCTCATCTCAGGAGCAGACAAATCCAGATATGTTCCTTTGCCCAGAATATTCTCCTCCCAGATTTCTATATGGCTGACTACTTTTGGTCATTCAGGCTTCAACTTCTGTGTCAGGGAAATACTCCCTCCCCAGAGGCCTTCCTGACTATGGAATCTTCGGGATCCAGGAACTTTCCATCACATCAATCCGTTCCCTTTTTTTTTTTTTCAGGGAACTTTATCCCATCTGACATTTTCTTGATTGTTTATTGTCAGTCTGTCTACCACTCAACTGTTGCCTTCTTGAGAGCTGGTTCATTCTGTCTTGTGCACTACTGTGTCCCAGCACCTAGAAACAGACTCTGCCATAGAAGAGGCTCAATAAATGTTCATCAAATGAATGCACAAAAGAGTAAAACATCAAGAGCTGTCTTGGGCCATAAACAGATGATCTGGCTCTAACTTCTACTTGTATTTTTGCTCTAAAACGTTTTTGTTAAGGAATTTGGGCTACCAATTAGTTGAGTTTCAACTCTTAAAAACTCACAGGGGCTAATAAAACAAAACCTGAAAATAGATTCTGCCCTTGTTTCTAATTCTGATTTGTGTTTTGACTGTTGATTAAAAATGAACGTCAGTTTCCCTTCTTATATTTCCTATTGTTAGGCAGGAAAAAAAAATACAGCCTGCCTTACTTAAGTGGTCTGAGGAGCAGCTCATGAATGATCCTAAGGCTATTGCTCATGCTTGATAACCAAAATCCCATTGTCATTCATTTATTTCCTTTAATCATTCAGTCAACAATGTGTATGTGTCAGGCACTGGGCAGAATGCTGGGGACACAACACTGAGCCAAGTTTAAATGGCCCCTACCCTCTGAGACATATGGTCTACAAAGAAAGAGAGTCAAGATCAAGAGCTAGACATTACCAGCCAGTGAGGTAAGAAGTCGCTGTAGGTGCATGGGCAGTGGCAAGAACACAGGGTGGGAGGCATGGGAGGCAAGCAACCCAGACATGAGTGGGGTTAGAAAAGGTTTCTCAGAGAAAAAAAATCTGAAGCTAAAGCCTGAAGTGTTTGGTAATTAACATGAATTTCTGTACCTTCCTCTCCATCCTCTGGAGAAGCCACTTACTGAAATGATCAGTTTTTACTACAAGAAACTGTCCACAGTTGCATCTGCCCCAGATAAAAAGCTGACTCAAACCAGAAAATCACATAACCATGTGGCTTAATTGGACATGGTGATCAAAGAGCCACATGGCTCATTGGTTATGCATTTTCACGACCTACTGTTCAGTGCAAATTACAGAGAAGTGTGTTCTACATGCCCCTCTGAAACTTGTAGAATGTGTATGAGGACAGTACTGATTTTTGGCCACATATACAAGATTAGTTAGGGTGGGCTAACTAGTGTAACAAACAATTCTCATATTTCACTGGCTTTAGGCAACAGAGGTCAGTTTCCTGCTTCTGTCACACTGGAGCTGAGCACACACACAGTTCAGCTGAGATGCTCTGCTCCATGAAGTCATTCAGGGAATCAGGCTCCTTCTATCTTGTGGCCCCACCTTCTCCAACAGGCCTAGTGTATGTCACCAGATTCTCTGAATCTAGCCAACAGGCCAATAAGGAGAGACTATTTGGAGGACTAGAAAGGAAAAATTTAAGGCCAGGGCTGAAAGTGGACTCCATTACTTCTGCTCACATCTCATTCGTCATAACTCAATCACAGGGTTCTATCCAACTAACTACAATGAATGCTGGGAAATGTAGTCTCTCTGTGTGTCCAGAACAAAAAGAATATAGAGTTGGGTAAATATCTAGCATTTTCTATGCCATAAGGACACCTAACAGTGTGAAAAAATACAGAATGGATCAGTTTGTGAAAATAGATCTGTAGTATTGAGTAAACCAATTAACCAACCACTAGACCACCCGACAACAATTAAACTTCAAGTTAAGTCTTAAATAACAGACTGTAATTTTCAATTGGTGAGTTAATGCTGCTTACTTTAGTCAAAGCATTTCCTCCTCCAGGTGACAATCAGAAGCAGTTATTAATTGATAGAAACAAATTATCCACCTAATGCACCAGCTGTAACTCTGACAATGTTCAAGTATATAAAATTAGTAGAAGAAACTAATGCCTGGCCATATTCTCAAGAACATATATGACTCTGTATCTAATCATTATTCAAGGGATATTTATTAAATATGTCAAGTAAAATTTAAGTCTGTACATTGCATGTCTCTATTCCAAAGTGAGCACACAGAAAGCCATAATTTTTCTTACCCATTGAAAAAACCCAGCACAAATAAACATGCTTAAATATGCATGGCTCTCTGAAGATATTTATTTGTACTTAGAGAAATAAAAATTTGCAGAGGGTCTTAAAATTTTCTGATGAAAGTTGCTCTCTAAGCACAAAGCATTATTTGATTTGTCTGAACAAAATAATGGAGCAAGGAGAAAGACTGGAGAGTTTGGGAAGAAGCCAAGAATTAATGATGTGGATTTGGCTGTAACTGTACTCAAGAATTTTTCATAATGGTGGTACTGTGCTAACTTCAAAAGTAATAATGATTAAATATACTGAGTACTTATATATCATCAATCCCTAAACAAAGCCAAAAAACAGATAGTTCCAAGGGCAAGAAATATGTCAGCACCACACTGTCACAGATCACAAATCCAGACCACCCTCAGGATGGTTATTTGGATATGTAATGAAATAATTGACAAAAGCCATTCTGAGGCCGCGACCCAAATGTGTCAGCAGATCTGAATGTCTAAAGTTCATGTAGCTTGGTAGCACAGAGGCCTGCACACATTTTTCACATTAGGGAACAGATGGAAGCTGTAATTCCCGCCATAGCTGAGGGATGCCTTGCACCCAACAGCAGCAGATAATAAGCTCATTTGGGGAGAAATTTGCCATTTTCATCCAAGAGCTCAGTGAACTGCTGCTGAAGCATTCATCCAACTGTGGACAGCATGCTTCCCAGAGGGAAAGAAGAGAGACTGCACCTGTTTCAAAACCCTTAAGGGTCTAGAGTCATTTCAGTTTCCCCTTAGGTCTCGAATCTCATATCAGAGCCAGCCACAGGGCCCCATGCCTCGCCCTAGCAGCATTCTGGGGAAATCAATTCCTAACCCCAGTTTCCTATTATAAATAAATAATACCGAGTGCTTTCACAGTTTTGCATGAGACACCGACTGGATACTGGCTTAGGTGACACATCTCATTTTCATTTGTTCCCAAACATTTTTGGTCTAAACTTTTCAAGCTTTAAATTGGTCTCTGGGGTGACATTCAATGGGAAACTTGAAGGAAGGCGAAAAATATATTCAATTCTTTTGGATTTGGAAAATATGCTATTTGGCTGAGAAAGATGTTTTCCACATATTTGATCACCCAAAAGCAGTTAAGCACTGAAACGTCAAATATGTTATAATCTAATCAAAGCCATGAGCATCTAAAAACATGGCATCCCGGTGCTGTGGACGATAAAACATGCAGTTGACTCATGTGCTGTGAGATGCTGGTGTAGACCTTGGCTGCAGAAGGAAGCACAGATCAGTGTGGTTGCGTAGGGGCAGCTGCAGTATAGACGCAGACCCCAATTCACAGCCTAGCCTGGCCAACAAACCCGGGAATTACACAGGCCCTTTCATCCCTGGATTTTCAAGTGCTTTGTCAACAGAATCCTATTACTTTCACGACAGTCCCGGGAAGCCAGCAGTAGGCCCCAGTTTCACAAAGCTGATGGCAAGGCTGGAGAGAAAAGGCAGCTGGCTAATCGAAGGTCTCTAATAACTATCCCTGTCACACTTTTTTTTCTTTTACAATTAAATTACGAGGACAGAGGAATAAGCTGAATGATACTTAGAAATCTTTGTGCCCTAAGACTGTATGCCCCGAAACAATTGCTACTAGTCACATGTGGCTATTGGGCATTTGAAACAAGGCTAGTATGTCCAAAGAATGGAATTTAAAAATTTTGTTTAATTTTAATTAATTCAAATGTAAATGTACAGGCTGATATTAAATCCAGTTATTGGGAAAATTTTAAATACATTTGGAAGAATTTGGATATGTGTATCTACTTTTTCAACTGTAAATTTTATGAAATCTAAATACATATCAAGTATTTCTGATGAAAATTAAGCATTTGAATTAAGATGCACTGCACGTGTGCAATGGATATGGGATTTTGAAGACAATACAAAAAATATGAAACATCGCATTAATAATTTTAAAATATTGATTGCATTTTGAAATGGTAATAGTTTGGACATTTGGGCTAAATAAAACACATAATCAAAACTAACATCACCTGCTTCTTTTTACTTTTGTAATTTCATTATTAGATATTTTTAAATGACATCTGTGTTTTGCATTGTATTTCTAAGGTACAACTATATTCAAGAATGAAAAGAGATTTGCACAAGCAGATGTCATCTACCTGCCCAGCCAAGTTGTTGTCACAGATGCGCATACATACAGACCCACCCAATGTATAAAATAACAAATGGCAACCAAAAATCTACTGCCAAGATCTCTGAAGAGGTGGCGCCACCCAGCCAACTGGGGATTGTGACAGAAGTGACAGTGTCTCAACTTGACTTGCCCTTTGAAGGACTTTGGACAAATGAATCCCTTTAGCCATCCTTACAGCAGCAAATGCTAATCTTTCTTTACCTTTGATACAGGGATATCGCTCACTCTGTTCATTTACCAGGTTGTCATTAGGGCCAGGCCACTAGCTGGTTGCTATAGTGGGCCACAGAGACAAATAAGACATAGTCCCTGGCTCAAGGGGTTTGCAATCTAATTGTTTTCAAGCACGTAATTAACTATTTTTTTAAAGTTAGACTGAACTAAATGCTGAAATTGAGCTCACAATAAAGGGCTCCCAGAGCATAAGGGTGAACAGTGATGAATTCTGCCTATGGATATCAATCAGGGTGGGCTTTCCATGCAGTAACACTTAAGATGAACTGTGATAGGCATGCAGGATGTTGTCGGTGGGGTGGGGGGGTGGGCAGTGCAGATGATGTAAACAGCTGAGCCAAGGAATGCATGTAAATGGATAGTGCGTTCAGGGAATGGTGTGGGGGAAAAGGGAGAGAGGTCCTGACAGATGAGGTTTGAAAAGTCCAAAGGGACCAAACGACAAGTGAATCAGTTGAGACTAGTGTGGTTTTGGAGGAGAGGAGTGATGGGCTCATGGAGACCATGGCAATACTCCAAGCAAGAAACAGCAAGAGCATGGCTGGGTGCAGTGGCTCACGCCTGTAATCACAGCACTTTGGGAGGCCGAGGTAGGAGGCTTGATCCCAGGAGTTGGAGACCAGCCTGGACAATATGGAGGAACCTCATCTCCACAAAAAAAAAAAAATTAGCCGAGTGTGTTGTCATGCACCTGTAGTCCCAGCTACTCAGAAGGCTGAGGTGGGAGGATCACTTGAGCCCAGAAGACTGATGCTACAGTGAGCCATAAGTGTGCCACTGCACCCCAGCCTGGGCAACAGAGTGAGACCATATATATATATATATGTGTATATATGTGTATATATATACGTATATATATGTGTATATATACGTATATATATACGTATATATGTGTATATATACTATATATATACGTATATATATAGTATATATACACGTATATATATACACACATATGTATATGTGTGTATATATATATATACATATATATATACACACATATATATATATATGTATGAATGACAAGAGCCTGCCCTGGGACAGGGAAAGAAAAAGTGAGAAAGAGAGGGAAGATGCAAAAGGCATAGTGGAGGAATATTAAGCTATCAGGGAAGTAAGGGAAGAGGGAAAGGAGCTCATGGTGTTGTCATTAAGTGAGATTAGGGAACACAGGAGGAAGGAGAGATGTGACATGATATGATGTCTGAAAAAAAGCACTGCAAACTCTTTGGAAGAAAGCCTGGATTAACACAAGACATTGATAACAGACCACAGGCCCATGAACCTACCTAATGTCTAGTGTGGTACTTGGCTGTTAGCAAAAACCTTTATCACACAATGAAGATGGGAAATTGCTAAGGAGGGGAAAAAGTTCATTTTGTGACTTCCTGAGTTAATTTTCAAACGTGAGGTAGCATGAGTGTAGATTGTTGACACTTAATACATGTAACACTGGAAATGAAACAAACACATATCAAGCATGGGTGCTGGAGTCCTAACAATACACCTATAATCAGTTGTAAGTCAAAGCTCTGCCCTTGGAAAATGTAACCCGCTGTGATGAAAGGATTATGTAATTTTTTCAGGGTCAAACTTATGAGAGGGTTTGCTTGTACAAGTGGAACATACACCAACACCCCCACCCCCACCACCGTTGCAAGGAGAGCTCAGGTTTCAAAAGCAAGCTTTCTGCCTAGCCCTAGCCCTCAGGCTGAGGTTCTGTGGTTTCAGATTGGTTTTGGCTTCAAGCAAAGGCAAGTCCTTCCTTCTGCTCTCAGAACTAATTCCAGCATTTATGGTTGAGCCTTGCGGCCTCTTGTCTGCTGACCATGTGAGGAGCTTCAAAGTCTTTGAGATGTGATTATTTGTTCTGTCAACAGCTCCACGCCTCTGAAAAGTGAGGGCCACTGCTTATAGCTATCACTCATCCTCTCTCTCTCCCTGTATTCACAACAGTGCAGACTTTCTTCTGGAGGACGCTCAGCACTTTAACACCACCTCCCCAGTCCAATTGATACTAAGTGATACCAGGTGTCTCTTTTAATCTCACAAGAACAAACCAAACACTATGCCCCTATACCTACCCCCAGAAGAAAGTGCATATTGAGCAAAATGGGTCTACTAGCAGATTAATCACAAACCCATTAATTAATTCAATTTCATGGGGAACTGATGGATCTGTAGCTTCTTTATATTTTTGCATCATTTTTTGTCATCCTCAATAGAACCACCGGTCAGAATGATCTTGTTGACCATTATCTGAAGTTCAAGTCTCTTGTGTTTAACTGCACTCTTCAGTATTTATCCCACTGTCACAGTACATTTAAAATATTTCTTTAAAAGGCCACCTTAAGAGGAACTGAATAGAATGCATGCACTGTGGAGGGGAAGGGTCATTATGAGAAGTTACAAGAACAGAAGTGGGATTTGTGCTCTAAACATGAACCTGGGTTGAATTCAGATGCCAGGGATGGGTTTTCCTCCAGTGCTACCATTAGATGTGCCTTCAGAAAGTCAGTTTCTGAAGCTCTAAGAAGGGGGGCAGAAAATGCTTTCATCACAGGCAGTCAGAAGGGAAGAGCTCTTGTTCTAAAGATCATGATGATCAGAACAAGTAGAAGGTCTCAAGGAAATGAAGTTAGGCCTTGCAAATAAACTGAATCTAGGGGGAAGGGTTGTTCTTGTAGTACGAATGGCCATTTGGATCTTAACCCTGGCACTTGGAAACACTGGGACACTACCTTTAAGACCAAAGGCACGATCTCAGCTCACTGCAACCTCTGCCGCCAGGGTTCAAGCGATTCTCCTGCCTCAGCCTCCCAAGTAGCTGGGATTACAGGTACCTGCCACCATATCCGGCCAATTTTTGTATTTTTAGTACAGACCAGGTTTCACCATGTTGGGCAGGCTGGTCTTGAACTCCTGACCTCAAGTGATCCACCTGCCTCAGCCTCCCAAAGTGCTGGGATTACAGGCCTCAGCCACTGTGCCCAGCCTTAGCACCATTACTTTTTTGTTCAACGTCATTACTGCATCATGACTATGAGATATGTTAAAAAAAAAAAAAAAGTGATGAAAACAGCAATTACTTTTGAAAAATGATCAATCAGTACATCCATACAGCATACCTATCACACACAGGCAGCCAAGGGGATGCAATCTAGTTTGGAAGATAAGACGTGCACATGGGAGAGAAATGCCTTGCAAGGCTCTGTTTGAGGTTGAACAAGAGAGTGGTATAGGTGGTGAGAGCTCTGATTTAAGGAATGATCACTTCCTGCTGTAGAAGCCAGAACAGGGCCTGGCAAAATAAGCAGAGTTTGGATGGATAGAGAGACGAGGAAGGCACAAAAACATGGGAAACAGTGGACCAGATGGAAGATCCAAGGCATTTCCAGAGTGCAGTGAACAGGGCAGCAATCAGGGCAAAAGTAGTGTGGATCTATTTTCCCATTTGCAAAATGAGGATAATAATTACCTTCCTTATAGGACTGCTATAAGAATTAAATGAGTTAATGTGTAGAAAGTGCTTTGCATGGGATGTGGCATGAAAAAATGCTCAATAAACTTGGGGGGCAGTAGGGCAGTAGCAACCAGAAAGGAACAAGGAAGGCTGGGAGAGATGTTTCCAAGGGAGACCTGTCACCCAGCTGGACCTGGAGAAGCAAAGGACAGGGAGCACAAAAGATGCCTCTGAGATTCGGGGGTCTTGGAAGTGGGAGTGTGGGAGGATGATTGACAGAACCGGGGGAAAGAGGCAGGAAATAGAAGATTAGCAGTTTCAAACTTGAGGTGCTCAAAGTGCCAGAAGATCGTGTTTGTCTATTTCAGCAAGATGAACAGCCACATTTTCACAATAATGTGTAAGTCTGGCCCTGCCCAAAAAAAAAAAAAAGTCATGAGGAAACATGCAAAGTCAATTTGGTGTCTGAATCTACCTGATTCAAATTCCTACTACTTGTTCCAGTTCGGTGATGTTTGGTACTTTGGGGAAAAACTGTGCTGTTTGAAACTTTTCATAATAACATGCTGGGGGTGTAGGGGGCAATCCTAGAAGAAACTTGTTGTCTGTGGAGGGGGGTGAGGTGCAGTAATGAATTTTACTATTGAATCTCATTAACTAACCATGCATTTGTGCTTTACCAAAAGTTCTTTACCAAAAGTACCAAAAATTCTGGTTCTCTTCAAATGCACAAGATCTGAACAGCAACCAACACTGACATCTTTGCTTCCGTGGCAGTTCTCTAACTGGTTGCATCTACACACCCTGAGAACACAAATTTCACAAGGTCCCCTCCTTAATAGTATGGATTTGAAGACCCTTGGCTTTCACTCCCAAGGAGACTCCCTCATCTCTTCTCTGAGTACCTGAGTGTGGATAATTTGGTTCTTGTTTGTCTGCTGAAAATACTGAAAGTTTGAGAATTTTGCCCTATAGTCTTCCCTAACCTACCTGTCGATGATAATTTAAATGGACCTAACATTGCTAAGCCAACTTTATTATGAAACAGTCAGACAAGTTTCTATTAAAAAAAAAAAGAAAAACTTTTCAAAATGTTTCTTTCCCTTTGATAGTTCTTCCCCTTAACTTTTTATTTTAAACCAGAAAATCACATGTTATGTTTCCGTAGGGGGAGGGCTAAAAGCCTTCAACTAGCTAAGAGCACATTTTGTCCACTGATTTGGGTCCATATGTGCAGGCACAGCCTTGAGCCTGAATGCAGGAAAGGTGCCTCTGGAACTAGGAAAAGGAAAGCGGAGGGTAGGCATGGCTGCAACAAACCATGTGGGTTTTCCCCTCCCCTCTTATTGTGTTCACTGGCTTCCCTCATATAAATGGAAGTCTAGAATTAGTTCTTAAATCTGACAATGTGCCAAATGACAGGATATGGGTTGAGATCAAATAACCAACCAAAACAAGGGGTCTGTTTCACCTCGGCCACTCAGCATTTTGCTTTTATCTGCCTATTTGTTTCATGATAACTTTCAAAGGGGTTGACTGATTCTAATCAAATGTGGGACATGGCTAAAGGGTTTCAAGATTCATCTTAAGCGCAATTTGTGGTCCCGCCAGCCATCCTGAAACAAAACAGTAGCCAGTAAAAGTTTCTAAATGGGCATATCTGCTGTAATCTTTAGCAGACTTCACCAAGGATCATACATGAGTAGTGGTTACAGATCTATGTGATTACACGGAGTGAAGTTTGCAGATCACAGACCCAGGAAGGTATCTAAATTCACTGCATACAATGACTTCTCACAGTCTTTGGAGAGGCAAGTGTTATCACCGCCCAGACAAGGGGGAATAAAAGCCTTAATAAACGGGGACAAAGTTACATTACTTTGGCTATATCCTGTGAATGATTCATGAGAGAAACAGTTCAATAGATGTAGAATTCAATCCAATAGGAACAAGCAAAACTCCAGTAGCTAAATCTCTGTAGTTGAAACAGGATCTTCAAGAAGCAATGTGGCCACAAGGTTCAGCTTGATGTATTGGAATTAAGTCTTCATAATGGCAGCACTAAAGGATGACCTGGAGGGCTATTAGCCCCTCCAAATATCCATCAGATTCCCACCAAAATCTACCCCAAATGAACAAATAATTATTCTGCCTCTATAAAACCATTTAAGTATCCCTTATAATGAGAGCAAAGTGCAGTAATACATTTTCATTAATTATATTTGTTTTATTTTGTGTTGATCAGTCCCAGGGCAACTGATTATACCACTCATGTGAGAGGCAAAGAATTATGTTTTGGTAATATTCCTAAAGTGATTTATTTGATATTAGTTCTTTTTCCTTGTCCTATTTTTATAGACCCATAATACACAATTCAGTTAAAAGCAATGTGCTTCCTATGCAATGGAGACTTCAAGAGAAGTCTCCTTCCAGCCAGACGATCATCTTTAAGTACTTCTGTAGAAACTCTGCAGTCACCAGGGAACATTGACTATTCGATTGTGTAACAAATAAGGAAAGCCAGTTGGATATAAGAGATCATTAACAACTCAGAAAGAACTGAAAGAGAAAAGCCTTCATGCTCAACTGGCGGGCTAGTATAACATGCTGATGGACTTCCAATTACCTCCTGGACCAAGCGTCTCAAAAGTCTCCTGTCTAAAGCTGAACATCCCATTTCTACCCAAGGCTGCCGCATCTTAGTTTAAAATGTCCATCTCCACTAGGCCCACCAAGCTAGAGTCCTCAGAACCATCTTCACCTCCTTCCTGTCTTCCAAATCCAGTAACCAACAGCTGCTAATCCTATGTCTCAGTGGCACTCAACTCCAGCCACTCCTTACTTCCCATCACCTCAGCTACTGCCATAGATCAATGGTCCCCTTAACTCTCATGTGAACTGTTGTCTCCTTGCTAATTTCTCCAACACTAGTCCATTTGTCTCCTCTGGTGATGTTGTCACATGACTGTAAATGTCTTCCTCCAAATCAAACCCCATCATCTCTCAACATGCTAACATAAACTGTCTTGCCTCCCTATTATTTACAGGATTAAGTCAATTTCTGCCATGGTATTGGAAGCCCTTCATAATATGACACCAACAAAGATCCTCCACTTTATCTCTGGTTGGACTTCCTACCCTAACCACCACCACCACCCAAATGCTATGCTCAAACACATGGAACTTGTGAGTCCTCTCTTTGGTGTTTCAAACATTGTTCCCTCTGCCTAGAATGCCTTGTGTCCTGGTGAGCTCCTACTCATCCTTCAAGATCCAGATCAAATATCAGCTTCTCCTTCAAACTTCTCTGATACCCCAGGTCAAAACAATGTCTTCCTCCTCTGGCCTCCCACAGCTTTTTATAAACACTTCCACTTCAGCCTTGGCTCAAGTTTTTCCATAAGGTAATTATTTATTTGCACACCTGTCTCCCTGGCTGGCTGACTCAATTTGGCATTAAATAAATCAATGATGGGGTGGCTCAGTCCCTTCCCACTGCAATCATTTCATTTCCTGGAGGCCTGGCACAGCCACGATATCCAGGGGTGATATTCAAAATATTTCACAACTGTATGGTCTGAGCACTGACCAATCAAGTGGATTCCTGGCTGGGCTGGTGTGTCCCAACCAAAGCTCAACCTTGGCCTAAATCCCAACAGCCAGGATCTCAGTGAAGGGTATTTTATATCTGATTCCGTCTTTAAAAACTGCTCAAGTTTCAAGCTGATTAGGTCAGCTAGGGCCTGAGGCTTTGAGTACTATTTGTTAAATCCTTTAGGATCCAAGAAATTGCCTTGAGTATAGATAGCAGGTTTTTAAAAAGTTACTATCATAATTATTTTTAGAAAGACTGAAGCCAAGAAGGTGAACAGTAGCTAATTGTGAGATTGCTTTGTAGCGACAAGGGCTTCAACACACACATAAACTTATATCCCCCCAAAAAAAAAAAAAAGTCTTTTCATTGTTTCTGCAGTCATAGTATAGCCACACAAAGCAGGCTTTCATTTATGGCTCCTTCTCCCTGGGAAGCCAGGCCTGAGAGTAAAAGATATCTTAATGTTCTCTTTCAAGGCTGCTGAGATTTAGAAACAAAGATTGGTAGGATGCTACAATATCAGCCTTTCTTTCACTCCCCTCCTGCCCTTTCTCTTACCTCCTACTTGCCTTTTTGAACAAAAACGATTTTTGAGCATCTCTTGTTTTACTTAGCTACCTGGAAATGTGTTCAAAGGAAACAGCAGTGGGTGGAAACTCAACTCTGAAGAGAAAGACTGGATTTGGAGTTTTGCGGCCCATGTTCGTGGATTTAAGTTTTAATCCATCAATGCACATTTGAAAGCTACAGCTCTGGCCACCTCCTTAAACTTTTCCCAGTGCAATTTGGGAATTTATTGGAATAACCTGGACCTGGCCAGGCATGGTGGCTCACGCCTGTAATCCAAACGCTTTGGGAGGCGGAGGCAGGGGGATCGCTCAAGCCCAGAAGTTCAAGACCAGCTTGGGCAACATAGTGAGACTCCATCTCTACTAAAAACAAAAAAATTAGCTGGGCATGGTAGCGTGCCTGTAGTCCTAGCTACTCTGGAGACAAGCAGGAGGATTGCTTGAGCCCAGGAGATGGAAGCTGCAGTGAGCTATGATCGTGCCACTGAACGCCAGCGTGGGTGACAGAGACAGACCCTGTCTCAAAAAAAAAAAAAAAAAGAAAAGAAAAGAAAAAGAGAAGAAACGAAACCTGGATCAGGCTGGGAAAAGGGGTCTTGATGCCATATTCAGGATGGGAAAGTTCTAGGGCTGCACTGTCGACTAGAGAAGCCAGTAGTCACATATATTTATATTTATATTTAAATTCCAATTAGTTAAAATTAAGAAAATTAAAAATTTGGTTCCTCAGTCACACTAGCCACATTTCAAATGCTCAGTAGCACTTGATTGAGTGTGGCTCACTAGTAGGCAGCACAAATTTAGAACATTTCCATCATCATAGAAAGTTCTATTAGGCAGTGTTATCAATGATTCCATTTTGTTTTGTGATGGGGTTAGGCAGGGGGAAAGGAGTCATACTGGGAAACAGATAACTCCTTACTAGGGGGAGAAACAGAAAAGCCTGAACCATTTCTCCTTCCTCCTCTTTCCTTACTTTTGTACTTATTTTCCTATTCCTGAGTCTCCCCTTCCTCATTTTTGTGGATGGGAGAATCTGACCAGGACATACACTAGAGTAGAACCTCCCCAAGGGCTGGGAGTTGGAGCCTTTTGGTTCACTGTTGTATCCTTGGCAGTCACTACAGTGCTTAAGAGGAGATGCTTGGTAAATGCTGTTGGATGAGTAATCCGATGGGGTAGGTTATCTCTGCTTTCTTCTACAAGGCAGGGAACAAAAACATCCTCCACTTCCTTGCTTGACCAGTGGGAAACTGCTGTCTGGATCCACCAAGTACACCAGGGACCACCAAGGACACCCTCAAACTGCCCCAACCCTCAACTCCCTGAGGCTGGACAAGATCTTGCTTTTATCATGAGACTCAGAGGGGCAACTTGAGTCCTGGAGCCAGACTCCCTGAGTGTGAGCACTGTCTCTGTCACTTACAAGCTATGTGGCCCTGGACAAGTCATTTAATGTACTCTGTGCCCCATGTGCCTCACGTTTAAAACGAAGATCATAAATAATATTTCCTACCTCATAGTGTTGTTGTTTATGCGTTAATACACGTAAAGCACTTGGAACGGTTCCTGGGTTCGTTATAAGTGCTCGATAAATGTTGGCTATTGAACTCCTCCTGCCAAGCTCAGCCCACTAAATGAGGAGTCTCAGTATGAATCGTGCCAATGAGCCCACAAACAGTGGCAGAGCTGAATATGCTCAGTAAAACGAAACACTGAAAACATGCTCCAGTCTTCTGAAACTTACATGTTAAGGAGGCTTCTGGCAGTGCAAGGCATTTAAGAGATTTAAAAGCAGTACGAACCACCCCATCTGTAGGAAATAGAAAACTTCTAGAAAAACTGGGAATAGAAATCCTTTTTGGCCCCTCCAACTGGTCGTTTTTGATCAAACACAATAAATCAACAGGGTCATTTTTTATGGAAATGGGCTCTGAATATCTTCCAGTGACAGAGAAACAACTCCCTGCAAACTTATGTTTGAAGAGTCAGACCAGCATGTGTGAGGAAACTTGGCGGGAAGACAACATGTCACGTCGGCCCCAGCAAGTATGGAGAGCAAACCTACCCTCTCATGACTCTCATGTCTACCAGGGGCCTCCTTCAGTTCAGCAAAACACTGACTCACAAGACCACTGTAGGTCACTGCTTCTGGGAGTCTACTCACAAACAAACTGCCAGGAACCACCATGGCCAGGAGGATAGCTTCAGGCATCCCTCCTCTGTGGGGGTCTTTACAGCAGCCCACATGCTGTCCAGGGCCTCCTCTCTGGAACTCCAAGTGGCAGCTCAGGTGCAAACAGACAAGAAGCACTTCAGAGAGTATAGGGTCCATCTTGGCTTAGAAGCCCCATACCCCACGGGAGCTAATATGTCTTGTAAACAACTAAAGTTTCCAGGGGCCCCATATGGGACATGCCAGTACCAAGAGTTTGACACTCAGGGAAGCCCAAAGCTATGGTTTTTCACCAGGTATTCAAATTCATTTACAATCCTGTGGCATAAAAGCAATTTAACAATTGGGTCATTTCTACTATAAGCAATACTGCCTGGTAACACAGCTGACATTCCACCTTCACCACGTTTCCAGGGCAACAGAGCTGGAAAGTTAAAACAAGGACAGATTTCCACAGAGAAGGGGAAAGGTTACATTAACCCTTTCCCCACAGTGACAAACTCCTCCAGAGTTGGAGGCCGGCTAGCCCCTGCTCATTGTATGCAGGGACAGGAGAAGATGCAAGGAAGTTGGACCTCCACCTAGGGCTGAGGACAAAGAACGGCCAGCAGAAAACTAAGAGGAATGGCGCTCCTTGGCAATGAGTGCTTAGGATGGGGGATAGGGCTAATTGTATGAAGGAAAGACAATGGGCAAGAGACCTTTAGGGCCCCTATACTAAAGGGGCTGAGGTGGCTGACCCATGGTGAGAGAGCATCAAGATTGGCACCACCAGGGAAAACATTATGAGCCCCAAAGAAAGAGAAGAAAATCTAAGTTAACGAAGCTACCCACTGGCTTGTTGTTAAGGGTCTTTGGACCAGCGCTTTACCTAGTTTCTCGCTTAGCATCTGTGTGGAAGATGCATTTCTCCAACCTCTATTACAGCACTCTCATCATTTTTGTTCCAATAAGATACATCTATCTGATGGTGCAAGCAAATACAATTCCTGGCAAGCAAGCTGTTTTCTCTCTCACTCAAGAAAGCATATCAAGCTGGGAGTGAGAGTGAAGTTAGCTATAGCCTTAAATCTGTTCTAATTCATATTTAAAAGTAAGACATTCCCAAATGTCTGGCATTAATAACAAAGTACTTGAGGCATAGCTTACAACTGACACACTGATTTGTCAGGACCTGCATCTGAGAATAGATGCCCCTTTATGTCAGTGTAAGAGCAGAGGAGAATATCCACGATGTTGTCTTTAAAACCCACCTCAGAATGTAAACAGACATGCCTTCATCTTTCTCAAGTCAAACTGGGAGGCATCAGGCACCTCCTGCCCCAACCTGAATTGCCCTTGAATGTTTTATTGGGGTTGGGCTACAGTTGTGAGACACCCGAGGGTGAGCCAGCTTTGACATTTCTTCATCTGATTTGGTCATTTATCTAATGTGAGGGACCTCAAATCATCAGGATGCATTTTACATTCTCATATGACCCTGGGTCCAGAGGTAATCAGGACCAGCTGGTGCTTGGCTTACTCAGGTTTAGAGGAAGCATTCATTCATGCATGCATGCATTCATTCACCCAACAATCAAATAACAAATACCTATGCTACATGCTGATGATGGTGACCTCAAAGAGTCCTCAAGGAGTTCCTGGCCTCAAGACCTTAATTATTCAGATACCTGGTTACCCTTGGTCAACAACTCCTTCTCCCCTTCTTCCTCTTAAATAGTCCCAGAAATTCCTCATTCCTAGAGGCATGGCCTGCCTGCCCTATAAAGGATCGCTGTTGCAGGAAGTTACTTTCTAAAACAGCATCTCTGAAAATGTGTTTTATAGAACCCAATCCCAAATGTGGTAACAGAGCTGCATCTTCCAATGAGTTTAGAAAACCCTTCATGTTTGATCCTCTTTGAGAGAGTTATAATGTACTTCAGGATATTAAAGGCTTTGATAGGTTCTGCAATAAAGAAACCCATTTTATTTTTAAATCATCCAGTTTTCTCAAACTTTTTGGACCACATTAATGTGTGTGTGTGTGTGTGTGTGTGTGTGTGTGTGTGTGTGATCTATTAATATCCTGAGGAAACCATGTAGTTTGGGAGACACTTTATTAAAGCAATGTACCATTAACTTGATATAAACAACTCTTATCTGGAGATGTAATTTATTAATATATATTTGTGCTACATAAAATACCTTGTATTTGTACACTATTATTAACTGATACATTTTAAAACTATTATTTAAAAGAATATTAATAATATTTTATTATGAGGACACAGATATTGTTTAAGTGATATTCATAAGGTCCCAGAGTAGTATGATATGGGGTAAAGATAAGAGGTCATCAAAGAGGCAAACTCATAGCCCTTCAGGAATCTGTAGTCTTCCTTTCAATGACTATGAGAGGTAATTGAAATCAAGCTAATAGCACCTGGGCCAATGCTATGGGCAAAAGAAGTTTCCATAGCTTATTAAAATATGTGCCCCCTCTTACTGCCACTCTAGCTTTGGGTGTAAATCAGACTTAAGGCTTAAGAGGCTTACTGACTTGGCTATGAAAGCAGTAATGTTAAGGTGGTGTTGAGCCACGGTGTGAAGTCATAGAAACACCTTTTAGCACTTATAACTCTATTTTATTATGTTCTTTGTTTGAACCATTAATAATGAGTATGTGAATAAATGAAGAAATGTCTAACTGTATAGTAGGTTTGGTAGGCATTGGTGAGAAGCTGTAGATTCTGGAAAGAGAAAAAAAAAGCAAATTCCTTTTGTTCTATTTTCTGAGCTCTGAAATGTCTTGGAGAGAGATTTGAAATGGTTACAAGAATCAATTCAGTATCTCCAAATGAAGCCAGTATGTTTCGTCTGAGACTATTCTGGCTCTTGGCCACCGTATTTCTTGAATTCACTCTTCAGAAAGAAGGAAAGTAGTTTATCTTGATTTAAACCCCCAAGCCTAAAATCACCGTTGCTAAATTCCAAAGAAAAGAAATACAAATGTGTGCACAAATGCACATAAAAATGGAAATTAAAAGTTTAACAAATTTCTCATGTTAACAGCAGCTGGGCTGTTGCCAAGTAGCCTCATGTTCTAAGGGCCCCCCCATACACACACACAGAAGAAACCCCACTTAAAGAATTATAGGCTGGTTGCAGCAGCTCACACCTGTAATCCCAACACTTTGGAAGGTGAAAGTGGGAGGACCACTTGAGACTGGGAGTCGGAAACTAGCCTGGTCAACATACCAAGACCTTGTCTCTACAAAAGAAAAATTTTACAAATTAGCTGGGCGTGGTGGTACATGCCTGTAACCCCAGCTATTCAGGAGGCTGAGGCAGGAGGATCACCCGATCCCAGGAGTTAGAAGCTGCGGTGAGCTATGACCACAGCACTGCATTCCAGCCTGGGTGACAGAGCAAGACCCCGTCTTTAAAAAAAAAAAAAAAAAAAAAAATTGTAGTTGTGCCCCATAAATATCCACAATTATTATTTGTCTATTAAAAGTTTAAAAATGTAAAAAAAAAGAACCATAAACATTGCCTTCTGTCTTTGAACCTTTCTCTTTCCCTAAATACTGTTCTCAGTTCTCAGAGAAAAAAAAAAAGTCAAAGTTAACTTGCTTAGTAAAGCAGCAAGCCACTTGCAGCATCCATGCTAGGCTACTCCATACTGTTTTCCATGCAAGGTCATAGGTATCTCACTAGGATATTTATCTCCTCTCCATTTGCAGCAAATACACTACCTTTCTCTAGCAGTGTCCCATTGGCACCTTCCAGAGACTCACTCCTTTCTTAGAGTATAGTGGGCCCTCTCCAGTTGAGCAATCTCCCCTTTTCATCCTTGAAAGCCTGCCCCACCCAATTTCTGAGGCACAGTAGGAAACATTGTCAGTTATTACCAAAGACCAGAGGCCATGTGGATGGAAGGGGTGATTCTTCATCTCTTCCCTGCCTTACCAGTTCTAAGCACTCAGTATGCTTTCCTGGGAAGATTCTAAAATGATTTCTCAGATTATCACCTAGTTCACCAAGGAATGCCTTGAGAGCCACATAGGTTTGGTTCTCTGTTTTTTTGTTTGTTTGTTTGTTTGTTGTTGTTGTTGTTGTGTGTGTGATCAGTTCTTATGCCTGATCTCACCAATCCTATTCCTTAGGAATCCTAGCTTGCATTATTTAGAAGGAGGAATTGTTTGCTGTTTTAATCAACAGCTCTCCACAGGAGGACTTTGGTTGCAATCCTCTTATCTTCCTGGCATGCACTGACACCTCACATTTATATGTTAAAGCCAAGTTTGTAAGAGAACGTGTTGAAAAGTGACTCTCAAGGTTAAATAACAATAGTTGGGAACTTGATCTGAGCTTCTAAATAAGCTTTGTGACTTTAGACAGTGACTTAATGCCTCTGAGTTTATATGTCCTTTTATGTAAAAGAGGCTAGTATCTCTCACAGTGTTTCCCAGAGTATCGAGGGTGGGATCGAATGAAGCACCAGTGAACAGCAAACCTTTAAAAACTAAGTCGTTATATTCCTCCCAGGCTGAAATGTTTCTATGAATTATCGTTTGCGGACTGTGCTCCTTAAGCCACTTGAAAAATCTACATGAGACTGCTAGTATCCAAGCCAATCTGGATGAATTTCCACACAAGATTTCCTAGGACACCATAGAAACATCTTTTAAAGCTCTAGACATAATGTTCTTCTTCCTTGTCCAACAGTTACATAAGTTTTTAAGGATGATGGCTCCTTTCCATCATCAAATCCATTTGTCTTGATTTAAGATGTGGAAACTGCCCATCATAAACAGTTCCACCACACCTAGAATCTTTTAGTATTTTCCTCCATGTTTATTCCTTACTTTGAGAACAAAATAATGTTCTTTTTCTGGCCTGTTATTGACAAGATTGTGCTTTACCTCCTATAAATGACAAATGCTCTACAGAGTCATCTCTCCACTTGACAACCTTCCTGCTTCTCCATGATTTCGCAAAACACAATTGGCAAGAAACACAATGTCCATTTCTCTTCCTCACCTAGGTATTCATCCATCAAACCTGCTGAATCTACAAGTTTGGGTTTTCCAAGCAGCTTTTAAAAAATTAATTCCATACCCTTCCTCTCCTTCATAACCTATTGCCACCATCCCCTCCAATGCCACCCCCTCTATGGTTTTACCACTTCTTAATTAGTTACAATGCTAGCACCTATAATGGCTTTCCTGTTGTTTCCATGAGAATTTATCGGTGACTTACTTTCTCCCAAGTTCTTTATGTTTCTCCGTACCCTGAAACCAGTCTGACAAATTGCTTGTTTTAGAGTCCCTTTATATTTGTTCCTAGAGGTTTGATCTTGGCATTTATTATTATATGACTGGCACCTTGCCTTGAGGGCCATCATGCCAGATAATAGTACCAGAGTGGAAAAGCTCACAAGCTCCCACTCATATTCTCATTCTCTCCTTTCTCTCTCCTTCTCTCCTTCCTTCTCGCTCCCCCACCCAACCTTTCTGTGTTTTTTCCCTGCCTTATTTTCCTCCTTCCTTTCCTCCCTCCCCCACTCACCATTCACTGAACTAACTCTCTCCAAATTCCACCTCTCCATGAATAGAGCCTGACAATACCAGACAGCTGAGATCTACTGGAAAATACTAAAAATAATTGCCTTTTGTTATTAAAGTCAGATTTGGGGCTGCTGTTCCCTCCTAGGAATTTGTACAGTTTCCTGCAAGGATTCAGAGGTCCATACCCTAGTGCTGTTTTTAGAATGCAAAGGGCTATTTCAATAAACATGCCACTAAATTGACGGCGTCGTCTTAAATTAACGTATATTGTTTCTTGTCCCATTTAGCTGTGGCTGACGCTTTTTTGGAATTTTCCATTGGAATATTTTACACACTGATCTCTTCTTGCTGTCCTCCACACCCTGTCTGACATTCAAGCTCCTTTTGAGATGCCAAAGAGCCACAATCCCCAACTCACTCTCTCTCTCTCTCTCTCTCTCTCTCTGTCTCTCTCTGTCTCAGCTGCCTTGCCCCCTGGGGTTGGCAGCATCATTTAACTTTTCCAGCGCAAACTTTTTTATTCAAGGTCTTGGGAAACCTAACTCAAGAGTCATCCTCCTTAGAACTCTGGTATTGACAGGCGGCCTTTTTATCCATATACCTTTACATTATTAAAATCAGAACTAAATTAGTGTCTTAGTACTAGCTGCCCAGCCCAGAAAATGATATGCCCCCTAGACTTAAAATATTACAGGCATTTATTGGGCTTGCTTTCCTATGTCTAAAACATAGGTTATCAGGCTTTAGGATGTATTAGAACCACCTGAAATTTCTTGATCAAAAGGCACATTCTTGGTCTGCATCTCCAGAGGTTTTGATTCTTAGTGTGGGGAGGGGCACAAGAATGGACATTTAAATAGGAGCCCCACTGATACAGAATGATCATCATAAAGGTTTATGCTAGGTAACAACTTCCCTGCATCAACTGGTGGTTTTGACTTTATCCAGCAAAGAACGGTACTAGAGTCATCAACCCATCCCGTTAAATAATGTAACTGGCAAACTGTTATCTAATGGTCCTCATTTTATATAAAAGACATTAACATTGTTATTCATTTTTTGGATGTGTTTGCAATTTAAAAATAATTATGTGAATGATAATATATTAGTATATATAATATATCAGTATATAATATATTAGTACTGGTTCATGAGTTGTTAAGAAATGTACCATACTAATGTAAGATGTTAATAGGGTGGGAGATATATGGGAGCTGTCTTTACTATCATCTCAATTTTTCTGTAAATCTAAATCTGTGGTAAAAAATAAAGTCTATTTTTCTTAAAACAGAAGAAAGCAAAAAAAAAATTCTGCCACCCACCAGAATGGTTATAAATTAAAAGACAGAAGATTCCAAATGTTAGCAAAACTGGAACTCTTGCACACTGCTGGTGGGATTGTGAATTGGTGCCCCCACTCTGGAAAACTGCTTGGCAGTGCCTGTGAAAGCAGAATATTTGTTTACCCTATGGCTGTGTGCTTCTGGGTATATACTCAATGGAACTATATCCATGTGTTCACCAAAAGATGTGTATATAGCAGCATTCTCTGTAAAGTCCCAAACTGGATATTAGCAAAATGCCCATCAATAATGGAATTCATAAATCACTTGTGATATGTTCAGAAAATGAAATACTACAAAGCAACAAAAAGAAGGAAATTTGAACTATACTCAACAACCAGGGTGATGCAGAGGGAAAGAAATCAGACACAAGAGAAAGTAGGCTGTATTATTCCACTTATACAAGTTCAAAAAACAGTTCAAACTAATCAATGAAGGAAAAATCAGTATACGGGTTATCCTTGGGGTGGGGAGTGAAATGAAGGGGCTCTTCTGGGGCCAGTGATCTTTGGGGTTTTTTTGTGAGGAGAGTAGGTACTTAGGTGTGTTCAGTTTGTGAAAATTCAAGGAAGTGTACACTTAGGATTTGTGCATTTTTCTATATGTATACCATTTTATGAAAGCAATCCACGTTTTCTTTGGGGAAAGAAAGGTCAATATAGTGAATATAGAAAGGGTCAATACAGTGAATATAGACTCTAAACTAGATTGCCTTGGTTCAAATCCCAGGTTTACCACCTGTAAGCTGCATGACCCTAGGGAAGCCATGAAGCCTTTTTCACCTGTATGCCCTTATCTGTGAAGTGAGGATAATGATAGTACCTTTGTTGTGGGTTGTTGTGACAATCTAATAGGTTAATATTTGTACAACGCTAGTGTAAGGCACAGGGTAGGCATCATATAAGTGTTTTTTAAATAAAAGTTTTCTTTGTGGGGGCACACTTAAAAATGTCTTTTGATGATCACTAACTACTTTAAAGGAGACTAAAGAAGAGTTAAGGAAATAAGAAAGGAGTTAAACTTATTTCCTAGGCAGCATTCTTGCTTATGAGGGAAAAATATTATCTTGGCGCCTGGCCAGTTAATTCTGTTCTTCTTGACTTGGAGTCTGGACTCCCAACAGGCTCCGGGCATTGGTCCAGAGGCTTGACAACGAGCCACATCTGGGACTGCCAGGAACTGCCACAAAAGAGTCCGCCCAAGAAGGCCTGTTGGAATTGCTGGGGAGGGAGAGTGCCATCCAGTCAGGACCCATGCCAGGACACAGCCCCCTGAGTCTACCTGCTGGGTAGGGCAGGCCCTGAACCCTGGCCTTTCCTCTAGCTCCCAGTCAGAACCTTCCCTTCCATCACAGGTCTCCTCCAAAAAGAGCTGACTAAGACAGGGCTGCATTCATAGACAGGAAAAGAAAAGAAAGAGAAGAGAGAGAATCAAGCAGGAGTGTCCTACCCTCCTAGAAATGAGCCTGCGATCATTCTGGGCACCCTCTCTCGCTTGGGTTTGTTCTTCACTGAACATCCCTAGTGAATGAGGAGCCTGAGGAGTGTCTCCTTTTACAGGCAACCTCCAGAGTCCACCACAATCAGGTACCCGCGGTGTGGCTCGACCCACTCTTCCTCTCCCTGTTACTTTCTGACACAGCTGGCTCTTCAATCAAAGCTGAGTTCCCTCTTATCTAATCCTTTGCTTTAGGAAGTTTAACTCACCCTCTAAAGCCTGTGCCTGGAAAAAAAATAAACCCAAATGAGAACAATTTTTATCTCCCATTATGAGTGGAAGTGAATCTCCTCTAGCTTGGCAACTCTCCAGGAATATCCCACTAATTTTTAAGTCATTTCTAGCCTGCTCTCTTCTTTTGCTCTTTCTCCAGCTCTCTTCCAAATGCTCACTGAGGAAGAGTGTATCCCTTGTCCCTACCCCTGCCAGTTTTTTGTTTTTTCTTAAAAAAAAAAAAAAAAGAGAATAGCCAGGCGCGGTGGCTCACGCTTGTAATCCCAGCACTTTGGGAGGCCGAGGTGGGCGGATCACGAGGTCAGGAGATCGAGATCATCCTGGCTAACACAGTGAAACCCCGTCTCTACGAAAAATACAAAAAAATAAAATTAGCCAGGCATGGTAGCGGGCGCCTGTAGTCCCAGCTATTTGGGAGGCTGAGGCAGGAGAATGGCGTGAACCCGGGAGGCGGAGCTTGCACTGAGCCGAGATCGCGCCATTGCATTCCAGCCTGGGTGACAGAGCAAGACTCCGTATCAAAAAAAAAAAAAAAAAAAAACGGAAGAATAGTCTTAAGTTCCTGAAGCCGTGTATGACACACTGGCTAGTTTTACACCAAAACATTTCCCTTTACACCTTGGGCACACAGATGACTCTATTTCCCAGCCTCCCTTGCATGTTAGTGGGGCCACGTGACAGTTCTGGCCAGAATATAGGTGGGCCCATAAAACCTCCACGCTATCCTCCACACTTTCTCTTTGCCTCATCTGCAGTCTGGATGCAGTAGCTGAGGTGGACTTGGAGGCCTTAGGGCACAGGGAAGTCATAAAATGGAAGGAGCCTGGGAGTCTGAATGCCTGCGTGGAACACAGGTCCTGATCCCTCACTTCCCCACTCCCATGCCTGGAATGTGACATGAACAAGAAATAAACTTTGTGTGAAGCCCCTGAGACTTGGAGTGGCTGGCACTGACTAATATACCAAATTCCAGACTCTCAAACTTTCTACAAACTGGAATACCACATTCCTCTCTCCCAATGGTTCCCTGTGCAGTCATCTTTGACCTCTCTGCATGGTAGGCCAAACCTGGAGCATGAACACCAAAATCCCACATCCTAACCCTTAACCTTTGACCTTGGTTCATGCTTCAACTTTTAATTTGGTTTCCTGCCTGTTGATTAAAATATATTTGTTGGAAGTGAATTGAAAGTCTCAGAAATGGTGCCTGTTATTTCCATAACTGAGTCTTCAAGCCATATGCTCTGTGTATCCATCTGGGCATGTCTGGGATATTTGAATTAGTCCCATTGGCTGCATTGTAGACAAGCAAGCAAAGAGATTGGAAGCTGCCAAGTCCCTCTATGATAGACAGGTCCTCCCAAGCCATCCTTCCCATTCTAAGGAAGAACAATTACAAGCACATTACTAAGAACAAGCCATTCATCATCCAGACTTTGCCTCTGTCTTGACTTGCATCCATAGTGACAAGATACAGGCAGTTTTGTGGTAAACAGAGGCTGTCACAGACCTACAGACTGAAAAACTGAGTGAATTTGTTTGGCTTTGTGAGATTTGAAGCTACCAGATTTCAATAAATAGTGGTGAGTACAAAAAATCTTCATCTTTTTTTTTTTGGAGGGAGGGAGTAGGTAAGCAAATTGTCTGTAATTTAACTCCAGCCCAGGGCTCTGAACATCCTTCAGTAAGTTCTTATTTGGTGGGAAATTGGAACTCCTAGAGCCATATAAATTCACTTTTCCGCTATTAAAGAACCAACACAAGTAACTGTTTGACTCAAGTTAACATTCACTCCTTGGAATAGATGATAAGTAAATATTTACCCACTGGCATAGCTGTTGAGTAATTGCCCATTAAAGAAGTTAAATGTTAATCACTTATTTCTGGACTGAATAATTTCAACAAGATCCTATGACTAATCCATAAAGTCTAAAGGCAAGAAAAAAGCCCACATCCGTTTATTTCTTTCAGTCTTGACCATACAGGAAAGGCCTACTCTTAGGAATGTCTCAAGTTAGAGTCATAACCAGTTTTCACTCCCTTAGCACTCAAAGCCAGCTAGCTAATTGCCTTTTCATTGTTCTGCGCCCAAAGAAACCTTGACCCCAGGTTAAGTATTAACAAGATTTGAGAGGGAAGGGTTGGACAGGAGTTTAGAGAGAATATGAGGGACATCTAAACTAAGAGGAGAAATAAAACCTGGAGATAGAAGACAGAAGATGTCATGAGGTTGGCTGTCCTACATCAAAGGGAAGTGTGCATGATAAATGCCATTAAAGTCAAAACCCTAGGGCAGATGTTGCCACATTAAATCTCAGCTGAGACAGAGGAGGACTTCAGCAGCAGATGGCTCACAAAGAATGGGTAGGGAAAGTGTCTATACCATCAGTCTCATGGAAAGGATCCTTGCTTGGTACCCACTCTTCAGGATCAAAGAATGAGCTTGCAGGTGAGCTATCTGCACCCAGCAAGGCAGCCTGCATCTGAATGAGAAGAGCCAAAATCCCTACAGAACTTCTACATATATTCCATGTCAGCAGGAACATATATAGCAGCTTGGTGGGTGTAGTGGCTGCTGTTGATATCCACCCAGATCCCCTTAACTCTGGTGGAATCCTCCTCCCCACCAGCTATGAGTGTTGGCTGCTAAAAGCAACTCACTTCTCTGGAGAATTGCCCTTGGCCAATGGGAATCATCTAGCTCAGAAGGTGATTCCTCCTCTCCCAGAGGCAGCCCATAGCTAATGACTGGCTGATAGCATGGTACAAAAGGCCAGTGCCCTACTTCAAGGTGGGATCAACTCTGTGGTGCAATTCCTGCTGCAGTGAGATTGCACTGTAGCTAGTCTTTAGCTAAGGCCACAAACTTGCTTAGAACTTTTCCCCAGTCACAGCCTGCTTCCCTTATGCCCCTTCTGAGAGGACGCTCTCAATGAAGGGCGTGCACAAGAATCAATGTCTCAGTGTCTTCTCCTGTTCTGTTTGCTTCTTTTTCTGAACCTAAACAAAGACAATAGGACAGGCAAGACCTTCAGTCTCCCCCACTGCCTCCGAATTGCCTTAGAATTTGTTGACAGAGATTGCCTGGACAGGTGGAATAGCCTGATCCCAGGGGTACCCCAGGCAGAACGGAGACAGAGTAACCCACCTTACTCCTTCCAACCAATGACTGAATTCCACTTGGAGGAGAAGCCTTGGCGTGTAAGACTGCCAGGTACCTCTATCTTCCCTTTACTGATCCATGCCCTCCCTCACCTGCCACCCACCCTCTCATAGATATCCAAGCAAAGACTCCCTTTCTTCCATTGGACTTTCTTCTGCCTTTGAGTTAGTGACCCCCTTCCTCACTTCTACACTGGCGTGTTTTTTGTTTTTGGTTTTGGTTTTGGTTTTGTTTTGCTTTTGCTATAGGAATGCTTACATTGCATGGTGTACCAGAAAGAGCATGGACTTATTATATAAAGTGGGTAAACACGGGCCAGTTATTCAACTTTTCTGAACATAGATTTCTTCATCTGTAAAGTGGTGTTAATAAGACCTACCTCACAGAGTTGTTGGGAAGATTAAATAATATAAAAACTAGATGTTCATTGTATCCTACCTGGTACACAATAGGTACTCAGTGGTAGACTATCTGGTATATAGTAGGTGCTTCTCCTTAGTGGAGACTTCAAAAAAGGACAAACAGGTATGAAAAAGAAACTGAAAAAGAAAACTCTACTCTTAGCACACACAGACACACAGGCATCCCGCTTCAGGTCAGTTTCCTCCATCCATCCATCCATCCACCTACTTTCCCATCCATCTGTCCATCTACTCATCCATTCATCAAAAAACCCCTCGAAACCTTAGTATCCCTTGTGAGCCAGGTATTGTGGATACAGAAGTAAAACAGACATAGACATAGACATGTAAGAAGTTTACAGCTCATTGCTGACAATAGCTGCATACCTCTACCTTTGGGAATCCAGGGGTACCTGGATGGAGGTGGAAACAGGAGATCAGGGGCTCAGTTCCACACTGATAAGTCGTTTATTCTTGAAGTCCTTCCTGTGTGAAGGATTCTTGCATTCTCCTATCAAAACAACTAGGTATCCCTTGAGATTTGATGGGAAATCATCCCCATTAAGTTGCTGCAGCCTGAAAGAGACCCCCAAACTACCAAGTTCTAAGAAATTGGGACTTCTTGGCTGGTCTTCCCCATGTGCCTGAAGAGCTCCTGTTTTCCTGAAGACCAAAGGAATGGTGACTCCAAAATATGTTCCTTCCCAGTGGGCCCACTGGAATCCACTGGGATTCTTAATCTGCTTACTATATTAATAATAAAAGCAGGAATGCTTATCAAGGCCAAATAGGGTTCTAGGTGCTTGACATATATGTTAATTTCTCATGGTGGCAGCAACTCTGGGAGGTGAGTGTTGTATCCTCATTTTATAGCGGAGGGGACTGTTGACATCAGAGAGGTTAAGTGACTTAAGGTTTACAAATGGAGTAAGAGTCATAACTTGAACTCATATCCTACTTCAAAGCCTGTGCTCATTTTAATTTTGTGCCATGATGTTTCAATAAGTATGCTCTTACATTACATGCTGCTGCTTTTCTCTGCCACTTACTTGTTGAATGTCCTTGGCCAAGCTTGTTTCCTTCTTCTTTTAAAAATTTTTTTTGGAAAAATGTTCAGGTTTTTATTATGGTGAATGATGAATTTTTAACATACCCCAAAGTAGATAGAACTTTACCATGAAATTCCACATACCCATCACACACATGTAACAACCATCTAGGGCCCATCTGCCCTGTCTATACCCCCTGCACTTCTTCCTTCCCAGCTTGGCAGTGTCAAAAATCAAACCCCATTGGTCTGCCTCCAAAACCCTCCACCAAGCTGGTCCTTGCTTTGTCCTAGCACTGGGCTTTATTATAACATTCCTAAGGTCCACTTAAAATTATCATTTCCTGGCACATTTCTCTTTTTTTAAAAAGTCATTGTCAAAATGAATAAATTTGATAGAACATTCAAATGGACTATAGAGAACATTTCAGGGCTTATCCTCAGATTTCCATTTGCCAGGCAAAGTTCGAAGGTGCCATTATTAAACTACCTTGGTGATTGTTGAGACGATGTTAAAATGGGATAGAATTCAAAGCTCTTTTGCTCCAGCAAACAGAAATATATAACCAAGTCGCTGGCTTGCCAATTGGGGAGCACAAGTTGTTCCTTTTCTTCCCCTTAATTACCTCTCAATGGAACATTCTAGAATACCCAGGGGGTAAGTTTCCACTAATCTTCAGGCCTCTTTAAAACCTAGGGCTGACACAAAAGCTAAATATAGAACAATATTCTACAAACAAAGTCCTGAGTCTAAGGACCCAAATGAGTCAGACATTGTTTTCAATCATGGCTTACAAAGAAAGTAGCCTAAATTGTGCTAATGGCTCCAACACCTCTGGATAGTATTATACTGAAGTACAAAAGACACAGAAGATCATCTCCAAGGAATGTATAATATGGTTGAGTCTATGGACTATGCCTAAATAAAATGACAGAGATAGACAGGTATACAGTGATTATTACAGTGACTGCACACTATTATACATATGTGTATTTGCATGCACATGTACAC